>NC_000002.12:236580527-236883557 GCF_000001405.40 Homo sapiens
CAACAGCAGCGACTGCATCGTGGTGGACACGGTGATGTGTCCCAACATGCCCAACAAAAGCGTCCTGCTCTACACGCTCTCCTTCATTTACATTTTCATCTTCGTCATCGGCATGATTGCCAACTCCGTGGTGGTCTGGGTGAATATCCAGGCCAAGACCACAGGCTATGACACGCACTGCTACATCTTGAACCTGGCCATTGCCGACCTGTGGGTTGTCCTCACCATCCCAGTCTGGGTGGTCAGTCTCGTGCAGCACAACCAGTGGCCCATGGGCGAGCTCACGTGCAAAGTCACACACCTCATCTTCTCCATCAACCTCTTCGGCAGCATTTTCTTCCTCACGTGCATGAGCGTGGACCGCTACCTCTCCATCACCTACTTCACCAACACCCCCAGCAGCAGGAAGAAGATGGTACGCCGTGTCGTCTGCATCCTGGTGTGGCTGCTGGCCTTCTGCGTGTCTCTGCCTGACACCTACTACCTGAAGACCGTCACGTCTGCGTCCAACAATGAGACCTACTGCCGGTCCTTCTACCCCGAGCACAGCATCAAGGAGTGGCTGATCGGCATGGAGCTGGTCTCCGTTGTCTTGGGCTTTGCCGTTCCCTTCTCCATTATCGCTGTCTTCTACTTCCTGCTGGCCAGAGCCATCTCGGCGTCCAGTGACCAGGAGAAGCACAGCAGCCGGAAGATCATCTTCTCCTACGTGGTGGTCTTCCTTGTCTGCTGGCTGCCCTACCACGTGGCGGTGCTGCTGGACATCTTCTCCATCCTGCACTACATCCCTTTCACCTGCCGGCTGGAGCACGCCCTCTTCACGGCCCTGCATGTCACACAGTGCCTGTCGCTGGTGCACTGCTGCGTCAACCCTGTCCTCTACAGCTTCATCAATCGCAACTACAGGTACGAGCTGATGAAGGCCTTCATCTTCAAGTACTCGGCCAAAACAGGGCTCACCAAGCTCATCGATGCCTCCAGAGTCTCAGAGACGGAGTACTCTGCCTTGGAGCAGAGCACCAAATGATCTGCCCTGGAGAGGCTCTGGGACGGGTTTACTTGTTTTTGAACAGGGTGATGGGCCCTATGGTTTTCTAGAGCAAAGCAAAGTAGCTTCGGGTCTTGATGCTTGAGTAGAGTGAAGAGGGGAGCACGTGCCCCCTGCATCCATTCTCTCTTTCTCTTGATGACGCAGCTGTCATTTGGCTGTGCGTGCTGACAGTTTTGCAACAGGCAGAGCTGTGTCGCACAGCAGTGCTGTGCGTCAGAGCCAGCTGAGGACAGGCTTGCCTGGACTTCTGTAAGATAGGATTTTCTGTGTTTCCTGAATTTTTTATATGGTGATTTGTATTTAAATTTTAAGACTTTATTTTCTCACTATTGGTGTACCTTATAAATGTATTTGAAAGTTAAATATATTTTAAATATTGTTTGGGAGGCATAGTGCTGACATATATTCAGAGTGTTGTAGTTTTAAGGTTAGCGTGACTTCAGTTTTGACTAAGGATGACACTAATTGTTAGCTGTTTTGAAATTATATATATATAAATATATATAAATATATAAATATATGCCAGTCTTGGCTGAAATGTTTTATTTACCATAGTTTTATATCTGTGTGGTGTTTTGTACCGGCACGGGATATGGAACGAAAACTGCTTTGTAATGCAGTTTGTGACATTAATAGTATTGTAAAGTTACATTTTAAAATAAACAAAAAACTGTTCTGGACTGCAAATCTGCACACACAACGAACAGTTGCATTTCAGAGAGTTCTCTCAATTTGTAAGTTATTTTTTTTTAATAAAGATTTTTGTTTCCTAAAAATGCATCAAGTCTCAGTTTTCAAAGTGTGTTTTGGCACTTGAATAGCACACATGATAATAATTCATGGATATATATGGCACACACAGGCCACCTGCATGAACATGCTCAGAAAAAGAGTGCTGCTGTAAAGCAAAAGCTACCAGGTTAACTTGTTTGAAATGATATAAAAAGAAAAAATCATTTGAGCACACTGCATGGTTTTTAAAAAAATTTTCAGGCAATAGTGTTTTTGGTGTGGGGGATGATTGCTAGGGTCCAGCTAGGAGAGAAGGCTGGCACAGAGAAGGTGCCACTTGCTTCTACTTCCTGCTGGCCAGAGCCATCTCTGTTCTGAACCTGTCTGAACTCTCCGTCCAGACAGGAGAGTTTCAGGGTGCAGGACTGGTGTCCTCATCTGTACCACCTGTGTGCTTCCAGGGCCAGTGGCACAGCCCCTTAAATCTCATCTGCTAAGGTAAACACCTCCAGGGGCAATATTTCCTATTGAGAGTTTTCATTTAAACCATGCCAATCAGCTACCCCCTTGAGGCCACACAATGAGCGAATCCCCAGCTTGCGCATGTCCTTACTAGTGGTTGGAAAGAGTGCTCTCAGAATGGCCAGTTCCTGCTGTGCCCTCTCTAACTCTACCTGGAGCCACAAGAATGGCGGAGACTTCAACAGACGAGTCAGCTGGGCAGGGGCTCAGAGAGGGGCTGGGCTCCCAGCACTGCCCTCACCACCTCCACCTCTGCCAAGACCTCTCTGCACAGAGAGCTGTTTGCCAACCCAAAGGCAGACCCAGATGCTCGTCTGACCTGTGGGCTTGGGCGCTGCTGCTAGGTTGGAAAGCACCTTGTGCAAGTCCTTGCCCCACAGACCCACAATGGGCAGCCCTGCAGTCCCCAGGGGCCCATAGACCGAGTGCACTACAGGGGAATCCTATTTCCTGCAAAGGTCTTCACAGCTTAGAGTTTTGAAACTAGGGCTGTAACTTACTGGAAATATGTTCTTGATACACATGTACATCCTCAGGTGCATATATACACCTGGTCTTCAGTGGGATTCTGGTCCGATAACAATGATGTAGATAGTGGGATAACAGCATACAAGAGGCAAAGATACCAAGAAGAAGGGAAAATAAGAGTAGGTAGGATGGCAACATGGAATCGGGAAAGTTCTCGACCCAAATATGTGTTCCTTGACGATAAAAATGGCTTGCATGTTTGCTGTGAGCCTTCTAGGGGTCAAGTTCAGGCAGAAATACACTTTTCCAGTAGTAAATTCAAAATGGGGAGGGGGAGGAGGGCATCAATTGCAGTCCACATGCTCAGCCTTGCAATAGATGGGCGGTAAAAGGCATTCAACTGAACTGCTATGCTGAATTGCCATCGCGGTCCATCCAGCGGTCTCTCCCACCCGCTTACCCTAGAATTTCAGTAGGTTCCCGGGGGCTAACAGTGCTGGGGTGGGTGAGGGTCTTTCAGGCTTGTGTGTCTACGTGGATGTCTGAGAGGACCTGTCGATCCTTCTGCAGGGCTCCTCTGCCACCCCAGTTCATGTGGCTCTTGCTGCTGCTTTTGCCTCGCTGGATGGTGAGACTGGTCTGGCCCTTTTCTGTTTTTCTGCTGTTCTGCAGCCTGGGGGCTGCCCCAGCTGCCTCCTCCCACACTGCAGTGGAGGGGGTGGGGAGGGAGGGTGACACTGAACTGGACCCGGACTCACCAGGTGGCACCTTTTGCTTTGGGGGGATTTTCCATCTCCCACAGGGCCCAGGGCACCGTGGCCTACTGTCCCAGACCCTCCGACGTCCCTGGGGTCTGCTGTCTGCAGGGGCAGGCTCCATCTCGGGAATGCTCCAGTGACTGTGTTCTTTCTGTTCCTTCTAGAAATCCCCTTCTTTGTCCTGCCTGGGGCTGGAAGACTTGCTGGTTTATTCCTAGTTATCTGGACTCAAAATCTCTTTCCTTTGATTTCCACTGCAGGGTCCTTCCCTGGAGCCAGGTGGGATAACAGAGGCTGGGTCAAGGGACACAGAGTGTCCTGAGGGGAGGGGAGTTAATACTGAAAAAAAAAAAAAAATCAGCCCCACCCTATGACTGTGGTGTAGAAGAGGCAGAGAGAATCCTGAGCTGTATTTGGATATGGGGTGGGCCTTGAAGGGAGGAGGGGTGGACAGGAGACCCCTGGCTCTCCTCAAATCCAGGGACTAGAGGGCCTGCAGTGCTGCCATTGGAGGGTCATTCTTTGGCGTCCTTTTCTCTGTACAGATCTTCCAAGACACCCGCCTCCTGATGTGGTAAGAAAGCTGTTAGCGCCATGACCTTGGACCCCAGGAAGGATGTCTGGAGCCCCAGGCACAGGGTGGGACCTCAGAGTTGGGAGAAAAGCAGCTTTGGCTTTCTTGATGGCGCTTCCTGGAGCCTCCTCCCATCCCAGGCTCTAATACTCTGCTCCTGTTTCATGGTTGAAATGCCCAAGGCATGGCGGGCGGTGGGCAGCGGAAGGCCACCCCCAGCAGCCCGGATGGCAGCCCGTCATCAGTGAGTCAGTGTTAAATGCTTTCCATCTGGTTCAACGTATGAGCTGCTGACCTTGATTGTACCCCAGGTTCCCCACAAGTGAAGAAGAAAAATAATGCCGCTGAAAAGCCCAGATGGAAAATCATCTGAGCACAAGGGAATACGATCTATTTGCTGGCTGATGGCTTTTGGTCCTTCCAAGAGTCTCGCAGCAACCTGGGATGGGACCCCACTGATATCTGTGGTCAGATCTGGGCAGAGCAGCAATACATTTTAAATCTTCTGTAGCCGATGCTTCCTGGGGCCTCTCCAGGAGGCAGCAGCTCCGGGGCATGGTCTATTTTATTAGGAATGTGGAAATTCTGCCTTACTGGGCTTCTACTCTGAGGATATTGGCTGTATATATGTAATGGATCTGGGAGACATCACATTTAGGTAAGCACAGGTGTCTCAGAACTCTGGGGAAAAGTGGCGTGCTGTGGATCTGTACTGTTGGGATGGATGGCTGAGGAAGACAGCAGAGAAAGTTCCCAGAGCTTTCTCCTGGAGGTATGAGCTTTTGCCCCTAAGTGCCAGGGATACCTCTGCATGGGCCTATGCCACTGAGATTTTAGTCCTTCAGGGGCAGTGGTTTCAGGTGGGCTAAATGCTTTAAAAGATCGACCCACCGCTATAGAACATTTCCCACTTCCTGTTTCTTAGTCTTGGATTTCCCAGGAAAAGCTCCCTGGTGGTTTGCATTTATGCAGGGACTGCTAAGATCCCACAGTCTCGATATCAATGACATTTGATATGGAACACGATTAGTTTGAATGAGGTTTGATAGGACATTAAACCACTCGAAAGTGGTTGAGATTTATGGTGGTTCGTTTGCCCTGAGGATGGCTGAGGACGGCCTGACTCTTCCATAAACTCTTCTGGCAGAGTAGCAGAGTTTGCTCACCTCGTGCAGTCTCTGACGCTCACACAGACCTGTGCATACACCTAGACTTGCTACCATCTGTGTGACCAACACACACTCCTGGACACAGTTTCCATGTGCATGTTTAGGACCATCCTAGCGAGAGCCTGGGCCACAGGGTTGAGATCCGCCTTCTCAAAGTCTCAGGCCTCTGCCAAGTGTGTAGCCCAAAGAACCATCACTGTTTACTATCCTGGGGAATGTGGGCCAGGTTTTAGCTTTGCTAAACTTAGCTTCCTTGTTTATAATGTTGGACGATGATAGTACTTGATTCATAGGGTAATCGTAATGATCAGATCGCACAGTCTCTGCAAAATGCATGTCACGGTGCCTGGGGCACACATAGTACATGCTCAGAGAACAACAGCCATTCTGACCACTTTCTCTGGGCATAATTTGCATTTTTCTTGAGAAGAAACAATGCATTTCAGAGAAATCGGGCAAGAGAATATCTGCCTGTGGGTGGTGAGTGAAAAGATGAGGCACATCTGTCTCAAACTCATTCTAACTGGGGACAATTTGCACCCCCAGGAGACATTTGTCAATGTCCAGAGATATCTTTAGTTGTCCCAACTTGGGGTGGGGAATGCTAATGTCATCTTGTGAGTCAAGGCCAAGAATGCTGCTGAACAGCCAGTTGTGCACAGGAGAGCCCCCAGACAGAGAATTACTGATATGGCTTGACGGTGTCCCCACCCAAATCTTATCTTGAACTCTAGCTCCCATAATTCCCACATGTTGTGGGAGGGACCTGGTGGGAGATAACTTGAGGCAGCTGGTAGAAAAGCAGCTTTGGCTTTCTTGATGGCGTTTCCTGGAGCCTCCTCCCAATCATGAGGGCAGTTTCCCCCGTACTGTTCTTGTGGTAGTGAATAAGTCTCATGAGATCTGATGGTTTTATATGGGGTTTCCCTTTTCACTTGGCTCTCCTTCTCTCTTGCCGGCCACCATGTAAGACATGCCTTTCACCTTCCACCATGATTGTGAGGCCTCCCCTGACATGTGGAGCTGTGAGTTCATGAAACCTCTTTTTCTTTATAAATTAGTCTCCGGTATGTGTTTATCAGCAGTGTGAAAACAGACTAACACAATTACTGAGTCCCAAATGTCAACTGAGTGGAGGTGGAGAGACCCTGGCCTAGGATAAAGCCAACCATTAAGACACAAGACTTCTGGATGCCATTCACTGCCTAGGGAGTTCACTGAGGGTACACAGAGCACCTGGGGAAAAGCATCTGAGTCCTTAGAGCCATGGCTTCTCCATTTCCTGCCCCTCAACTCAGCAGAACCCTAACAGGCCAGGGCAGCACAGACAATCATGCAATGTGGATTCACGCCAGCATCTCCACTGTGCCCAAATATGTTTCAACTACAGGAATTTGGGGCATTTGCCATTTACATAAAAGATGTACTCCTGAAATAGGAACACACAAATTAAACATTAGTAGACATTTTAAGTACCCTTGGGAAGCTTTAAATTGTAATTTAAGATTTAAAGTATTTTGCCTAAAAAGCTCCAGAAAGAACACGGTTAGCAGGACAGAGCTGTGGACAGGACTGCATGAGACCAGGGTGATAGATTCAGTTCTGCTTCTTATTAGCTCCATGGCATTAGAAATATTTCTCCTCAGTTTCCTCACCCTCAAAATTACCTCTCCACCTTTATTAAAGGATTGTTGTAGAGATTGAAAGAGAGCATATATGCGAATCAATGCAGTTGAGTGAATGGACAGAAGAATGAGTGAAGTACTTTGAAACCTGCGTAGGGCCACGCAAATGTTCCTAACCCTTTTCTAAGCTTTTTTTCGTTTTGTTATCGGCATGATTCATTTTTATATTGCCCAATGCTTAACCCACGTGCTGTCCAGTTATGTCACAGTATTGAAATCTATCACGCCTCTAGTGTGCCTCATTCGTTCCGGGTTTGTCTGAAGTCTACAAGGGGTTCATGTTCACCTGTCTATTGCTGTCAGGCGCGGTGCTCATGGCCTTTGTCTAGGTTTTTCAGGGCTGGGCTTCTCCAGCTCTGACATCAACAGCCCTGGGGACAGGACCCCTGTGAAGGGGGATATGGTTATCTGGATGGCATGGGAAGAGGAATGCCCAATTCTGGAGTTTTTCTTATTTTTCAAAAGCTTCATTTTTGTTGGCTTTTCATATGCTTATGCACCCAGACCTTTCCATGTGGGATTCGGAACGGCTGACAATCATGTCATTTCTCCCGACAGGTTGGGAGAAAAAAAGTGGTGGCTTCATCAGCCATTTGTTCCCTGTAATGCTCAGAAGCAGCAGAATGAAAAAATCTGAATTTCCATAGTTATTTCCGGAACTAAACTGATTAAAATCATTTCCTAGGTAGGTCGGCATCTTCCCTTTCACAGTTTTCAGAAGAAAAGGCAAAGAGAAAGTCATTGTGGCAATGGCATTAAATCTGCTTGGGTGACTCAGAATGTATGTTGGCACGGCAACATGTCATGGGGCGAGCGGCAAACATGTCCTGTCGGTGGCGGTGGCGTGTCTGAAAGGGCCTTGGGCTCCACCGTGCCATGCTGGATTTGCTTCCTTTTAGCCTTTCACATGAAAGTGTTTGAAGCTAATCTTTTCATTCCTTTACGCGGGGCTCGTCAATAGGACGAACGCATTAAAGGTTTCCCCACCGTTGCGTTTCTCAGGGCCGTTGTTAAAAGTGTGAATTGTGTTTCGTGCCACACTGTAATGAGAATTTTAATTTCATGCGCAGCCCAAAGTGTAAATGAAAAATCGTCCGTTGCCCAGCTATGCAGACGGTGAATGTCTTTCCCTGCGACATATTCCACACTCGTTCTTGTTAATTTATTCATCCATCCACACGTTTGTTCGTTCACTCACTGATGGACAAGCTTTAGTGCGCGACCACTGTGTGCCCTGCTCTGTGCTTGTCTTAAAAATGTCACAGATGGCCGAGGGTGATTTTTTTTCCTGTTAAAATGCTCCCAGCCTGGAAGGGGAGAGGGGGAATGAGACGTAGAGAAATCATTAAGGGGCAACATGGTGAGAAGGATTCTGGAAGGATCCTTTAGATTGGGGGAATTGGGAAGGCTTAAAAAGGAGTCCTCCTATCCTGGCCCAACGATGGCCAGAACCTCGGAGGGCAAGCCCCGGGGATGAGGTATGGGGATGGCAGGCCTCAGTTCCTGGGATGCCATCACTTTTGGGGGTAGACACTTCAAGGAAAAGCGGAGGTGTCTGAGAGGTGTTCAGAAGTTGACAAACACTGATGTTGTCATCATTGTGCGGTAAGAGCTATTGATGGCAGGAATCAAAGGTCATCATGGCCACTACCAGTGAGGACAGAAAAAGAGGCTTGGAGCCAGGAAGTCGGGAAAGTGGACAGAGAGGCCTCTGGGCTCTGCAGGTCAATGGCTGTAGCCTCCTTCTGGCTTTGCTGTGCAGCCAGGGACCTTGTCTTCCCCGCTCGGACAATCAAACAAGCAGCTCGGAGTTCATGACTATCTGGGAATCCTGCTTAGCCAAAAACGACATCTGTCAGATGGGTTTCCCTTTTTCCCTGGAGGTTTTCGAAAGCTCTGGTTGTTCTTGAGGATCGCTTGACCCCAGGCAGACCCTTGAGCCACACCCTTGCTGCAGGCGGTGCTCATAGAGTATGCGATGCTTGGTGGGAGACCCTCTGGAGCACTGTTCATGAGCACAAGCCTGGGCTGAGACCCAGACACCAATGGCAGCAAGCAGTTTTCACCCCCGCACCCAAGGCGGGGCCTCTTGAGACAATCACAGGATTAGTATAAATAGAACTTGTGGGGAAGCAAAATTTTAATTCTATCATGGCTCTCAGCTCTTCCCTGCTGTAGAAGGTACCACTGGACGTGTGTTTCCAGAAGGAAGGGGCAACTCTCTGTAAGCCTGAGCTCCTCTCCTCATCCCTGCCTGGTGGCACACACCGCAGTGGCCTATGCTGGTCTCCGTGGCGGTTCAGAGGAGGCGGAGACTACATTTTCATACTGGGTTCACGGTCTCACCTGGCCAGCCCTGACCCAGTGTCTCCATCGCTCACAGTCTCACCTGGTCAGCAAGACCCAGTGTCTTCGTCATATTGCACCCTCCCCTACACCAAATTTTTTTAAGCCAAGGAATTAGGGTCATCTCTACATGCAAAACCCAATCTGGGCACGGGCAGAGGTGCCTGGTGCCCACGGCTCTCTATCCCCTGCCCTCTACCCGGCCCTTCCCCACAAGGCCCGTGCACTGAGTTACTGAAAACTTGACCTGCACCCCTCAAGCTGTTGCCCTTGGGTACTGGGACCCCTCAACATAAGGAGGGCTGGACATGCCTTGGAGTCCCACAGTCAGTGCCTGGCAGTATGGCTGTGTAAGAGCCCAGCTCCTGTGCCACAAGGCAGGACCAGCTTCAGGGTGTGCGTTATGCTTTGAGTCTCCCCTTGATCACACCTTCCATTGGATTTTTCCCCTCCCCTCTCCTGCCTCACCCACTCCCTGACTGGGGTACTTGCTCCCAAATCCTCAGCTTAGGGCCAAAGGAGGCCCCAGGAGAACAGAGCTCAGATGATGTATCAGTCAGCTCAGCTGCTGCAACAAGACATCACGGACTGGGAGGCCTAAACACCAGAAATCTCTCAGAGTTCCTGAGGCTGGGAAGTCCAAGGTCAAGGTGCCCCCGAGGGAGGTTTCATTCTGAGGCCTCCTGTCTTGGCTTTGAGGTGGCCGCCATCTCACTGTGTACACACATGGCCTCTCTGTGCAGGGAGAGATAGAATGAGCTCTCTGGTGTCTCTCCTAAGAGGACAAAAATCCTATTGGTTCAGGGCCCCATCCTTATGCCCTCAGTTAAGCTTAATTAATTCCGTAGAGGCCCTACTTCAAATATAGCCACACTGGGGGTGAGGGCTTCAAAATATGAATTTTGGGGGGACACAAGCCTAACAGAGACAAAGTAATGAATGAAATAGGAGCAATTACTGAGCACTTGCTGTGTGCCTAGCCCCTCATGTACAGCCTAAAATTCAACCCAGAGACAGAAAGAGCCATTGTGTGCCGCCACAACCCATCCCAGCCAGGTAGGCAGTGCTAGTGCAAAGGACGAGGCCATTCATTTCAGAAAGAAGGGAAGCAGGAGTGGGGGTGAGGGGCCGCAGGGCACTGGCCTGTGAGCTGGAGTCTGAACGCCACTGGTCAGGGCTAAAGCCTGTGCCCAGGCATGCTGCCTGCTGCCTCCTGCCTCCTGCTCAGACAGTGTGAGGACTCTATTAGCTTCCTAAAGCCGCCGTGACCAATTGCCACAAACTGGTTGGATTACAACCACCGAGATTCATGCTGTCACACTTCTGGGGGCCAGAAGTCAAGGTGTGTTCAGGGTTGGTTCTTCTGGAGGGTCTGCGGGGTGGTGGTGGGTTCCTTGCCTCCTCCAGCTTCTGGTGTGGCCGGCAAGCCTGGGTTGGAAGATGCATCACTCCCGTCTCTGCCTCTGTCTTCACTCAGCCTCCTCCTCTGTCTCATTTTGCCTCCCCTTCTCATCTAAGAGCACTTGTCATTGGATTTAGGGCCCATCCTAATTCCAGGATAGTCTCATCTCGAGATATTTGAGTTAATTACATCTGCAAAGAGTCTTTCCAGTGAAGGCCCCATCCACAGGTTCCAGGGGACATATTGTTTTGGGGGACACTATTCAACCCACTCCAGGGACATTTCTGTCCACTAACAGGTGGACACATAGGTGTGGGCACTGTCAGACCTACACACAGGTGTGTGCACTGTCAGCCCTACATATAGGAGTGCACGCTGTTAACCCTATATGTAGGTGTGAGCACTGTCAGAACTACACACAGATGTGTGCACTGTCAGCCCTACTCTACACACAGGTGTACACACTGTTAGCCCTACACACAGATGTGCACACTGTCAGCCCTACACATAGGCATGTGCGCTGTTAGCCCTACACACAGGTATGCACACTGTCAGCCCTGCCTCCTTCCACGCAGGGCCTTGCTTCACGCTGGGCCACCCAAGCTTTCCCTCTTCCTCTCTTTTCCTGTTTCCTTCTTCTGTTTTCTGTGTTTCACATTAGGGCTTTTCTCAAATAGCTACTGATCTTTGGCGATGGAGTCACATTTTACGATGAGGACTAGAAGCCCGGCTGGAAGCTCTGTGCTGAGCTGGGCTTGGTGACCAGTGAATTTCACTGAGGTCTCCAGATGTCCCCCTGTGGTCTCCCTGGATGTTAGTGGTTGAGGGGCCTTCTTCTCGGGCTGGCCTATTTTTCCGGAGAAAAATTGTTCAATGTCCCTGGAAGTATCAACCTGAGAAGGGGCCTGGGAGGGGCATGGAGGAGCCGCAGCATCCAGCGTGTATCCTTCACATAGTTGCCCTATTTTTAGGCTTTGCCGTGTGCCCCCCATCGCCGGTGCCTGGTGTCCCGAAGCCCAGAGCCTCCGGTCTGCTTTCCTCATGGGGTGAACTTAGGTCTTCTGCCCAGGCAGGTGGGGCGAGCTTCTGACTGTTTGAAGTGAGGATGAGATATAGGGTCTTATATCCGACCAGGGTTTTTGAGATCATAATGCTTTTAATCTCACCCAGTGGGGTGTTGGTAGGTGTTTACATCTTGGGTTTCGTGGCACAAATAGGTTTGTTTCTTGCTGGTTTCTCCCTCTCTGGCCTTCTTTCATTATGGTTTTGGAAGATGACAGAAAGCAAAAGGTGAGAGGAAAAGGCAAATACACACACACACGTCTCTGTACGTGTTGTTTCTAGTTGTTGATTGTTATTTTCTCTGCTGCCACGATCATGAGGTTTTGGAAAAGAAAGCCAGTTATTTGCTGTTATGGGTCATATTCTGAGTATGAAACTTTCCTTGTTCAAATGGGCATCTCCTGAGTGGACCCCGACTGAGGGGTGATGGGAGATAAGCAATGCAGTCGGTCTGTGTTTACCAGGAAGCTGGAGCAATTTCCTTATGGGTTCACCTTCTCCACGCAGGCCAGTCCTCCCTGTCATTGACCACCGGGGCTGCCGCCTTCATCCTGTCTCTCTCGTGTCTCCTCGTCAGTTTGTCTCTGACCTCGTCTTGTCCATCCAAGTCACCCTTCACACGAAGGCTGGAGTAGTTCTCCCGAAAGTGCAGCACTGATGGCTTCAGTGTGCCCCTGCCCTACCAGCCGGCACAAGGTCAACACTCCTCTCATGCTTTGTCGGCTTTGTGAAGCGAGCTGTTAAGCCTCAGTCAACACCCCAGAGTGTGGCCAGTAGTGCACACGTGACATCATTAAACATAAAGATCATGTTTCTGACCCACAGTGGCGAAAGCGAGAAAGGATAAGGAAGCACTTCCTTTAGCAATAACAACTACGGAATGGCAAAAATGACCCAGCCTCCAGAGAGGACAGCTTGACATTTTGGGTGATTTTATGGGTGTATATGTGTGTGTGTGGTGTGTTGTATGTTGTGTTGCATGTGGAGTGTGTATATGTGCGTGTGTGTGTTGTGTTGTGTGTACGTGGTGTGTTGTGTGTGGGGTGTATGTATATGTGTGTGTATGGGGTGTGAGTCCATAGTGTGTGTATTTTGTGTTGTGTGTGTGGTGTGTGTATAGGTGTGTGAATCGGGTGTCTGTCTATAGTGTGTGTGTTGTGCTGTGTGTGGGGTGTGTGCATATGAGCGTATGTGTATATATGTGTGTATGGAGTGTGTGTATTGTGTGTGGCATGTATATGTGTGTGTGTGTGCAGTGTGTTGTGATGAGCATATGTATTTTGCGTATGTGGTGTGTATATGTGTGTTGTGTGTGTGCAGTATGTTGTGATGGGTGTGTGTATTGTGTGTGGTGTGTAGATATATGTGTGTGTGTATAGTGTGTTGTGGTGGGTGTGTGTTTTGTGTTGTGTGTGTGGTGTGTATATGTGTGTATGCAGCCTGCTGTGTTGGGTGTGTGTATTGTGTGTGTAGTGTGTATATGTGTGTGTGTGCAGTGTGTTGTGGGTGTGTGTATTGTGTTGTGTGTGTGGTCTGCATATATATGTGTGTGTACAGTGTGTTGTGTGCGGGTGTGTGCATTGTGTTGTGTGTGTTGTGTATATGTGTGTGCAGTGTGTTGTGTGTGGGTGTGTGTATTGTGTGTGTGATGTGTATATGTATGTGTGTATGTGCAGTGTGTTGTGGTGGGTGTGTGTATTGTGTGGTGTGTATGTGTGTGTAGTGTGTTGTGTGTGGGTGTATTGTGTGTGCAGAGTGTATATGTATGTGTGTGTGTGCAGTGTGTTGTGGTGGGTGTATGTATTGTGTTTGTGTTATTTATGTGTGTGTGTATTGTGTTGTGTGTATATGTATGTGTGTGTGCAGTGTGGTGTGGTGGGTGTGTGTATTGTGTGTGGTGTGTATGTGTGTGCAGTGTGTTGTGTAGAGGTGTGTGTATTGTGTGTGTGGTGTGTATATGTATGTGTGTGCAGTGTGTTGTGTAGGGGTGTGTGTATTGTGTGTGTGGTGTGTATATGTATGTGTGTGCTTAGCATGTTTGTGTGTGTGTGTGTTTGCATGTGCATGTGCACACACGTGTCAAGTGGTTGGCACTCAACGTTTTGGAGGTAGCACACTGTTGAGTTGCAAGGCTAACTGCTACACTTTTGCCAGTGATGTGTGGAGTGCTGCTGTGTCCTGATGTCCTGGCTCTGACGCTGAAAGCGGGCACAGCATCTCTGATGCGATCTCGGCTCACTGCAAACTCCGTATCCCGGGTTCAAGTGATTCTCCTCCCTCAGCCTCCTGAGTAGCGGGGATTACAAGTGCATGCCACCATGCTCGACTAATTTTTGTAATTTTAGTAGAGACGGGATTTTGCCATGTTGACCACGGTGGTCTTGAACTCCCGACCTCAGGTAATCCACCTGGCTTGGCCTCCCAAAGTGCTGGGATTACAGGCATGAGCCACCACACCCGGACCAGTAACAGGTGTTTAAAATTGCTTTTCAGGAACTAGGGGGCAGCTCTTGTCCAGTTCAAGCCATTTGAACCCACCAGCCCACCTGCGGGGGTGCTGGAAGAGTGACCTTTTGATATCAGAGGGCCAAGAACTCCACCCTCTGATTATGGGCCTGTGGCCATTTTCTGCACATCTCATGTGAAGAGCCACGTGGCTCATTTCCACTTGTGCAGATGCCCAAATTACCTCACTTTTCCTACCTGCCAGCCACCTTTCCCCACACTTTAGACCACCTGCTTTCTATCCTGTAAATATCCCTAAGCTCTATTTTCCTGGAGGCAGATTTGAGATTTGTTCTCCCATCTCCTCGCATGGTAGCCTTGTGAATAAAATCTTTTCTCTTTTGCAAAACCCATCACCAGAGTGATTGGCCTGCTGTGCACAGGCATAACACACCTAGCCAGTAACAGGTGCAGGTCAACGTTATTTTATAGAGAAAAAACAGATGCAGCACGGGCAGGTGACTTGCTTGCAGTCTGCAGGGGATAGTGTTAGGATTGTTCTTGGGGTAAGGGGTTTCCGCTGAGTTAAACTTCTAGCAGTACTCCCTGAGAAAGAGTGCTTTGTAGACAAATATGTGTAAGAAATGCTGCATTGCATTGTGGGAAATTCCCAATGCATCCTGGGCACATCTCAACCTCTGAGGAGTCCTGGAATAAAGCCTTTCAGCGTCCTTGACCATGGAGCCCTTTCATTGTAGAACATTCCAACTGGCCCGCAGAGCTCGTTTAGCCTGTTGTGCTAATATTGAACATGGCAGGGTCTCCAAGGCAGCAAGGAGACCCAACTGAGAAGGTTTTGAAACAAAAGAGATCCCTCAGGGTCTACCCGTGGAGCGTTTGGTGTAGGAGCTCTGGGGTAGGCCCCACAATGCGTGCTCTTTAAAATTTTCCAGGTGACTCTGATTATCATTCAGGTTAGAATGAGGACTCAGGTTCCACAGAGTCTAAGAGTTGAGTTTGGTTTTTCTTAAGTCTGAGCTTCCCAGAGGCAAACCAAATAGAGAGGTCAGTAATGGTGCAAATCCATCTTAGGCCTACCCTGTGGGTGAACATCTTGGGAAACATGATCTTAAGAGAGACCCTGATGGAGCATGCCTTTCAAGGGTTGTAAGAGATGGCTGTAGGGAAAGTCGCATGACGACAGTGCCTTGCATTGAGTGCAACGGAAAACATTTGCTCCAGAGGCACCTACCTGTACTGTTAAATAAGTAAGTCTTTTGTGGGGGGAGAGGGGGAGGATATGGTTTCTTCTGTGAATGTGTATTTATCCCTGGCTTGGGTGGCATCCAGGCAAATTATTATAATGCATGTCCACCCATCCCAAAAAATGTGTTCAACATAACATGGAAAAATTAAGTCATAGGAGACATATGAGATGTGTGTGAACCAATTTAAAACCACTCTAGGAAGAGCCTGAGGTTATGGATTACAACTGATCCGCAAGGTACCTTTTTGTAATGGAGAGGCAATTAGGCCTGTACAACTGGCTCCACTAAGGAGAGCCAGAGCAGGAGGAAATTCCGTGTGAACTGTGGAGCTCAGCTGCCTCCAATCTCATGTGATGACGCCATTATGTAGGACAGAGGGACCTGCAAAAAATGAAGATGTCCAACACTTGTGGAGCCTCATTACAATGAGTGGCTGTCAACAGCTTCTTAGAAAGACGGTTCCTAACAAACACCCTGGAGAGGCAGACCCTGCCGTAAATGCCCAGGAGGTGAGCCAGGTTGGCATCCTAAGGTCTTAGGAATCTTGCAGCGGTTAAGCTTGGCTACAGAAAAGAATCTGAAAATCAGTTGAATAAGTTACCTTTAAGTAACCATATCTCATCTTCAAGTTAAGTTACAAGGTTGTTAAAAGGTCTCAAAATCTTTCTTAGTTCACTGAGCATTTCCTTGTATGGAAGACTCAGGAGTTTCCTAAGAATGCTTTGCATATGTGCATTATTTTTTACCTGCCCACTCCACTACCAAGGTACCTGCAGGAGGCAGAGAGAAAGGGCTGGTCTTGGAGGTCTTAAGATAAACAAATAACGTGCAAAAAGATGGTAAAGAAATTGAGTTTTGGGTTCAAGTCCACCTGGGTTTTAGTTCTGACTCCCCCTCTGTGTGAGTTTGAAAAAGTTATTTTAATACCTCGGAGCTTTGGTTTCCACATCTAAAATAATTTGGGGATAGTCGCGTATCTTCTTCACGGGCTGGCTTTGAGGATTAAATCAGATAGCGTGGGTAAAGCGTATGGCATAGTGCCTGGTAACCTTGTGCACTCAAGGTAGGGTAATTCTTACCAGCAGATGCTTAGAAGTTATTTGTCTCTCTGGGCTCTGTAGCACTTTGACTTGCCTTCTTTTACCACACCTCTCTCCAACTAGAGTGAGCCTGAACTGGGAACCAGATTGTCCCTGTACACCCAGTTTTCAGCAGCTCGCCGACTCTTTGCCAAGTACTCAAGGCATAGTTGTTGAATGAATCAATGAATGAATGAGCAAAAGTCAGAGCTTCTAAGCCCTAAGCTCTTTGCGTTGCCTTGTGCTGCCTTTAGAGTTAATGCAGTGATAACAAACACTGTGAAAGCTGGAACATGATCGATTTAAACTGATTAAACAATTGTCTCACACTCCATCGTCAATAGATACATTCCAAAATTATTACAGAGAGAGAGCTAGAGTCCACCAACCCTCATCTTATCAGGAGACATCCTTGGAATCGGTCCTCTCACGATGTCAGATCATTTCCTGCTCAGTGCCCTGAAAACTGAGCTAGCGAATAGTATATGGATTTTCTTTTCTTTTTTCTGTGAAAGAAAAATAATTATCTCTATGGGCTTTTACTTATAAAGTAGTATCAGACCACAAAGTGAAAAGAAAAAAAAATGAAAAGGTGACTATGTTCTTGGTACAAAAGCAGGCGCTCCTGGCAGTCTTGGCTTGAGCTCTGGGTATTTTGAAGCTCCAGGAATGCCACCAGACTGGCCCACTGGACACAGCTGATTGGAAGTCCCTTATGTGGACCTCGGACTGGCTGGTTTTGAAGTCACTGCCACCATCCGGGGTGACTCCAGATAAAGAAATTCGCCTATGCAGACTCCACATCAGGAAACCAGTGGATATTCTGAGACAGTCAGCCCAGCTGCCAAGAGTAAAACATAGCCCTGCCAGAACTCCAAATCCAATTTACAAAAGAATTTTCTTCTTTCTTCCCCCTTTTTCAAGTTATAGTTTGGGCATCAGTCATTGAGTTGTTGGTTTCAAGAGCAGATACACCTGATGAAATATAGATTTGTTTTACAGAATTCTCCAAAGCCTGAAGTCATCCAAAGGCCAAATAAGATTGCATGCCAGGAGTGATATCTGAAAGTAGAAAATAGAACCTTTGGTGTTCCAGTCAAAATGAAGGGAAGATGAGAAGGTAGGTTTAACATCAAGCAAATTACACCAGCTTTTCAACTTTGAGGCTCACTTTTCCCCTCCTTTCTTTCTGATAGCTAGATTTGGTCTTAAAAGATTACCATAAGATTGTTAAACTGACAATTCATTATTTTTTCCTGACAGTGCATAAAAATAGTATGGATTGCCTTATGGGTAGAAAGTTGTTCTTAGAAGCTGGATCCCTGGGATAAAGACAGTCTTCTAGAAAGGCTGGAAAAACCAAACCATGTGGCTCGTTTTTGGTGTTAAATCCTGAAATATCTGAAATGAGGTACTGTTTTTAGGAGAGGCCAGAGGGACTTTGTGAAGATCCTTTACTGGGGAGGCCAAGCTTCCTGCTGTAGTTGTAATCTCAAAGCATTGCTTTGCTGTAAAAGACGGTCATTTCTGTAATAAGTTCTTCTCTTATATTTAGCGCCTACTTTCAGTCACTTGATCTAGCTAATGCCTATCTATTTGCATACTCAGCAGTGTTTTGTTAGGTTCTCTATGGTTAGTGTCTCATTGCATCATATTCCAGGAAAAGTGCTCCTTGAGGAGGTACCTTCAGTACCCCTGTATCTCCAGGTTCTAGCACAGGGCCTATCCCTTTCAACACAGTAGGATTAACAGAGGCTCTTGCACCTAATAAGCAATTGAATGGATGCAGGGAGATGATGGCTGTTTTTGTTAACCCCTCCCTTAGTTAGGAAACATACAGACAGAGGGGACCCATTTGGGTTTTAATTCAGTTCCAAGAAACTGCCCAGCCTGAGAAGATAAGGACCACTGGGGTCCGTTCTGGCTTTGAGCTACCGATGAAGTGTGTGTCATTCCATTTTGGGAACTGTTTCTCGGATGTCCCTGGCTGCGGGGTGAACCCCTGGACCCATCCTCAGTGGATCCCACCATCTTGGATCTGCACTGCCAGGATCTTGCTAAGCCCAGACTCTCATTCTGGACTTCCCTGGAATGGACTTCCCAGGGTACAGACTGGTTTTGGAAGCAAGGACTGCCGGCCCCAGGAAGCTGGCTCCTCTGCCTGCCAACTGCAGCCTGCTTCTCTCTCTGGCACATTCTGGTGCAGAGATGGTGACAGGGTTTGGGAACCAGACATACCTAGATTAAAATTCTTGCTCTGCACAAGTGACTCGGCTTCTCAGACAGAGACTTGATTCTCTCTGCTAGAACGTGGACCCCATACAAGTATCTGTCTCCAAGGGTGCTCTGCAAATTCATGGAGATGGTCCTATAAACCCCTTCTACACTGCTGTGCATGGTGTACTTGTCCCATTAGCTCTGGTTACCCTGGGCTCCTTGCTGGTCTGCCTTTTTCGTTTTTAGCCTTGCTCTATTGTTTGACATTATGGTGAAAAGAGGATTGAGAACGTGCGTGAGAAAGCTTTTGACACACAGGTGAATGCCTGGTGCCCCTCACAGGCGCCTACATACCAGAGGGGCTGGGAGAATGGTTATCAAATGAGCCAACTGATAAGCTCAATTTCACCATTGGCAAATGTGGCAGATTTAACTTTATCCAGACAGCACATTGCATTGTAGTCTTCTTGGTTATCTTAAAGAATCCTTTCTGTGTCGCTACTCTTCAATTTTTATTTTTTTTATTTCCTTAATTAATTTTTATTTTTAAGTGCCGGGGTACATGTGCAGGATGTGCAGGTTTGTTACATAGGTAAACGTGTGCCATGGTGGTTTGCTGCACCTCTCACCTCATCACTTAGGTAGTAAGCCCAGCATTCATTAGCTATTTATCCCGATGTTCTCCCTCCCCTCACTCCCCACCCTGACAGGCCCCAGTGTGTGTTGCTCCCCTCCCCATGTCCCTGTGTTCTCATTGTTCAGCTCCCACTTATAGGTGAGAACATGCGGGTTGTCACTCTTTTAATATAGATTTTTCAGAGGTCTTTGTTCTTACATTCCAAAGGTGAAGTTCTTTTCTATTTTAATAGTCCTCTGCCATTTGTTTCTAAAACCACACCCTGTGGTTACATGCATACTGTTTGAGGAATTCACGTGTTTCCAAACATTTGTAAAAGTGGGGAAAATAAATAGCAAGTTTACAGCCCCACCTGCACTGACAACTTGCATAACCCCCTGTCTGAGCCCGGGCCTGTGTAAGTGATGGTCACGCACCGTTCCCTAAAGTCACTTAACTCAGGATTGTTGGAATAGCATGATGTCAAAGAGACGGGGTTCCAGTTTGGTTTATCAGTCCCCGAGGGCTACCTGAAGGAGGTGGAATTCCTCTAGGACCAGAATCAGAATCTACTCCATATGCTCACCTGAGCGACTTTTTGACCTGACTGTCCCTGGACACCAGTTTGTCCACTGCTTGTCCGGCAACCTCGGGGATGGCCGAGAAGAGATGGGAACCAAGTTGCTTTGGCAACGCCAGGACAGGGAAGAATGTGGATCTCATTTGTGGGTTCTCCAGCCTCTGCTACACTTTTCACATAAAAGGAGATGGAGGAAGGCAGTGGAAGCAACAAACGGCAGACCGAGTCCTCCTCCTCTTACGTCTTCGGGTCCTCATGCAGTGCCCAGGACACAGGAGGACCCACACACATTTCCTGAATTTAGGAAGGAATGAATGAGTCCTGTGCCCTTTGTGGTAACAAAGATACTTCACTCATTCAGACCCAGCTGATTGTTTCATGCATGTTCATGAAACTCCCATAAATTTGGCCAAGACTTACCATGTCTATCCTTAGGGCAGACTGGGTTTTTGAAAGCAACTATCTGTGGGTTCCTTTAATGAAAACGAAAAAACATAAATCGTGCCAAGACACACAAGTGACAGCTCCGGGGAAGCGAGGCTCCTCTCTAATTACCTGCAGGAGCAGGTGGTGGTGGTGAGTGCTGAGTGTGGATAGATATGTAAACAGTATCAGTCATCACAACAAAACCTGTGTCATCACGGCGCACCCTCCCACGTCCCAGGAGTGAAGCGTCATGAGGACATTGCTTCCAATGGGCGATGGGAAAGCTTCCAATCCAGCCTCTGCCTGGTTCTCCCAACTCTCACCTCCACCTCCAGTACCTGGCATGTAACTTTCAGGAGAAGAGATAAACATGAAATATTATTTTGAATGGTATTTTCCCACTAAGAACAAAACTCACAAACCAAAGCTACTTTTGTTTGTCTAGCTTCACAGCTCATGAAGGACTTTAGCTATGCTACTAAATACTCTGTATGGAATGACTCCATTAATCATGAAACCCCGCTCTTCATGCTGATGTTGTAATTGATTTTTACCCGCAGGGGCCAAAGCGGGCTTTGGATGTTGCTTTAGTAAGAGAAACCTCACATGATGTTTGGCTAGAGAGAATTGCTGTTTTGGTCACCTGTGTATGGGTTGACCAGCTTTTTGCCCTCTGAAAGCATCATCTGGGAATACTCACTCTACTGAGATAAGATAACACTCAGACTTCAAGAGATAAGGCTAACTTCGTAGATTTTGAAACAAAGTTGTTTTTCAAAATCCCCAAGTGACATCATAACCACTCCTTTAAAATAAAAGCTCTTACTTCCGAAATGGCAATATTTAATAAAGTTTCTCTGAATGACTTTGTCAATTAGGTTTGAGTAAATGGAAAAAAATAGAGCACTAAGGGATTATACATGAAAAATTTATAGATCGGTAGTTGGATGGGTTTCCCCTATGACATAGCTGCTGAGCTGGAATGGTGAGGACATAGAACCATGAGAGCAGGGAACCACCAGGGCATGGAACCATGAGGGCAGGGAACCACCAGGGCGTGGAACCATGAGGGCAGGGAACCACCAGGGCGTGGGAACCATGAGGGCAGGGAACCACCAGGGCGTGGAACCATGAGGGCAGGGAACCACCAGGGCGTGGAACCATGAGAACAGGGAACCACGAGGGCGTGGAACCAGTAGGGCCCAGACTCCGTGGCTCCTGTGGCTGGCAGCCCCAAGCTGACACTGGCTGAGCCCACAGCCAGCCTAAACAAGGAGTTAACACATATTTTTTGGTTAATCCAAGAAGAATATTGTACAAGGTAGGTTTTTATGAATCCTGTTAATTTTATTGAGAAACACATGGCAGGCCACCTGGTCTCCTGGCAGCTGGAGATTTACAACAACTGGCGGTTGGCATTGGAAGGCAGAGCAGTCTCTTGCATGGTGTAAACCACAGTTCAGACCCCATGGCTGGGTTTCTAGTACTTTCTTAAAAGGGATGGTCTACCACTTGATCTAATTTGTGTGGGCCTTTCCATTGCTGGCACAAATGCAGGTATGCCAACATTTGTTTTTCCTCTATACTTAGAATTCTTTTGTGTGGCTGTTTACAAGACAATTCCTTTTGCCTTTATTCTTGCATCTGCATGTATACTGATGGTGGAAATTTTATGGAACTTTGAAGAGTTTAAAATGTTTTTGTTTTGTTCTTGGCCTAAGGTGTTCAAGAGATGACATTGCATAGTGTCACAGAGAGGACTGAATTGAGAGTTGGGGGGTCTGGGCTGAGCACCTCTGCCTGGACCCCAGGGGAAGCACATCCCAGCTTGCTTTTCTATCACATGTGTGGGGAACACAGCTCCCCATCCATGGATCTCCAGAATTCATAAGAAGAAGCCTCATGGGCATGGAGGCAAACTACCAAGTTTCCAAAAATTCATTTGTCATCAATAAAATGAGCGAAGAATTTAGTGGATGATGCAAGTGTGACTGACTATTTTTCTACAGACATGCAATTCCTTTAGGGACTCCTTTATGGACTATCCGTACCTTAGTAAGCCCCAGGAGAGAGCAAATGGCTTGTTACTGAGTTTAATTAGTCAACAGGCATCTTATCCCCCCTAAGGGATTTCTTTAAAACGTCGGAAGACGGATCCAGTGATACTTTAAAATGCCATGAAAATATCACGCCTGCAACATCTCTAGGACAGATCTCTTCAGCACATCTGGAAAGGTGTTAAAAATTTCAGAAAGCTGCTCCCTCTTCATAGGAGCACAAGGTACTTGGAGGGCGCTGTGACCTCTGTCAATGGAGAAAAGAGCTGGCAGGTTAGAAAATAGCCACACACTGCAGAGCTCACACTTCAGCATCACTTGCACCCCTAAAAATGCCCACGACATTAGTTACCCAGCAACTCCGAGGCAAGCGGCCAATTACCCCCTTGCATCATTAAGTTTCTAATGACTTCAGACTGTTCCTTTGCCTGGATAAGCCTTACGTTTTCCTGCCTCCAGCCTTGCTGGTCCCAGCTACCTGAGGTGCTCCCTGGCGCACACTGACCTCACTTTCCCTAGCCATCTGTATTGTATGCCGTGTCCAATATGGTAGCCAAGCGCCTCCTGTGGTTATTTAAATTTAAATTCTTTTTAAAAATTCAGTTTCCCAGTTGCACGAGCCAGGATTAAAGTGTGGCCAGGGCCGTCCCGTTGGGCAGCACAGATGATGGCGCATTTCCTTCCTTGCAGAAGGTCTAGTGGACGGTGCTGTGAAGCCCCAGCCCTGGGTTTACACAAGCAGCTCCTCACTCCCACTGATTCCAGGCTGGAGAAAAATCACATGACGTGTAGACTGGTGCCAATCAAGCGGGTGGATTTTCATCTGGGCAGAGCCCTTAGGCACTTGGCGACTGCACCCTTCTTCAGAAACCTCCTCCCTTCCCTGCCAGATGTCCCCAGCTCTCCCCTGGCTCCTCAAGCTCCCCCTCCAGCCCCCACCCGCTAGCTCAAACCCTACCTCTGAATGCAGATGACCTTGGAGAAAGCAGGGAGGAAGGACGGGCTCGCCTAGGCTTTCTTCCAGCACCCCCACCACAAAACTCATCTCCCCTTCTCTTCCCAGGAAGCCTTCCCCTCCTGCCACTCCCACCCAGTCAGGCACCTTGTCCTCCCCTGTTCTGTCTAAACATGCTGGTCAGCCTGTGTACCCCACCCCTCTCCTTAATTTCCCGTTGTAACAAAGTGCCCCAAGCTGGTACTTTCAAACAATAGAAATTGATTGTCTCAAAGTTCTAGAAGCTGGAAGTCCAAGGTCAAGGAGCCAGCAGAGCTGTGCTCGTGCTGGAGGCACTGGGAGCATCTGTTGCAGGCCTTTCTCTGGGTGCCTGGTGTCACTGGTCATCCTTGGCACTTCTTTGCTGGCCAAGGATGCATCACTGTGACCCTCGTCTTTACAGGGCTTCACGCTGTGTCTGTCCACGCGCGGATGTCGTCTTGTAAGGACACCAGCCACACCGATGAGAGGCCATCTTCCTCCACTTTGACCTCATCTTAACTAATTACATCTGCAACTGTCCTATTTCCAAATAAGGTCACGTTCTAGGGTAGCGGAGAGTAGGACTTCAACACAGCTTTTTTTGAGGGAAGACGCAATTCAACCCACAGCTCCCCCAAATGCGTTATTCACTCTGTTCTGTGCCCTGTGGCATGACCCTGTGGCCTGCCCTCTTTGCTGTGCTCTGGTGCTTTAGCCTCGGTTAGAATTCCTGCAGGAGTTTCCCAGGAGACCAGAAGGTGAGATGAGACAGCATCGGGCCATTTCTCTCCAGCCCTCCCTGCACAGTGTTGTGGTTCCAGCAGGCAGCACCAGCGCCCCGCACAGCTTCCATGAGGCACCTCCCCTTCCACTGCTCCAATTCTCACCACACGTGGGTGTCTCCGTTTCCCCCTCATCCCCCAGGCCTGGATGTTTAATGACATTGTCCTTAGGTATCTCAGGGCCCCTTCTGCTTCCCTAGGGCTGCCCACCATTCTCTCCATCACCCCCTCATTGAATTCTCTCCACGATCTCAGCTGAGTATGCCTTTTGTTTTATGCTGGGATCTTGTTGGTGACAACGCATTCCAGCCACAGACGAGCTACTTCCCCTCTTCTGTAGCAGCGGGCTGAGGCTTCTCGTATAACACACACGCTCTTTACCAAACGCAAAGCGAAACAACATCTAAAAATCTTCCCTGGATCCTTTGTCCCTTGACCCCACCAGCACTGCTGCCTCCCCCGTTCCTGTCCTTCGTCCACGCCTCCTGCGGCACCATGTGCTCTTGCTGTGTCCACAGGCTGAACTGCTGTTCGCTCCTTCCAGCCACACAACCTGGCTTTGTCCCTGTTCCTCTGTGGAAACAGCCCTTGCTTTTTGCTCATGAGTGGCCACATCACGTACTCTTCACCATAAGTGTCTATTCCTGGTGCTCCATGGACGTGGCTACCTCTCTCCTGGGTCTCCAGCAGCGGATCCTTCTCTGTAGCCTTTGATTTCCCTTTTGTCCTCGCCCACAACTTCCTTGGTTGTCCTCCGGCGATGCATTCCTCTGCTAGGGCGGCTGTAGCCGAGTATCATGGCCGGGGCGGCTCACATAGCGGAAATGGATTTTTCTCACAGTTCTGGAGGGTGGATGTGCAAGATCAAGGAGTCGGCAGATTCAATTCCTTCTGAGCTCTTTTTCCGTGGCTTGCAGATGGCCTTCTCTCTTCTGTGTCCTCACAAGGTCTGTGTGCAGACATCCCTGGTGTCTCTCTGTGTGTCCAAATCCCCTCTTTGTATAAAGACACCAGTCAGATTGGATTAGGGACCCCCCCAACAGCCTCGTCAAACTATAAGATGAAACTTATAGAATGTCAGGGTTCTGTATCAGCCAGCCCAGGCTGCCAGAGCAAAGCACCACAGACCGATGGCTTAAAACAAAGAAATTTATTTCTCCCAGTTCTGGATGCTGGGAGTCCCAGCTCGAGGTTTGGTTCCTCCTGAGGCCTCTCTCCTTGTCTTGTAGTTGGAGGCCCCACTCTTGTTTCTTCATTTACCCTTATTACCTTTTCAAAGGTCCTATCTCCAAACTCAGCGACATTCTGAGATACTAGGGGTTGAGGCTTCAGCATATGAATTTTGGGGGTGGGGGCACAATTCCGCCCATAACGTGTCCTTAACATGTGTTGGGCCTCCATGGGCCAGGCAGCTCCCTGCTTGGCGCGTCCAGTCCAGATCTCTTGTCTGAGACCTGTTCCCTGTTCCCATCTGCTCTCTGGACGGCTTCATGGCAACGCTCAGGAGCTCAGGCAAACTGGCCTGCTCACACCAACCACCTTTTCTCCAGCTGCCCCCACGTGTTCTCCTGTCTTCCCACCGTGTGAACGGACTCCATCATTCTCTGTTACCCAAGCCAGAAACCTGGGGGCCTGGGAGTCCTCCTCCCTCTCTGTCCTGCTAGCCCAGCCCATCCCCAGGGGCTCACAGATGGTTTTTTGTCCATGTCTCACGCCCACCTTGGTTTAGGGCTCACTGTGTTCACCTTCCTGCTGGCCCTGTGCCCTCCAGATTCACCCTCCTCCACAATGCCACCAGAGTGGCTTTTCCCAAAGGCAGATTTGAACATCTCACATCTAGATTTCAATTCCTCAAGGATGTCTCTTCACTTTCAGGAACAAGCTCAAACTTCGTTGTAGTCTTTTCTGCAACTACCTTTGCTGAGAAGACGTGCTCTCCTCCCTCTCTGCCACATGCCTGCTCACAGTACAGTTACTGGTTGGCTTGCTCCTTTTCGGTGAGACCCCATTCCCCCTAAGGGCTTCCACTGTGCTCTTGAACATGTGCTCTCTGGGATCTCCCACAGGTTTAACCAGTGTCTGATGTAGTCGGTTCTCAGGAGAAGTTTGATAAATGCATGAACCTGCTTTGCCCTGACAAGTAGGACCTTCCAGCCTCACCCCAGATCCACTGGTCCTCAGCCTGATCATGGACATTGGATGGCGTCCCCATCTGCCTCCTGCCAGTGGAGCGGAGACACTCCTCTTGGACCCTGCTTCCTGCGCTGGCTGGAGAAGGAGGACCAACAGCCCTGGCACCAAGGGCACCTTTTCTGAGACTGGCTTTCCTGACACAAGGGGCACCGCTCTGCTTTTGTGTCTGCACCCTTCGGAGATGGCCTCTGACCATCCCTGGGCTTCTGGGGTGGTGCCTGGCCAGGCTTAGCACAGTGTCCCGTGTAAAGCCCAGACCCGCAGCAGTCCCCTTCCTGGCAAGAGTGAGGTCTGCTCTTTTGACCTTGACTGCACCTCCCTAAACATATCCTAGAGTCCCTCTCAGGGAGCACTTGGGGCTCCGTCTTCACTTATTCATGTCTTTTTAGGCGCCGCAGCACGCACCCCACAACACGGTCAGCACAACCTTGTCCCTTGGCCCTGTGGGACTCGTGGCCTGGACCCATTGTCTGCTCACTTTCTTGGAATGTGGCCTCAGGCCCTGGCTTCCTGGGCCCTTTTCTAAAGAGGACCCTTCCTTCGTCCCTCTAAGATCCTCCCCTCACACTCCATGGCTTTGGGCTGTCTTATCAGCTGGGGCTGCCATAACAAAGAACCACAGACCAAGGGTTAAACAACAGGCATTCATTTTCTCACGGTTCTGGAGGCTGGAAGTGCATGACCAAGGTGCTAGCAAATGTGGTTTCTGGTGAGTATTCTCTTCTGGGTGTGTAGACAGCTGCCTTCTCTCTGTGTCCTCACATAGCCTTTCTGCTCTGTGTGTGTGTGTGTGTGTGTGTGTGGAGCAGGGTGGACTTGTGGTTCCTTCCTCTTCCTCTAGGGACACCAGTTCCAAGGACCCCACCTTTAGGACCTCATTTGACCTTAATTACTTCCCTAATTACTCCATCTCTAAGACACCTTCACACTGGGGTTTAGGGCTTTAACACGTGAATCTTGGGAGGACACAATTCAGTCCATAGCAGGGATGGGGTGCTCAGGGATTGTGGAGGGGGCCTCCCAGGGGGGTGTGCTGGGCGGGGACTCAGCTCTGCCACTTCTTGGCTGTGTGACCTCAGCCAAGCCCATGGACCTGCCTGACCTGCTGAACGGCGTGCTCCAGCCTCCTGGGGCTGGGGTAGTGAGAGATACAGACAGGCTTTACAGCGAGCAGCAAAGTGCCTTTCCCACGTGAAGAATGGGAGCATAGGCCACTTCATTTGTGAAAGTGAACCTTGATGACAACACGGTGGAAATGAGGTGAAATCACCAGAAAAACAGATTTGTTGCTGCAATAACATTTCTTTCAAGAAAACTTTGTCCCTAGAGGTAGAGCCTGGTTGTTGACATTCAAATACCTTCACATTTCTGAACATGGTTCTTTTTCTCCTATGTGACTAGAAGCTTAATAACATTACTGTCTAATGAATACCAGATGCGAGACCTGGAATGCCAGGGCTGCGGGCTGGTCCTAGACGCTCCTTGGTGTGTTTGTCTCACATGGTACCTGACCTGACATTTCTGCAAGCTAAACAGGAGATAAAAACCTCAGGCTTTAACTATTTCTTTCAAAGCTCATAGGCTTCATGAATAGGTGTCACCGCTGTTGCTAGTCCTTACAATCATTTACCAAGTCTTCTAGCAGAAATTGTAGGCCTCCGAGAAGCTAACCCACATGGAGGGGCTACGCCATATCTGTAGGCTGGTTTGTTTTACATTTTCCTTTCTAGAATAATCTCAAAAGATGCAAAAACCTCCCTTTCTTATCAAGTCCTGTTAGAAGAATGTCAGGTCTGCAATGCATGATTCTGTCATGTTGTAATAGTTTTATGTATAGTGTGTGATATAACATCCAATCATCCAGAATGGTGTGAGACCATTGAACAGGTAGGACCTTCCAGCTCATCTGGAAGACCCAGTCAAAAGATTGTGAAGTATGGCTAAGGTCAAGCATAAAATGATCTGGCTAATAGAAATTACAGAAATGAATGGAATTTCAAAACTGTGGTGGCTGCCTGAAATTTTACAGAGGATTCCAGGCTGGATCCTGGGCTGGGCTCAATTTTAAGGGAGCAGATCCCGTGGAGGGGAGCCTCAGTTTCCTTGTCCGTCAATAGGGTAGACTGTATCAGCTCAATGGAGCTACAAGATTTTTGAGATACGTAATCTTTTCTTTGGGTGCAATTAGACGCAGACAAAAGTTGAAGAACCCTGAGGCACTGCTCTAGCCACGGTGTAAAAGCATTGAGCCAGCTCATATGGAAGACCCAGTCAAGTCACCAGTATCTGCATTTGTGCTTGTTAACGTTCGTGGCTCAGGAGGCCTACCTTCTGATTAAGTGTTCTCATGTAAAATCATCCAAATACTCCCTATTAATTTTATTTTGATATATGGATGAATAATAAAAGATTATATCTCCATGTCATTTAGTTGAATTTGTTGATTCATTGAAATAATAATGCAGGCAATGGTTAATGAGTCAATAACGCTGTGACAAGTGGCATCTCCAAGGATGTTGGCAATCTGCCTTCTGCTCCCCATGCTCTTCCTCAACATGGCTTTGTCACCCCTCCAATAAGTAGAGTCCTTGTCCCTTCAGCCACCGTCGGTGGGAGTCCTTGTCAGTTCTTTTTCATATCTTTTCAGGCACTGCAGCATGCACCCATGGTGACACCAATATGTTCCAACCCAGCTACAGAATTTCCCTTCTTCTTCTGTAAGATAATTCAACAGGAACTTGTAAGGATGGAAGGGGGATGGAGTCCATAGGCCCAAACCATCTCCTTAAAATGCAAGACTCAGCTGAGTTACAGCTGATCCCCACCACTCAAATTACCTATTTACTTTCTCACTTTTGCTTGGTCCTTTTGTTTTTGTTTGTTTGTTTGTTTGGTTTTTTTTTTTTTTTTTGAGATGGAGTCTCACTCTGTCACCCAGGCTGGAGTGCAGTGGCTCAAACTCGGCTCAGTACAAGCTCCGCCTCCCAAGTTCATGCCATTGTCCTGCCTCAGCCTCCCAAGTAGCTGGGACTACAGGTGCCCGCCACCACGCCCAGCTAATTTTTTGTATTTTTAGTAGAGACGGTGTTTCACCACATTAGCCAGGATGGTCTTGATCTCCTGACCTCGTGATCCGCCTCCCTCAGCCTCCCAAAGTGCTGGGATTACAGGCGTGAGCCACCACGCCTGGCCTGTTTTTGTTTTCAAATCAGGTTATTGTATATATTTTTAAACCACATTGGATATATTGCAGCAGAGTTGGGGAATTAAACAAATAATGAATGATGAAATCAAAATTGCTCCCCATTTTTGTAGGACTAAATTTTCAAAATAAAACAAAGTTTTTAAATGATAGCTCCTTGGTGAAATATCACTAAACAAGAGAGGGGTCTTGGAAGCAGGTGGGAAAGGCCTGTGATATGGCAGGCGATGTGGACATGCTGATGTTGAAGAGACTTGGGTATTGAGTTGTGCTGTTCTGATCGCCAACAGACCCTACAGAGCGGTGGCCTCGAGGGAGACAGCCTCAACTCACTGGGTTCTTCCCCTGTGGGGAGGGCTTTTGTCAGTCATCTCTCATGGTCGCGGCCACCTTGCAAGACAGGGCCCCTGTGATCTCTCATACAACAAGGCAGGCGGGTGATGCCCTGGCCCCGCAGCATGGGTCTCCTCCATCCCTAGGCCTTGTTTTCTTTATGATAGAGTAGGATGGATTTTCTTTTTGATGTCACATGGTAGGAATTAGAAAGAGACGGTTTGTGACTGGCTGATGAAGATAAAGAAATACAGAGTCTTTATTCATAGCTGGCACTCTTCTAAGTGCCTTTTATATTAATGCATGCAAATCATAAAAGCAGGAAAGCAACTCCTACACCATGATGGCACACCAAGCACCCATGTGGCTTAATGTAGAAAGGCGGAGAGCAACGTGGCTGTTCGGGAATTTAGGGGTTAGCTGTATACCATATATACTTTAAAAAAAAATCACAAGTCATCAAGCAAACCATATATACTTTTTAAAAAAGAAAATAGTTTCCAGGTCCAGATTCATGTTCTTGTAAGTGGAACGCACCCAAAGGGTGCACAAGTGGAATCCATTGACCACCATGATCTTCAAAGGGGCAAATTTAGGACCATGAGGTCAAAGGGCTTTCTTCAGGTCACCAGCAGCTGCAGGAGTACTTGGAAAGTGAAGCTCCACAATGTGTTGGTCGTGACAATACAGAAGCGAGGGGGAAAGCCATGCTTTGGACAGAGAGTGGCAGGGACAGCTGCAACCAGAATGCCTCATGGGGGCATGGGATGGGGAAAAGCAGCCTATGCAAAATGCACCATTCAGGAGCATCTGCTTTCTCTCAGGACCTGGAGTGAGCATTGGGGTTCTTCAAGAAAGAAATCCTCATGTGTATTAGTTCCATAAATGTTTCATTAAAACAATGTCATGTTGATAGTGAGTCTCTGACGCTGGACTTGGTTCAAAGACAGTGGAGTGTGCATGGAAGTTTAGTCATACCTATCAGCCCTTTGAAAATAATCCTTGCTAATGCTTCAGTCTCGTGATGTAAGCTCAGTGGAATTACAGTTTAACTGTTCAAAATTATATAACTAATTGCATTCAGCTTCAGTAACAATTATTAATCAGCCCAAACCTTCTAGCTTGCTTCTTGCTGGTGGAGGGTTGAAGTGAACTAATCAGGTCCAAATTTATTTTGCTAACAATCTCAGATGAGCTGTGCCCTGGGGCCAGGGAGGCTTCGCGTTGCATGCTCAGACCCAGGGCAAGTCATGAGGGCTGGAGGCTGTGCTTTGAGGTTATGAAGGTCAATGTGATATTGAGTTAGACGAGCTCTTATGAAGTTGGGTCATTCACTTGGGTCAATCTGTTGGAATGAAGCTGGCTGAGCAGAAATATTTACAGGTCAGGAATGAAAAAAATCATCATTAAAATCTTCGATGTGCACAGCCGGTGTGGTTTATCTGTCGTTGTTCACTTTGCCATTTAGTCCAGTAGGTTCAGCTCGAAATCCTTTTAACACAGTGGTCACAGAAGCTACTGCCAAACAGCTGGAGTTGGCCCAGAAAGGGAAACTCACTGGCCATCTTAGCTCTCAGGGACCAGCGCTCAGGAAGCCTGAAGCTGTGGGGTCTCACATTGGGTCAGATGTGGGGGTCGGGTGGGGTCAGACAACCTGGTCATTGCCTGCTGAGAGGGTCAGAGCCTGGGCTTGGGAGAACGTGAGGTTGAAGCTCGTCGCTATTTAACTGTGTGTCTGACCATAATGGCCACGGGCTGAAGTCCCCTTGTTGTTAGCCTGCAAATCCCCCAAGGGCCAGGATTGTACCTGGTTCACCCACACTCAGCTGCATTGCCTTGCATATGGTGAAGGGGTGTCAGAAGTGCTTTTTTGTGAATGCGCTGGAACAGGATGCTCCGAAGAGAATGGGTGAACAGCTCACTCCTTGGAAAGCAAAAAATGATTGATCTTTAGTTGCTAATGTTTAGGTTCTCTTTTATGAGAAGGTTAATTTGGGAAAAACAATTGCTTTCTGCTATGAACAGTCCTGTGCACAGAAGCTAAGGAACTACTCACCCACCATCTTTCAAAGTGCCCTCCCTACAGAGGGCCTGGCCAGCACCAGGGGAATGTCTGCTGCTCAGCTTTTCGTGAATCCTGGAAACACCCAGGCCCCTGAAAGCACCCCCAGAGGGCTTCTGTCTTATGGATCAATTACATGCATTGGAGAAAAACCCTCTAACTGCTACCTTTTTGAGTCTTTATTCCCCTGAGGGTAAGTGGAGGTTAGTACCGACCCCAACCTGACTTACACAGGGAGTCCCGTGAAACCTCGGGGGTTACTCGCCCGGGATTTCCTACCTGACCTTCAGGCAGGGCTTATTCAGCCTGTCTGGCGTGCCCAGCTGGCTTGGGCTTGCCCTCCTGCCCATTTTCTACTTTGTCCATCCAGCACCTGGCTCGGAAGACAAAGGGCTCATGACTGCTCCCTACCTGGCGGTCTTTAAAACAACTGTTCTGACTTGAAAGCTTTTTGGAATCCCGCCCCAGCCCTCTGGACTCTCCCGCCCTCCTCCCTCTGCTCCATGTGTGCAGGACAGAAAGCTGACCTTCTGCCTAGCAGAAGTCTGTTCTGCTCTCTGAAGGGGCAGCTGTGCCTAGAGGCTTTTTGGTGGGGGTTGCAGGCCTCATGGATTATTGAACCCTGGGCCGGTCCCATGCAGTCTCACCTGGCTTGAAGCAGAACCCCTCAGCTCTTTTGTCTTGGGGTCCCTTTGCAGCTCCAGTGTGTGTCAGCTTCCTCCCTGCCACCTTTGCGTACATCCATGGAACAGTGGGAATCAAGGAAAAGCAGGAAGGCTGGTGGTGACGTTTTCCAATTGGTCAAGTTCCCCACTAGTACTGTCTTCCTTCGAGCTAAGATTACCAAGACCCACAGGGCAGCAGCCACCCCTTCCTAGGGATTGAAGAGATTACCCAGGCGTCAGGCAACTCTGGGCTGCCAGGCCCTCCCTGGTCAGAAGAGCTCTCTATTACAGGTTACCCTCCCCCACAGGACCCAGAACACTGCCCTTATTGTAGGGTGTGCATGGGAGCATGCAGGGGTGGTGGGCAAGCTGAGCTGGATGGAGGAGGGACTCGATGCCTGGGAGGGCCTGTCTCCAGCTCTGTGTCCAGTACTTGATGTTTGCTCATTTAGCCTTTCTTCCCATGATCACCCGTGCACAGATGAGGAGGCTGAGCTGGTCTGAGCATGGCCGGTCCATGGTGGGCTAGGCTGGGAGGCAGTCCCTCCCCTCCCACCTTGGAGGCTCTCCTCAGCTGACCCAAAGCCCTGGGAGTCTCCCATCTGGCTGTGGCCACATTGCCCCTTCTCCACGCTGACTGCAAGCTCTCTGATTCTGTCATTCCATCTGCTGGGTTGTGATTTCTCTTGAAGTCCTTCCAAGGTTGGCGTTGGCTGAGGCCACCAAATGAACATCTCCCTGCCAGAGGCACATTTTACATGGCAGCCAAAGTCAGGCTGTTGGAAACACATGCTTCTTTTTTAAATGAAAACAAAAATTACCACCTTTTAAAAAAGAGAATATTACGTTGACTACTTTAACCTTTGGTTTTACTCAAAACAGAGTTTTTGTGTATGGAAATCGTGTGTGCAGCAGTCTGTCGGGGCTGGGGGGGACCGCTGCTGATTCCTGCCCAAGTCCTTCCGAAAGTCAGCTCGGTCCACAGGGTTCAGGATGTGAGCACCAGGCCTGGGTGAAACTGATCATGTATTGTACTTAGCCACTCTTCCTTGGCTCCACAGTCACCTAAATGTGATGTCCTCGGAGTTTATCCAAAGCACCATTATATGAATGACCACGTTTGGAGCATCTGCCTGTTTTTGTAATACTGCAACCCAAAACTCTCGAAGTCTGTCATTGCTGTCTGCATCATCCAAGCCACGGGGCATGCAGGCTTTCTGCAGTGCAGCCTTATAAGAAAGGTCCCTCTGGCAGCTGCTTCCCTTCACTGGAGGACAGGAGCTGTGGAGTCATGAAGTCCTCATGGTGCCACAGCTGCCAGAGAGCTTGGAGCTAAGTTCTGTACTTTGATCCAGGTTGTTTATCTCACCTTAGGTTTTCTGGTAAAAATATTTGTCACCCCCACCTTATTCTCTGAGTCTTGTCTTTGTATTCCTGCTTCCGTGGTTTTCAGATTTATTGCAACTTTCTTAGTGTAAATTGCCCCAGACTTTCTCTGGAAATAGACCACTTTCTTCCCCATCTGCTGTGCAGGCTGGCAGATGGCTGAGGCCGACCTGCCATGGGGGAATTGAGTGTGTAAGGAGAGACGGGCCAGGCCTGGAAGAGCAGACCTGGGCTCACCTGACTTCACCTCTGTGAGCCTGTTTTCTCATCTGGGAAAAAGGAATAACCACACCAGGGCCTGGTGGAAACGGGAGACAAGGCTTTAAATTGCCAAGCCCTGGCACGCAATAGACTTCAGTAATGTTTGTGTCCTTCTTCTGAGTGGCTTTGGGGGTGGTCCACTCAGGGTCGCCCTCCTGGGTGGCTGAGCAGCCTAGTCACGGGCTTCCACTCAGAAGGGCCTGCACTTGGGGTTCAGGGCTCTGCGGTCACTGTCTGGAAGTCCTTCATGGTTTTATCTTTGCGTTTGTGTTTAGTAAGGGAAGTCGATGGGCCATTCAAGCATGTGCTGGGAACTGAGGTCCCTGCTGCTTCCCTGCAGCTGCCTGTGCCCCACCTGTGCCCGACACCCACTGCAGGCCACCTCTGACTCCAGGAGGGCCAAGATGGGCACAGGTGCCTTTGGAGGTCTATAGCTGCCTTGCATCCTGTGCCCAAGGGAGAGTGACTTCAATAGCAAATCACTACCATGGCAGGTTGGGAGAAAGGCCGTGGAAGAGAGGAGGAAGCATTTTCAACAAGACAGCTGGCATCTCCATTTTGCACTGGGTCCTGCAAATTATGCCGCCCACTTTGGGTCTGCTGGTCTCTCTGAGGGTACCGGAGCCTGTGTGTGGATCAGTCTTGGAAAGGTTTCATGTAACCAGGGTCCCTGACTTCATTCTCTAATGAGGGAGGAAAGGAATGGTGGTGTACAGTGCTCATTTTTGATGGCTGCTATAACCAAGTATTACAAACCGGATGGCTTAAAATGACAAAATGTGTTCTGTCGCTGCTCTGGAAAGACTAGAAGCTCAAAGTCAAGAGCCCGCTCCCCACTGGAAGTGTGGAAGAAAGAGACCCTCCTTGACTCTTCCTGGCTTCTGGTGGTTGCCAGGAATCCTTCATGTCCCTTGGACTGAAGGACTTGGACTGCACAGGTCAGTCTCTGTCTCTTTTGTCACCTGATGTCCTCCGCTTGCTTGTCTCTGTTTCTTCTCTTCTTTGAAGACCACTGATCATATTGGATTCAAGGCCTACCCTGATCCCATAGGATCTCAATCTAACTTGATTACATCTGTTGAAACCCTGTTTCCAAATAAGGTCACATTTGTAGTTTCTGGGTGCACTTGGAACTTTTGGGAACACTGTTCAACACAGTACAGATGGTCTTGGCAGGAATTACCCTGTGTGGTTCCTGAGGAAGACCCAACGAGAGCTGTTGGAGGGGCTCTGCCTCAGTGTCTCGGACAGGCTGTGCTCAGTGACCTCCACCAACCGCTTCCCTGGGATGGAATTTAGAAAGCACATGTTGGTCAAAGGACCGTGACGCTGAATGGTGGCTGACAGTGACTCAGGAAATGCAAATGAGTAGCTCCAAAGAGGCCTAGAGCAGTGAGCTGGACACTGCCTGCAGGCACCCATGACTGCAGGAGGCACCCACATGTGCCAAATTTTGCATGGGTTTCATTCATTCTTGTTTCCATTCCACACATATGTATTGGATGCCTACGGTGTTCCAGGCACTGTGCTAGGTACAGGGATGAGAAATGAGTCTGACACAGGAAGGAGTGTTCTGAAGACAGGAAGACCCATGAAGGCCCCAGGAGCAGTGTCCTTGGAGCTGAGCGTGGGAGGAGGAGCCACGTCTGGTGGACAGGCACGTGGCTGTGCAGAGCACATTCCAGAGAGACCACTGTGTGGGCCACGCCAAGGTGGTGGAACCACACAGACCTCAGCATGTGGCACATGGGTCTGCATGTGGATGAATGGTGGGAGACGCATCCCGGAAAGGAACCGGGGAGACCAATTTCAGCAAATGATTACAGAGACTTCAAGGAAGCACCACTAGTTACAGAAGATATTCGGAAACAACCACGATGTTCATCAGGAAGAGAAAAACTAGACAAACAGAAGGGCATCCACACAACAAAATGCTCTGCCGCCAGGAACATGAGCTAAGTAAGTTGATATACACAGATGAGGAAGGAAAGCCCACACCATCTGTTGACTGGAATAACCAAATTACAGAACAATATGCGGCATGTGAGCATGTGTATGTAAAAAGACCCAACCAAATATATATTTTGAAGGTATTTCCATGCAGATATTTTCCATAATAGCTTCACGTGTGTACATGCCTAAGAGACCCAGGAAGATAGACCACAAATTGTTATTAGTGGTTATTTCTGGGTAGTAGGAGGATTATAACAGAGATAAATGTGGGAAATGTACTTATGTTTCACATAAAGACTGTAGTCATCTCTTTATTCCTTAAGCTGTAACCGAAGTGTGAGCAAACTATGACATCGGCCAAAAAGAGGGAGAGTGTGCTTCTGAGGATGGAGGTGGAGGTTGGGATGTTTCACAGGCGGCTTGTGAATACCAGGCCCTCTTCCAGATCACCATCCCCTAATTATATATTGGTGGTTTGCTTCCAGTCCTCCCAAACTTATCTTTCTAGTTATACCGTCCTTTGTCTCCAATAAATGGCATGCTCCTAATTACTGATATCTGTTTTCTGTGGGGAAGATTAGCATGTGCTTTGGGCATCCAGCTGCAGTTCCTAGAACCAATAAGGAAGACTTCACTAATCTTTGTCGGAGGCCAGCATCCTGATTACCATGTGCTTTGCCTCCATGCCTCTTCGTGGGATCCCTCTGGGAGGGTTTTGCCTGGTGCCCTAATGCTAGTGGAATCTCACACCAAGGGCCGGGGTCTGGGCCTCTAGATAGGTGAGGGTGAGGAACGCCTTAACCAGTGCTTTCTTAGGAAGAAGCCAGTGCTGTCTTGAACGGAAAAGCAATGAGGGTGGTGGCAGGCTCCAGATTGTAGGACCTTGGAATGTGTGTCTAGTGGCCCCTAGAAGAGCAGACTTGGAATCAGGAGACATGGGCTAGAAGTGATCTGCATAGAGATCACTGTTGAGGTTTTCACTTCAACTAAGAAACAGAAGAAATACTTTCCTGACGACATAAAGCTGAGAGGTCTGTGAACAGCTTGCATGACATTATTGGCGGGGAGAACTAGATCCTATCTAAAGGATGGAGTTTTGTAAGGAAAATGTACTTGCCCTCCAAAACCAACTGCACGGACACAAGGAAGGTGTGTCTGCGTGTGGCGAGTGTGGAGGAGGCTGGGGATTCTGGAGGACGATGAGGCGGGTTCAGCTGTGGGGCGAGGGACTCAGCTGCAGGCTGGTTCACAAAGGCAAAGGCTGTGGGATGAGCTGCAGAGGAAGCCCCTGGACTCCTGCAGTCCTCAAGGGGTAGATCGCTTTCTCGGAAGTGGTTGGAAGGAGAAGTTTCCAAAGAGTCCTATTGAAAGACTAGACAACCAGAGAAGTCTAGGGATGAAACGGGCTTCCTTGGAGTGTAGTGAGCTCCCTGTCGCCGGATGTGTGCAAGCAAATCTCAAAACAGGGAGGTGAGTCCCACGGGGCAGGAGCTGTGTGTTGTTTTCGCCTCCAGTCCCAGCAGTGGCACCAGGCAGGACTCTGACAGGTGCTCCATAATGGTTGCCCAATCAATGAATTAATGAATATTATTAATCTGGAGAAATATTAGACACCCTGGAATGTTCCTTCCAGGCCTGATGTCTGCAGCACCATGAAATCCCCACTTGAGGGAAGAGGCCTGAGTGAGTTTCCTGTGCCTGCTCTAACACCTTACTGCACATTCTGTGGGTTAAAGGCACACACGTGTTCTCTCACAGTGCTGGAGGCCGGAAGTCTGAAATCAGTTTCACTGGGCTAAAGTTAAGGTGCAGGCAGTGCTGGTTCCCTCTGGAGGCTTCTAGTGGAGAATCCGCTTTCTTGCCTGTTTTGGCTTTAAGAGGCCACCGCGTTCATCAGCTTCTGCTCCTTCCTCCGTCTCCATAGGACATCGCTCCAATCTCTGCACTCTTCAATATATTGCTTTCTCTTTTTCTGTGGCCATATCTCTCACTCCTCATTCTTAGAAGGACACTGGTGATTACATTTAGTGCCTACGTAAATAATCTAGGATAATCTCTTCATTTTAACATCCTTAATCACATCTGCAAAGTCCCCCTTTACAAAGAAACATTCACATTCTGGAGATCAGGACGTGAGCATCTTTTTGTTGGGGAGCAGATGGGACATTATTCAGCTTAACCCTAGGCAGAAGAGAATAAGATTGGAAATGGGTTATTGAAGGCACCTCCATGTCTAGGGAAAAAAGTGGAACTAGAAAAGGAAGAAGCCATAGCATCGAGAGGCTCCAGGACCACGTGGGGACCAGCTACCCAGGGAGGAGAGTTGGAAGGAGAAGGGGTGGCCAGCGTGCAGACAGATCGGGGCGTGGCTGCCTCTTTCAGTGCAGGATACTCAGTGCTGAAGATGGTGCCTGGCGCGTACAGTAGGTGCTCAGTAAGTGTTGAGTGAATGAATGATTGAACAGTAGGTGAGGATGTTGCTACCTGCTGTAGAGAGACTATGTTGGTAGTGCTCGATCAGCTGCTTCCCAACGCTGGGCTTTCTAAATCCCCATGGGAAGCTGAGATATGGGGAGGGTGTGACCGTGAGACAGAGGAGAACTGGACCTGAACAAGGCTGGCTCCTCCACCTGCTCTGTTTCAGAGGCTTGGGGGCTGCCCTTAGAGTATGAGCTTTGTGGAGAGTTGCACTGGACCCACAGAGAAGGCGAAGGAGTGCCAACTGGAATTCTGAAGTGGATTTGCCATGCATAAGAAGCGAGAACGCTGTGAGGTTTCACGCCTTTGGGTTTTGTCCCACTTTCCGAAGGAGATGATGTTGAGACTCAGAAAGCACTGAGCATTGATTTCTATAAGCCAAGGAAATAGATTCGACTCCAACAAGATAACTCTATTATTCAGAAAACTTTTCCCCTCTTCCAGTCTTTCCTGCTTTGGGGACCACCGCCACGTTCTGCCTTCCACCTGTAACCCAATCATTGCAGCTGATTAAAGGGCAGACGTGGAAACTGACATGATGAGCTCTTTTCTTAACTGTCTCCCTTGCTTGCTCCATCCAGCAGATAGAGGATGGCTTTCCCTTGCTGTTCATTCACCAGAGCTGCTGGAGCCCTTCACATTTTATTATGTTTGCTTACAGAATAAACGTGGAATGAAATGTACAGAATTCCCTGAAGCTGATACTGCCATAGACAGGGATGAACGGCAACACTGCCTCCCCGCAGAAAGCTCCAAGGCTTAAGCCTTGCACAGACCAGTGGATGCTGCTAAACCCAGAGCTTCTTGAATTCCTCTTCCTGATTGGTCCTGTGTACATGTCAGCCTCCTGTCAAGGGCTTTGATACTGGATTTCTTAGAATTCAGAGGAAGTTGTTTTGCAGAGTTTGTAAGTTAGTGTAAAATGAATTCTCTGTAAGGCTCTATGTTTACTCTTAGTAGAGAAGACCCCAGGTTGCAGGTTGGCTCAATCAAGCACTCATTCATTTATCCAACACCAAGGAGTGCCTAGCATGTGCCAGGCACAATGAATGCAAAGATGAAAAGGGCTCAGCCACTGATGGCTTCTCAAGAAGTTCAGGCTGGTGAGTTGGTGGAGTGACAAGCGTGCAAACAGCCTCTGAGGCTTTGCATGAGAGATGAGGTCTTCATGAGACACTCCCACTGCACAGAAGCTGGGGTGGCCCATGACTTGGGACAGTGCAGAAAGCCTCCCAGAAGAGCGGCATTTGGTGGGATCTTGAAAGAGGAAAAGCAGTTTTCTGGGTAAAAAAATAAGGGACAGTTTGAGTGTTGGGCCCTGTGGGTGAGAGAGAGCTGCACCCAACCCCTCCTGAAAAATCTGTTCCTGTGTCAATGCAGGGAACACAGTGTGGGGGCAGAGAGACATGGCAGGAGACAGCTGGGGCGGAGGGTGAAGGGCCAGCAACAGGCTGACAGCAAAGAAATGGAAATAAAAGAGCAGCATGGCTGATGGTGGACAGTGGAGGTGAAGCAGGGGGATGGGAGCCCGGAGGCTGGGGGCAGGGGGAGCATGTCCCAGAGAGTACCAGGGTCACAGCCACATCACAGCTCAGCAGAGGGGCAGCCTTGGCAGGTGCTTATTTGGGAGGTGGGAAAGGTAGAAAAAGGGGGCTTCCTGGAGGCTATAGGCTACCTCTGCGATTTCATTCAGAGAGGTGACAGGTCTGTCATGGTCTCGGGGACACTGGGAAAGGAGCAGAGTTTAGGGGAAGAATCAGGGAGTTGATGTAAGATCCAAGAAATGGGCCAAGCAGGAAAAATCCAAGAGGGTAGGAGAGAACCAGACAGGGGATCTGTCCAGGGCAAGAGAAATTCATGGAGCAGAGGGAGCTGTGAGAGCAGCCCAGGGCTGCAGGTGCATCCAGCGCTCCAGTGCCCAGCACAGCCGTGAGCCGGGTCAGGGAAGCGGGAGACACCCGAGGACCAGGTGGTGGCCAGCAGCAAATGGGAGATGACCAAGTGGGGACAGGGGGAGCATATGCCTCTTTCAAAAGAAGAGAGAGGGGGAGCAGAACTCTGATGGGTACAGTTGAGGGAAGAGTTGCTCCGAGACGTGCGACTTGGCCTGTTTGGAAAATGGTGCCCCTGCTTACTCTGCAGGGAGCTAAAGCTGTGCAGCCCCTTCTCGCCTCTGCCTTCACCCCTAGAGCTCTTCTTCCCTCACCCTCACCTCTTCCCTCCCTCCCACCTTCGTTCCATCCAACTGTGGGGCCAGGTGGAGTGGATGTCCATCTTCAATCCTCTCTCTTCTGCTCTAACCCGATTCTGTTGATTTTGTGTAGCCCTATCTGCCTTTCCACTGCAGTTTTTGATTGTGTGACCATCTTGTTTCTTAGGGAGGAGGGCTGGTGCGTCCCTTGTCTTCTCGTCACCATCCCACAGAGGCCTGGACACAAGAGAGGCACAAAGAGAAGGGACTCACCTCTGTAGCTGGGAAGAGTCCACAGGGGTCACACAACCCCCAGGATCTGGCTGATGCCTGTGCCCTGCCCCCCATGGCATTCGCAGTCCCCAGGTGTGGGTCATGTGCTCCAGTGATGGGGAGGTTACCCCTCCGGAGCAGCCTATTGTTATCTTCGTAATCACAGTGACAGATACTAACACACCACAGGACTTGTGGCAGGACATTCACAAGCGGGTTCTCACTCCCTATGAGACTGCGGGTGGCTGGCTCCACTGCTCCCTCCACAGATACGCAAGCGGTGCTTGGAGCAGACTAGTGGCGTTGTGCAGGAGCACAAGGTACGGAAACAGAAGAGCTGGCTGGGAACCCAAACCCAAGACACGCGCTTTCCCCACCGTGTCGCACAGCCTCATGAGATCGCCATATGTGGTACCTCGTAGGTGTGGAAGGCACCTGGAAGGCACTAAGCTGTGCGGTTGGGTGGCAGAACAGGTCCTGACTGGAGGAGCTGCTGGCAGCACTCTGGTGAGAGGCTTTGAAGGGGACTGATGGGTTAGCAAGGTGTGCCTGGTGCCCGGTGGGTTCAGAGGCAGAGACCGGGTTTTAGCCTGGTACTTTCTCAGAGACCTGCCTGACAGCACGGACAGGCTTCCAGTCGGGTGAGTCACGGTTGGTCTAGAAGGGCATGAATCTTGTAGGGACTCCCCATGGAAGATGCTGGCGTGCTGGGGGTGGGAGGCCTGGGAGGCAGTGGAGGTGTGGGGGATGGAAGGGTGTCCTGGGGCCTCCTGGAAGGAAGAAGAGGCCTGCCTGCCTGGATGAAGTGAAGTCTCCCCCCAACCACCCCATGAACCCTGCTTCCTGCTTATCTTATTTTATAAACTAAGAACAGAAACAATAAAAACAAGCAGACAACAATACTTCAAACAATGAAAGGAAAACTGTGAGGCAGAGTGAACCCTAGGAAAAAATAATTTAAAACAATGAAGTTTTCAATAACGTAAAGATCATCTGAAAGCAACGCTGGGGTTTTGGGGCCCAGAAGCCTCCTGGGCTTCCCGTGGGTCCTCCAGGCTGCTAGGGTGCACAGCCACCCTTGGGACTGTGTGCTCAGCCCTTGGCCTCGGCTCCTTGTGGCCCCTCTCTCCCTGGTGGACCCCCCCACATCTGGTGTGCAGTATTCCTGACCACAGCGAAGCTGGCCAGTCTGAGACTGCCCCAGTTGGGATGCCATGTCGGCGTCTTTGGGTCGAAGCCCCTGGGAGGAACACAGAGTCAGTGCCCTTGGACCTGCCTGCTCAGTCCCGTGATCAGTGTCACTGGATGCCAATGTGGAAGACCCATGGCTGAAATTTGCAAATGACAGAAGTCTGTCAAGATGTTGAATTTGCTGGAAACAATTCCAGAGGCAAAGAGACCTCCCTGGGCTGGATTCTGCTGCGAACACCACATGCTGAAATGTGACTGTGATGGAGCTGCTTCTGCACCCCAGTGTGAGCTTCAGAGGCCTCTCCTCTCTTGCCGCATGAGGAACGCCAGCCCCACTGGGGGTAATTTGTCTATGATGCTACCTCATGGAACACATGGAAAGTTCCAAGTTTCATGGAACATGAAAAGATACACGATGCATATTCCTTTATGAATTCCTGCCAGGAAAAGTTGGTCTGGACTACCTGCCTAGTAGGCATCCTTTTACCAGCCATGGGAAACCTGTCATGCTTCCCTCTGTGCTCTATTTTCCAGGAAGCCTGCGCAAAAGCTTGCTTGGATGTAATAACCAGCTTATTTCAAGAAACTGGAGGACTTTTCTCTGCCAGGTCTGTTCTTTCATATACTTGTAGCTTCTCCATTTTGCCTTGTTGTGTGCTGTTTACATGCATGTTTTTTATAAGATATTCAAATGCCTGTGTAGTTAAGCAATGAGTGTTATTTCATTTTATTTATTTACTTATTGATATTTTGAGACAAGGTCTTAATCTGTCACCCATGCTGGAGTGCAGTGACGTGATCTTGGCTCACTGCAGCCTTGACCTCCTGGGCTCAGGGGACCCTCCCACCTCAGCCTCCTGAGTAGCTAGGACTACAGATGCGCACCACCATACCCGGGTAATTTTTGTATTTTTTGTAGAGATGAAGGTCTTGCAATGTTCCCCAGGCTGGTCTCAAACTCCAGGACTCAAGCAATCTGCCCACCTCGGCCTCCTAAAGTGCTGGGATTAAAAGGGTGAGCCACCACACCCGGCCAGTAGGGGTTATTTTAAAGTCTGACTCTTAGATACAGAAAAGCCACTGGTAAAGAATGGTCAGGCAGCAAAGAGTTGCTTTAGCAACGGGTAGGCTGAAAATGCCTTGGAGGAGTCAGGCCGCTGTAAATAGAGTGAGACTGGACAAGGGCGTGACTGTACGGAGACCTGAGACGGAAATAGCCAACCACGTCAAGGCTGTGGAAGATGCTCAGGCCACATCCCCTCTAGAGCATGGCCTCGAGTCCTAGGCTGGGCTTCAAGAGGGGTGGGGGCAGGCTCTGGGTGTTCAGTGTTCAAGCTGATGGGCCGTGTTGGTCAGAGAATGAGAGGGACTGAACCGCGGTGGTAATGTTTGGAGGATGTGGCTGTGGATTAGACTAATTCTGTGCGCTCCTGGCCCAGTGAGGAGAAGCTGGCTGAGTGCAAAGCCTCCCCAGGCCTTCTGCATCTAGTGGGAAGTAATGGTGATGAGGTCCCCGTCAAGGAAGGCATTCAGGAGGAGGCACTTGACCATTTTCCTAGGATGGAGTAGAGGGGCTTTGTGCATGAGGTAGGGTTGAGTTTCTGAACCTGAGAGTCAATTATCCACCTCCTATTGACAGGCTGACATGGGAAACCTCAGCAGATCCATGCAAACACACAGATTCTACCAGGGGCCATGAGGAGCGTCCCCGCATCTGAGCTGGCCTCCTTGTCTCCACTTTTTCAGGACCTGACACTGTGTCCCTCAGCCTGCTGTTCATCTGCTTGGTGTAGGTTGGGTAGCAGGTTCTGGGAGAAGAATGGGGGACTGAGGACTTGGAAACCTTCCTGTGGGATGTTCCTGGGCTGGGGGTGAGGTGTGGAGGGGAGGAGGGGCCTGTTGGTTCCTTGTTTCTGAAGCTGAGGCTTTCAGGCTGGAGCAGTCAGGTCTGCAGGAAACACCATCCCAGGCCTGTCTCCAGCTTCCCTTCACTTCTCTATCCTAAAGTTCTCCTGGGGGTTTTGGTTTCAGAAAAGTTCCTGTTGACATAAGGCTTTGGGCACTTTGGGTGACTTTGCCTCATTGGCTGCTGTATTTAGGCAGTGAGGAGGGGTGTGATGGGTCTGTGGATGTGGACCTCAGGGCCGGGAATACAAAGGTGAGGCGCATCCCAGAATGTCACCGTGACATTCAACAACTCCACTCCACATACATGGATTGAGCTCCCAGGAGCAAAGCCAGGGAAGCCACAGGGAACTCCTGAGTGCTCAGAGGCAGCGTCAGGAGCAGCGGATCCTCATGGAATGGGGCCAGGAGCTCCAGGAGGCAAACATAGGGTGCAGGATGGGAGGTCAAGAACAAGCCCTGCTGAGTCCCCACCCTGTGCCAAGTGCAGTGGGCACAGGGCTGCAGAAGTGTCCAAGGCTCGATTCCTGTAAGGAGCTGAGTGTGGAGGGCTTGGGACATTGGGGGAGGCCACTGTATGCCTAGGAACTGTAAGGCACAGTGTGGCCAGCAGACGGACACCCCACAAGGCCCATTCACCCATGATGTGGAGGGTCCCCCGGCGTTGGGCTATGCAGAAGTCCCAGTGGTCAGTGAATTGGGGATTTTGACACAAGAGCTAGAGGGGCACAGCAAGGGGCAGTGACTTGTGTGTGTGTGTGGGGGGGGGCGGGTCACAGTGAAGAGGTGACACCCTCATCCGTCAGGCAGGAAGTGAGGGCATCCATGCAGCTGGCGCAGGCGTCCACTCTGTGGGCAGCAAGACCAGGCGTCACTCCCCCTGTTTTGTAGCCCACTAACTCTGGGCCTTGTTGGCTTCCCGGACATTTGTTAGTAATAGAGAAACTGATTACACATGTGACCAGGCTCTCTGACAATGATTTCCCTCTAACAATTTCCAGGTTTTTAATCCAATTCATCAGCCATTCTAGAGTGAGTGCTTCACGAAGTCCAAGTAAGGAGCTGGCAATAATAATAAAAACTGAAGAAAGGAGAGAGGGGAAGGAAACTGAGGCCATCCCAAAGATTAAGATAAGTTTAAGCAAGCCCAGGAATGAAGAGCAGGAGTGGGGAGGCCATCGGCGAGGTGGAGCTGCTCAGGATGGGGCAGCTGCCTTGTGCTGGCCACAGGCCAGTGTGGGGAGGAAAGGGTGAGCTCTTGGAGCTCCTGGCTCAGCCTCGCTTCCGAAGCAGCATCCCTCATCTCAGTACTCTACCCCTCGTCTCAGTACTCCACCCCACGGCTCACTTTCTGTCTGGAAACCTTTCCACAGTCAAAAGACTCCTCTCAAGTCCCAAGAGCACCAACTCTCCACTGTTCAGAATCCCATCTCACCCACCTTGTTGCCCTTGTGACTGGATCCATGTCCACTGCGGAAGGAGTGTAGAGGTGTGAGAAAGGCCCAGAGAGGCGTCCCGGGTGGCTCCTTTCTCTCTGGAACCAGGACTGCAATGTAGCCTGGGTGTTCACCATTATGGACTTCCGAGCCTTTTAGACAAAGGGCCATTCATTACCATCAACGGTTCTCCGGAAAGCGCCCTAGAAGCAGCTCCCTCCTTGCCTGTGGGTCCAAGTTGTCAGGGTCTCCCTCTCAGTGTGGAAGCATCCTTGGGCTGGCCAGCCCCCGTGGAGTCACTTAGGGAATCTGGCAGGCTCCCATAGGCAGGGGCCACCCAGAGGAAGGACCTGCATACTACCACCCTCAGGGAACAGCCTGGCCAGGCTCTCAGCGGGGGCAGCATTTGAGGCTCTGAGAAGCAGAGCTGATGTCTGGCTCGGGCAGACTGGCCAGAACAAAACAGCCGATCCAAGGCAAGAGTTCCAGCTGGCAGACAAATTTCCCTGTGGGACCCACGGACCTGATGTTCTGCCCATGAGTCTCAGGGTGAGAGGGTGCTGGGGTGCGGTGGGCCCTGGCAGGACCCCCCTGTTCCCATCTCAACCAGAGAGATGCCACTGGATCAGTTTGACACATTGCAATCCCACGGAGGTTTTGGGGGATGCAGGGAGAGGTTTGCTCTTGCTGAGATGTTCGAGACCATTCGCGCAGCAGACGAGGCATGCGAGGCGCTCTCCCATGTGGTGGCTTCTTCGTCTCAGCCCCACCTGCTGCTGCCACATAAGTGCCTCACTTGTTTCTTCGTTGCCTTCCGTCCCCCCAGCACAGGAGCTGCCATGGGCTCAAGTTCTGTGCATTTTGTTCCTTGTTGGGTTCCCCACGCCTAAAACTGTGCCTGGTTCATGTCAACCCCTAAGAAATATTTGTTAATTGAGCAAGTGAAGTGCAGGGGTGGGATTCAGGAGACCCAGGTGTAAACCCAGCCCCACCGCCTGACTTTGATGAAAGGATTCAACATCTCTATTCCTGAAGCTGAGACCATCCCGGCCGCTACTGTCCACAGTGGGTGAGTCCTGGATTCCAGATTCCATCCGCACAAGGCTGAGGATGGCTCTCCTGTCTCCTAAGTGAATATCCGAGGTCGGTTCCTCCTCAGCAGCCCAGGGTGGAGGTGAGGCTGGCCAGCGGAGGGAGGCCCCACAGGTCATCTACCAAAAACCTACACTGGGACAGCTTTCCCCACACGGCGGGCAGCATTCTTCACGCTGTCCACACAGGGCCCTTCACTCAGAGCGGCCCACAATGCTCAAGCTCCCTGACACAGCCTTTGGGTCCCTGCTGATGTAGGGACCCCATGACCTGGATTCCAGGGTCTTCATCACCTCTTGGCCCTGTGGTTGTGGGAGAGTCACCTCTCTGGGCCTCGGTTTCCACATCCATAAAATAAAATTAAGATGCTCACATCACAGGTGACGGACGAGGGGTAACAGAGGTCACAGCTTGCAAGGCCTTTGGTGCAGTGCAGGGAACAGTGCATGCTGGACGCCCCGTCAGCCCCCATTGTCTGCCCCCTTCTCATTATTTAGGGTGCACGGGCTCAGACCCTCCACCTCAGAGCCCTCAGGGAGCCTGGGGACATTCCACTCTCAAACAATATCCCAGAACCCAGGGCATTTGAGGATTCCAGAGTGGAAGTTTCAGCTAAGCGATGCCAAGAAGGAATCTGCCGTTGAACTGAAGCCCCAGCCCACCTGGGGCAGTGGGAGCTGGTGTGGCCGAGGGCCTGGCTTGGCAGGTGCCTGATCCTGACCTCACGCAGCTCCTGGCCCTCACCTTCCTCCAGGCAGTGACCTGCAGGGGAGGGACCAGGCCATTTCAGGGATGTCCCTGGGAAAGCGGGAAACACAAGGACAAGAGAAATTTACTTACTGGTGTCACTCATGAGGTTTCTCTTGTGCTAATGAATTAGCCAAACGATTCCTCTTCCATGCCATCAGAGGGAGTTTTAGGGAGAAAAATCATGTCTGTGCCATTTGAGGACTCACCCGCTGTGGGACAGTAGTGGCCGGGATAGTCTCGGCTTCTAGAATAGACCGTGCATCTCAAAACGCCTGAAAAGGAGGGGAATGGATGCTGCCACCGTGAGGAGGCCCGAGCAGACAGCCCCGGGAGCCTGGGGTTCTCTCTGCTTGGCCCTTGCGACCCTTGCTGTGCAGCCTGTCCCATCCGCCTCCCTGAACGTCAGCAGGATGGCTGTTGCTGTTCCTGATGTCATATGCAGGAGTCCAGTGGACAATACAGAAGGACTGTCCCTTCCATGGGAAAGGAGCCTTTTCTGTGGCCCCTACCAGGCCCTGGTCCCACAATCAATGATGATGCCAGGTCTGGCCCATGGGCAGGGACAAGGCCAGTGCACACTGGGGTTCTGTCAGCAAAGAAGGGAGGTGGGCATACGGTGACATGACAGAGCCGACCCCAGTGACGGGTGGAGGACCTGCTTTTCTCCTGTGTGTGGGGACAGTGGCCCCAGTGACAGGCAGAGGACTCTCTTCCGTCCTGTGTGTGGGGACAGTGACCCCAATGACAGGTGGAGGACCCTCTTCCCTCCTGTGTGTGGGGACAGTGGCCCCAGTGACAGGCAGAGGACCCTCTTCCCTCCTGTGTGTGGGGACAGTGACCCCAATGACAGGTGGAGGACCCTCTTCCGTCCTGTGTGTGGGGACAGTGGCCCCAGTGACAGGCAGAGGACTATCTTCCCTCCTGTGTGTGGGGACAGTGACCCCAATGACAGGCAGAGGACCCTCTTCCCTCCTGTGTGTGGGGACGGTGTCGCCCAGGGGCAGGTGTTGTACAGGCCTCCCAGGAGGCTTCATGAGACGCGCTCAGCAGAGCCGTGTGGTCATCAGGGTGGTGGCAGGATCAATATGGCGGTGATCATTGTTCTCTGCCCTCCTTGCCTGCTCCCTTTTCCTGTGTCTCTCATCCCTCCCCCTCTCCCTCTGTTTCTGACCCTGGAGCGAGGCGGACATTTGAAGGCTTCATCCAACTTCTGCTTCCTCCCGCTCAGACCTCATTAGAGGCCAGGGTGTCTTCCACGGAGGCTCCTGGGCTCTCTTGGGGCTCCCTCTCTGGAGACCAGGGGGCTGCTGGGTGGGACAGTGTTGAGGGTGGGACTGGAGTGTGGGAGTGTCCCTGGTGCCAGCTTCCAGTGGTTCACACCTTTGTAAGCCTGGCTTGGACTTGAAACTGAGGATATTATATTAGTTTCCTAAGACTGCCATGAATCATGACCACCAACTGGGTGGCTTAAACCAGCACAAACTTATTCGCTTATAGTTCTGAAGCCCAGAGTCCAAAACCAAGGGCCACAGCCCCTCTGGAGGCTCCAGGGAAAAAACCCTCCTTGCCCCTTCCAGCTTGCGGGGTTGCAGGCATTCCTTGTTTTGTGGCCACATCGCTCCAGCCTCTCCCTCATCACGTGGTCTTCTCTTCTCTGTCACCTCCTTTTCTGTCTCTTATAGGGACACTTGCCATTGGGTTTGGTTCTCACCCAGTTAATCCAGGATGATCTAATCTGAAGATCCTTAACTTGAGAATATCTGCAAAGACTCTTCTTCCCAATAAGGTCACAGTCAGGGGTTGGAGGATGTGAACATATCTTTGGGGGCCACCACCATTCAACCCATCATACTCAACCTAAACCAGAGGTTCCAGGAGTTTTCACCAGCAGCCGTGGCCTGCTCAGCTGAAAGGCAGCCCCTCCTGCTCTCTCTGGAGTCCGGCCTGCTGGGATCCTGGGACTCGCCCCCACTCTGTGCAGTTGTGCGTTTTCTGGTGGCGCAGGACATAATAAGGGAAAGTTGCTGTGCTGAGACCTGGAGCAGGCTGCCTGGCAATACTGCTATCAAAGCTCTTAGGCACTTTCCTATGCCAGAGTCCTGGGCAGGAGAGTAATTGTTCATTTGAGAGTCTGGGCCTGATCTCCTGAGCTCAGAAGACAGGCAGCCTGCTGTCTTCACGGGGCCCTGGACCATGGGTTGAACCTGACGCTTTGACCCTGAGCTCCCCGTTCTGACCTGCAGCCTGCAGGGTTAGGAGGCAAGGGCTTTAACATTCCTCCCAGCTGCTACAGTCTGTGTGTCTTGACTCTGTCCAGGGTACAGCTTTGGCTATTGCTTGGGCCTGTCAGGGTGACAAGCAACCCTTAGTGGCCCTTAGTGGCCTTAGTGGAAATAAGCCAGTCTGTGCAGAGCCAGAAGCAGAGACTATCTGACTCTCATGGGGAGGGAGTTCACCAGAGGTCTCTTTATTGCTGTGCACGACGTCCCTCTCATCCCTCTCATGTCTCAGTGATCCAGCAAGACCCTGGATGCACCCAGGACAGAGCCTACAACAGGTCTCTCAGGCTGGGCCGCGTCCTCGCCACTCCATGCATCCTCTCTCCGAGCAAATGCTGTGATTCTATTTTTGTTCCCGGAGCATGGTTGTGCCTGGCCCAGGGTCACTACTCAAGCCCTCGCCACAGTGGCCCATTGTTTTGGGGGTTTCTGTCTTTCTTTTCTTTTATGCTTTCTGTTTTCCTTGAGATACATTTGTCTTTATTACTATAAATTATGCCTTAACCACCATTTTACATCTTTTTTTTTTTTTTTTTTTTTTTTTTTTTTTTTTTTGGTAAGTGTGGTAGGTAATACTCAGGAAAAGACTTTGGTTTTCTTTAGATTTGACCAGGAGGTTTGAAGGCATAGACAGGCTTGAGGGCTGAGCTTCAAGGTCTCATTTTCTTGCTTTAATTTTTCTGTTCAGATTTGTCTTCTTTTTTGATTTTCTCTGACTGCAGGGCACATGTGCAAATGCATTGAACTTGCTGTCCTCCAACTCTGAACAGTTTTAAAATTCACTTTTTATTTCCTACCCACAGAAAAAGAAATGTTTGCTTCAACACGTATTGTTACAATCATTTTGGAATTTGGGATATGTGGGAAAGGTAGAAGGTTAACGTCTCTTTTTTAATGGACTGTTTTCTCTTGACTTACAGTCGAGATAAAACATGCACAAGCATACGGAAGAACGATAGCAACGGGGTTGCTTTTGGCAAGGATTTAAACAACATGCACTGTCAGCCTAATCATATCTTTAAAAAATTAGAGGATAATGAGCATGCACTCTGTGCCAGACACTGCACTTGGCTCTTGAAATACATTATCTTATTTAATCCTTGCAGCCTCGTGAAGTGGATGCTTGTGTCTGCGTGTTCCAGAGCAGGCTCTGCAGCAGATCCACCTCCCGAAAGTCACATTCGTGGCTCTGGCTATCGGGCTCCAGGGCTTACTCAGTCTTTCCATGACGCTTAACTCCAGCCACCGCCACCCCCTACTTTCTCTGCCCCTCGGTGAGGATGAAGGGTGCAAGGGCAGGGCCTGCCTGGGGCAGTGGGGCCCTGGGCGCACGGGCTGCAGACCCTGTGCACCAGCCCTGCTTGCAGGAGTTTGCAGTGCAGCTGGGAGGTGGACAGGACTCGAGGACTTACAAATGAGGAGGATGGCTGCACCTTGGGACATAACTCCCAAGTGGTGATAGAGAATTGGAAGGGTGCAATTCACTCAGGTGGGCAGGGCAGCCCACTTGCAGGAGGAGATATTGAAGAGGGGACCAGAAGGATCGGAAGGAGCTGGGCGTATGAGGAGCACGCAGGGGAGGGCAGACCAAGCACAGGCAGTGTGTGTGAGCGGGGAAAGGGGTCCCTCCGGCCTGGCTGGCCTGCAGGGAGAAGAGAGCGGGGGTGACGTGAAGGCTGAGACAGAGGCAGAGCCAGTTCAAGCAGGGCCCTTCCAATCAGGGCATTTCATTCCAAGCCAAGGCCAGGGGTAATCACTGGGGAGACATGTGCTGTTAAAATAGGCCATTGTGCCTGCTAGGCGGGGACTGGCAGGGGGACCAGGCGAAGAGGGGCAGCCGCCTTCTTGATTTCCATCATGTGGCTGGTAAGAGTGATCTCCTGACTGTAAACTGCCGGAGCAACGCAGAGACCTACCCCTGCTACAAACCACAGGTTCAGACTCACAGCAAGGTCCTTCCCATCCTTTGCTTGTTTGCTTGGAGAGACTTGGGGTAGCACCATCACACATTTTCTAGATGGTCCCTCCATTTGGGTTCGTCTGTGGTTGTTGTCATGGTTAGATCGGGGTTGTGGGTTTTTGGAAAGAGCCCGCAGAGGGGACGTGCCCCTCTTGTCACATCCTGCCAAGGGTATAGGCGGTTAGTGTGATGTGTTCCTGAGGAGGGAGATGGAGTCTGGGCTCCACACACCTGTGCTAAGCGTCTCTTGTGTGCTGAGCAGAGTGGAAGCTCTGAGGATTTGGAAGAGGATGAGACAGGCCTCATGGAGCTCACAGCCATGGTGTGGAAAGGATAGGAGCATCCACAGGGCAGCTACGCATAAGTCATGTGAGCTGAGCAGGGCAGGAGTTCAGAGGGGCATACATTAGCTGACCTTGTGGGGGCTAGGACCATTCAGAGAGGATGCCCGAGTGGGGTTTCAAAGGATGAATAGGAGCTGGTCAGGCAGGTAGTCAGGGGGTAGTGCAGGCAGAAGGATGAAGAGATGAAGAGGAGTGAAGATGGGCTGGGAACAGTGGTGGCTTTGCATTCCTGGGATACAGTGTGGATAAGGCCAGGGGGAGCTGCTACACAGAGGGAGGACTTGCGGTTCATGCCTAGGGTCCTGGTCTTCCTTCTGTAGGCTTAGAGGCTGCCCAGTGTTCCGGTGGTCATGGAGCTGCTTGATGCAACATGGAGGGTGGGCTTGATGGGGATGTGGGTGGTGAGAGAGCAGACAGGGAGCCAGCTAGAAGCTTTTATCAAAGTCTTCCCAAGAGAGGTGGAGGAGGGTCTGCAGAAGGAGGTGTCTACTGGGGGCAAAGGAGTGGACAAGCTGAGAAATTCAGTGGGGAGGACAGAGGGGACTCGGAGTCTGAGTGGAGACTCGGGGCAAGCCTGAGACCCAGGGGAGGTGACACCCTCACTGCTTTGGGGTGCATGGACGGTGGGGGCGATATCCTGGCCAGGAACTATAGCCAGGAGAGCAGGTTTCCAGGAGAGAGGAGGCAGCGGGGACTGGCCCTTCTGGGAGAGAGGGGGCAGTGGTGACCAGCATGATGTGGACAGTTGAGGGAATTGGATGTGTGTGTCTGGAGCTGGGATGGAGAACAGGGCCAGAGGTCATTGGTCTGTACTGGGTGGGGAGCAGGGGGAGAAGGTGAGAGATGTGGAAAGAGGGTCCTACAGTGTGAGCATTGCAGAAAGCCAGGAGTAGAAGCCCAGGAAACATGAACAAAGGAACAATTCACCAGGTCTACACATATGCAACCACATCAACAGTATTTGAGTATGCTGGATAAATTTCATTACTATGCCTTTAACATTCTGGAACATTCATTGAATGGGTTTAGAGGCTACCCACTCTAACTCAACACCCACGTTAAGATCTGAATCAATACATTCAATGACCTACTCCTGGTTTGGGAAGAAAGCGAAGTCTTTGGCTGACGTTGACTAGAGTTGGGAGGAAACGTGGCAACTCTCTTAACAGAGAACCCCTTTATTCTGGTGTAAGGGGTGAGCCGGAGGCAGGAGCACCGCCTTATAATAGCAGCTCCCAACTAACATGCAGGGCGACTTCGGGCTGGCCTCCCAATTTCTCTGGTCGATGTCCTCAGCTCTGAGGTCGGGGCTGGCGGGGCGGCGGCCGGGTCGATGTCTTCAGCTCTGAGGTCGGGGCTAGCGGGGCGGCAGCCGAGCACTCTTTGTGCTCCACAAATCGCTCTACTTCTTTGTTTTCCCATCATTCTCTTCCTAGCTCTAAAACACAGGTGAAGGATTAATAACGTGGCAGGTTAATTAACTTTCCATATTTTCTTTTCTCTCCCACTTCCCTGTTCCTCTAAGCAGGTGACAGGTATATGTGATTTATCTGTCCTGCTGTTGTCACATTTTCTATTGTAATTCCCTCAGTCTTGGACCAGTGATCTGGAGACCTCACTATTTCTTCCCGGATTTCTGTAATTTTTGCAGAGGCTGCTTCCTGCGCCTTCCCTCTGAGCATCAGGCTCAACTCACCAGAGGCAGCGGAGCGAAGCCCCAAGCGTTGGTGACAGCTGATATGTTCCACACGAGCTGTGGAATGATCTGCATTAAATGAGGATTTATGATCAATCCTCATAAATTAAGGCTGCCTCAGAAGCCCAAGGTGAGGCCCATGCTAGTGAGCCTTTGTTAATTAGCATGGGGAAGCATCCTCACTTAGTCCAGGAAAGCAATGAGTGTTTGTTACAAGTGCCTGTTTCGATTTCATGGTGGTTGTAGCTGGTGTTGATGCCACAGACCCTCTGGGTGGCCGCTGCTTGCCGTGGGTCACCCTATGGGTGGGGGCCTGTGTTCCCTGAATAGACAGAGTCTACTCAAGGGAACTGCCTCTTTCAGGGTCAAAACCCAATGCCATCTCTAGGTACTCTGTGCTCTGTGCCTTGCCAGGTGTGTACCTGTCACAGTTATTGAACTTTTCCTCTTGTAAAGTGGGGATAATGCCTCCTCTGGAGTGGGTTGAATAGCATCCCCTGCCCAATATATGTCTATATCCTAACCCCTCGTAACTGTGACTGTGGCCTTATTTGGAAATAGGGTCTTTGCAGATGTAATGAAGGCTCTTAACATGGTATTGTCCTGGATTAGGGGAGGCCTAAACCCAATGATGGATGTCATTACAAGCAGAGGAGAGGACAAAGAGAGACACAGAGAAGGGGGCCGTATGCAGAGTTTGGAGAGATGCAGCCCCAGGCCAAGGGATGCAAAGGTTGCAGGAGTCACCGGCGCTGGGAAGATGCAGGAAGGGTCTTGCCCTAGAGCCCCTGGAGGGAGCAGAGACCCTGCCATCCTTCATTTCTTACTTTTGCACTTCTGAACGATGACAGAGCAAATCCCTGCTTTTTATTTTATTATTTATTTATCTTTTGAGACAGAGTCTCGTTCTTTCGCCCAGGCTGGAGTGCACTGGGGAGATCTCGGCTCACTGCAAGCTCCGCCTCCCCGGTTCACGCCATTCTCCTGCCTCAGCCTCCCGAGTAGCTAGGACTACAGGTGCCCGCCACCACGCCCGGCTAATTTTTTTCTTTCTATTTTTTAGTAGAGACGGGGTTTCACCGTGTTAGCCAGGATGGTTTCTATCTCCTGACCTCATGATTCGCCCGCCTCGGCCTCCCAAAGTGCTGGGATTACAGGCGTGAGCCACCGCGCCCGGCCGTCCCTGCTTTTTAAACCTGCCTGGTTTGCGGCACATTGGTAGGGTAGCCACGGGAGGCCGGTGCACACTCCTCTCACACATCGGGACGGTGTGAAGTGGGTGAGAGCACATGTCTGACACAGGCTGGCGCAGAGCCAACCCGCCGCACCTGCTGGGCCCCACCGGCTGTTATCCTGCCTTATCCACCCGCCCTCCCCACTCCCGAAGAAGGGCTCTGCCCTCTGCCTGGGGCTACATGGACAGTCCTCAAGAAGCAGGGCTGGGGGCCTTTCTGGCCTTTGCCCGTGGGCCTTGCACTCTCCGTGACAAGGCGACACAGGCAGCAGGCCTGGAGCCAGGAGGAAAAACATTATTTCTAATTCCTGATTATTTGATCATTTTATTGTAATAAACTTTGAAGGTGTGGTAAGCCATGCCAACTGTTTTGTGGGGTGAACTGGGGTGTGTGTAAACTCATAGGGTCATTAATTCCCTATGAGGCTAGCAGGTGGTTAAAATAGCACCCCACCTCGTGGGCGTGTTGGCATCAGCTTTTGTTGTGGTTCTGTGATGGGGTGAACTGGAGGGGCCCCAAGAAAGGCCAGAGGGTCATTTGTTGGGGCCAGAAAGGCCTTTCCTGGGGTCCTTACCACAGTAGGGCTTAGGGGTTCCCATCCTAGGCTGGACAAATGTGGAGTTTTAAAACTGGACTCCTGAGTGCCACCAGAACAACTCAGTCTTCTGGGAAGTGCCTTGCAAATGCATTCTGGGGGTCTTCAAGAGCTCCCGGGGGTAGCTGAGGAGAAGTTGGCTATGAGATCAGGTCTCAGGAGAGAGCCCTCTAGCGCTGGGAGCCGTGGGCAAGGGAGGTCACTGCCCCACACAGAGAGGGTCATCTACCACTCTTCTCCACAAGATCCCTGTTCAGCGGGGACCGCAGTCAGGGAGCTAGGTGGCTTCCCACTTTGCAGGGCAGCAGCAATGCTGATGGGACATGAAAACAGAGGAAGAGCTGTTGTGGGATGCTCAGTCATTCCTTGTGAGTCCACGTTCATTCCCAAGTCCACCAGGCAGGCCGGAAGCCTCCTTTTTGAAACAATTTTCAGTTGATTTGAAGCTTGTAGAAACCTATGAATAAAGAATGAAGTTAAGTGGGTGTCTGAGCAGTTTCAGATCGAAATCTCACCAAGGTTTTCAAATTGTAATAAGTCTTAAACACAGAATGGTTGATTTCAGCTCAGATGGATGTGGCGTGGGGTCAACAGAGTCCAGAAGAATCTGAATCTAGACCAGAATAGAGCAGTCCATGCCTACCAAAGGCAGCTTAGTGAGGAGCAGCCGGAAGGCTATAGGCCATGTGGTGTGCGTGTGTATATGTGCGTGTTGCTCTCTGTGTGTGTGTGAGCATCTGTGTGTGTGCACGTGCACATGTGTGCGAGAGATATCACGCAGCCACATAACAGTTCCCATTCTCATCCTCATGTGGTGGCTCAGTCTTTCTCAACAAATCCTGTTGTCAACCCCAGAAAATCCTGCACTTTCAAAAGGCCTCCAGAAAGTACTTTCCGTAAGAGGTTTGGAGAAGACACGGGCCATGCAGAACGCTGCTCCAAGAGGCTTCTTGGGTGCCATGAGCCACTTGGCACAACCACTGCCTACTCTGTGGCCTCCTCTGTGCCCTGAATCAGAAGCACACACTTGGCCCAGAAATACGTCTTCTCCATGGAGTGAGCAGAATGCGGGGGACTGTGTCAGGAGAGCTGGGTTTCATCCCCGGACTGGGGCCAAATGCCTGACAGATCACGGAGCCTGTGTGGTTCTCATCCCTCTTGCTTAGAAAGCGCGAAGGCTGCTCTTCCCCTAGGAGAATTCGTGGTGTATTTTGGGAATGCAGGGGGTGAGCTGGTCTTAACCTGGGACAGAATTCATCTCAGAGGAGCCCTCGTCCTTAAGGCATCTAAAACTCCTTCTCAGCATGTTTCCCTCTGACCACGTCCTTTCATTGGAACTCTCCCTGCCTGGTTTTCTCACCTCTTCTTCCCCTGCTACCTGCCATCTCTTTTTCTCAGACTCTTATGAGTTATCTTCTTCCCACCCCTGGCAGCTTCTATCCTTAGTTCTCTTCCCTTCCCATCTTCCCCCTGCCCCCACACCCCCCATCCCAGGCATCTCAGCTCTGCCCCAGCATCAGTGTCTGGAACAAGCTGGACACTGTTTCCATCTGTGCTGGCCCCATCCCATGGGCTCCAGGTCCATGATGTACCATGAGCAGGATGTCTCCAGTGGCAAGACCCTGAGTCACGTCAAACCAACCTTATCCCAAATACAATTCCTATCATACTGCCAGAGCCCTGAGAGCGACTTGGACTGAATCCTCTTCCTCTCCACCTCCTTCCCTCCTCCCCAGATCTGGCATCTGAGTCAGCTCCAGTCTGAGAGTAGCTGCTTTCAGACACAGACCAACATTTTCTCTTTTTTCCCTCCTCAAAGCTTTTGGCTGGATCCCCTCTCATTACGGCATCCGAGGTCTTCTTGGCTCACACTTTCTGGCCTCTTCCTGCATCCTGAGCTTCCACTCCACTAGCTCTGAACATTCAGTTGTCCCTGACCCCAGTTCTCCAGTGTATCCTTCTGCCTGGGTCCGTCTGGTTTCTTGGTGGACTTGTAATCACCCTTAAAGACCCTATTCAGGCCTGGCATGGTGGCTTGCACCTGTAACCCCAGAGACTTGGGAGGCTACAGAGGGAGAATTCTTTGAGGCCAGGAGTTCAAGACCAACCTGAGCAATGTAGTGAGGCCCTGTCTCTACAAAAAACAATTTGAATAAATAGCCAGTTGTGATGTGCATACCTGTAGTCCTACCTACTCTGGAAGCTGTGTCAGGGGATCACTTAAGCCCAGGAGTTTGAGGCTGCAGTAAGCTATGATTGCACCACTGCACTCCAGCCTGGGCAACAGAGTGAGACCCTCCTGCCACGGTGGGAAGAAGAGGAGAGCTCATAAGAAACTGAGAAAAAGAGATGACATGTAGAAGGGGAAGGAGAAGAGGTGAGGAAATCAGGCAGGGAGAGTTTCAAGGGACGGAAGTGGTCAGAGAGAAACAGGCCAGGCATGTTTTAGATGTGAAAACAGGTCTCGAGACTCTGACTCTAGAAAAAGAAAACAGACGCTGTTCAAAGGCTACCTGCTTTGGGGTAGCCTAAAGCATGGCCCCTGCACTCTCAACTCATGCTGCTTCGGCAAAGCAGGTCCTACTGTGCCGGGGTCATCTCTCTGCTCCGCTTGCCCCTCCTCCTGAAGGCTGTAGGAGTGCCCAGTGCAAGGACCACTCCTTATGCCTCTGCCTGTCCCTGGCCTTTCCCACCCTCTCACTCCAGCCCCCAGGCAGTCCTGTGCAGCCCGGGCTGGAGACACCTGTGAGCCCATCCACAGCCGGGCTTCGGGCAGTGGGGGTTGCAGGGGTGGGGGTGGGGCAGGAGGACACCTGCAGGCTCCTCACAGGGTCCAGTGCTGCTTTCCACCCTGCAGTGGGGACACCTGCTCCAGTTACTCTTGCAACACCATTATACTTTCTCTTCTCTTCTTCAATTTTATTGTTTCCTCTCTCTCCTTCTCTGAGTTCTAGGCAAAAGGGAAAAATGTTGTGGACAGGGTTTGGAGGGGGATGCGTGGGTCATCAGAACACGAGAAGGAATGAGAGAATTGTTGCTTTTTTTGTCTTCTTTTTCTGTTAACTTAGCTATGTATGCCTAGTGTTCCATTATTGGAACACTATGCATGCAGGAGTTATTTATATCCTACTGCTCAAGGTCATTGCCAAAGTCTGATTGCCAAAATTCAAAAAATTGCAACCTCAGGCATACATGGGTTAAAATCAAGATACAATTCTCATGCCATAAATTTCACCCTTTCAAAGTGTACAAGTCAATCATTTTCTATATTTACAAAGTTGTGCAAATATCACCACTCTAATTGCAGGAAGAAACCCATTGGCAGTCACTCCTCACTTGCTCTTCTCCCATCTTATTAGCTCCTAATTACAGCATTATAGACATCTTTTTCGGGGGAGGGGGGCGCTGGGGATAACATAAAAGTTAAAAAATATTTTACTTCTAATAAGTGTTAAATTATATAAATAACCCTAGTATCACAGACCTGACTGCAACGTGCACATGCTTTTGTGCACAGTGGTTTCAGGTGGAAATGTACGTCCCATAAGTTGATGTTTGCAAAGTGTTTAGAACTGTGCCTGGTACCTAGTAAGTGCCAGACTGTCTGCTAATGAGCTAACCAAATGGCAGCATTATCAGGAGAGGTAGGATTTCTGGACTGATGACAGACACAAGAATCCAAGTTTTCTCTAAAAGGATCAAATGGAAAATCCTATCTGTTCAAGTGTGGCCAAGCACCATATTTGAAACACAAGGTTGTCCTTAAGAGGGGGATGATTCCTTATTAAATGTTGGAAAGTATTCCTAGCCTCCCTCCAGGGAGAAGCCAGGGAATAGGACCGATTTCAAGAAAAATGCAGTCAAATGAAAGTAGAATTACAAGATTTTGCAACAATAATTCCAACAAGTGGATTCTTTCCATTCGTTATTAATTGTATTCCCACTGGACCCTTCAGAGTCGATGGTGTTTCTATTCTTATTAGCATCAATATTCATGAGGGTCTCTTGTCCCCTCTTCTGCAAGATGGAGGAGTTATAACAACATGGGTTTCTCATACAATGTTTTAAAATATAACTCTTAAAACTCTAACTTGGCTTTTGGAATTAACTTTTTTTTTTTTTTTTTTTTTTTTTTGTCGCCCAGGCTGGATGGAGTGCAGTAGAGTGATCTCGGCTCACTGCAGCCTCCGCCTCCCGGGTTCAAGTGATTCTCCTGTCTCAGCCTCCCCGACTAGGTGGGATTACAGTCGTGCACTACCACGCCCGGCTAATTTTTGTATTTTTAGTAGAGACGGGGTTTTGCCATGTTGGCCAGGCTGGCCTTGAACTCCTGACCTCAAGGTGATCCACCCACCTCGGCCTCCCAAAGTGCTGGGATTACAGGCATGAGCCACCGCGTCTGGCCATGGCTAGCAGGATGCAAGAAGACCTGGCTCTGAAGCCATGCTTAAGGACACTGTGCAATGGGGGACAAATCCGCAGGTGCTATGGGAACCCAGAGACCCAGCTGGAGGCTCTGGGAGGAATTCCATCTGGAAGCAAACATGCCGTGTCCAGAGGTCAGGGTGATCTGGCAGAGGCAGTGCTGGAAAGGAGTGTGTGCAACAGCAGGGCTGTGGCCCCAGCTGGAATCAGGGCTGCGGGTGGGGAGGCTGGAGGCAGCTTTCTGGAAATGACTTGGCAGGTAGGAGCAAGGTCCAGGTGGGAACCTTGAACACAGGGCAGAAGACAGAAAACAGGCTGGTACAACGGGACTCAGAAGTCAGGACCATGCAGGGCACGTGGTTTCCAGAAGTGAATAAAGGGGTGAATTGGCCACAGGAGGAGTTGGAGCCTGCACTGGCAGGAGAGGCACTGGGAGCAGTGCTGCCCTGGGGCCGAGTGGTCTGAGGAATGACGGAGGCCTTCTCTGTAATGCAGAGGGCAGAAGAATGGGGCCGCAGGAGAGTTCCCACAGCTGCAGCTGTGAGGAGAGGAGAGTCAAATCTGGGAAGGGCACCCAGCTGGTCTTTGCAGTGATGCAGTGTGAGTTCTCATGCCCGGTGGCCACTCTTCCCTGGCTGTGCTCCCATTTGGTCTAAGTGTGAGACACAGGACTGGATGCCGGGCTTCAGCAGTGGGCAGGCGGATGAGAATTCATGTAATGCCCAGCTCAAGGTGTGGCTCTGGAATAAGGCAGGCCTGGGTTTGAATCTCAACTTTCCCCCTAACCACTATCATGGCCGTGGAGCTGTTACCAACTCTTCTTGCACAAGGCTGATAACATGCACGTGTAAGGACGTATGAAATAATGTATGCAAACAGCATCTATGGTTACGACAAATGAAGCCCGTGAAAATCAGTTGATTGCGTTGGCTCGGTACTCTGCGTGTCCTGGCCCCCACATCAGTGTTCCTTAATCTTTTTTATTTTTAAAGGCACAAACTCCTTTCAAAGCCTGATTAAAGCTTTGCATGCTCTCCCCGCAAAACCCACGCATACATTTTTCAAGGAATTTCAGATGTTGTATGGACACTGGTGTTGAGAATTGCTACTCTTGACTTGAGGACAGGACTGCTTTTGTGACTGCCATCTTATCTGTCATTGCGCCATGTACAAGTATAATCCTACACAAATGCTTTAAAGATAGAATTTGCAAAACTGGCATTGTGATATGCAAGGCATCCTATGCATAGACAAAAACTAAAACCACCATAAAAGGCAAGTTGGGATAATTGGGGAAATTTAAGTTGGGCGGTAGAGAAGATGAGATTGTTAAATTCATGTTTCCATTCTTAGGGGTGATCACACCACTTCGGTCACCTAGGGGAAGATCCTTGCTCTCAGGGTGGAACTGTCAATGCTGTAGCTCCATGCTCCTGGGGTCTTACGGCTTTCTAGGTCCCCACTAGGAGTGGGTCATTTCCCTGGCCAGCTCCTGTGAGTGGTCAGTGAGAATCAACTTGCTCTATTCAATCTTCCCTTAACTTTGCCCCTCAAATTCCTAAGCTCTATGGAAGAAGATTTTACTTCTTTCATAAGAAGTGGAGAGTTTCCCTAAGCCCTCCTGGCCATGGTACAAATACTTTCTGAGCTGATGGGTTTCCAGCTCGTAAACGGCCTTGGCACTGGAGTGGGTCTTTCTTGCCATGTTTCCGAACTAAGCATCATTTCTTTACTTTCTTGATGGGAGTTGGGTTGGGTGTACCAGGATGAGGCATTCTGAATCCTCAAATATCTTGGGATTGATTCTTCCCTAAAAGGCTGTGGGCATGTGAAAAAAGTAAACACCGGGGAAGTTAGGAGGCTGGGGTCTGAATGAACTTATTCTGTGACCTTGGACAAAGCATTTGATTTCCCGGGGCCTCTGTGTTCTTGGAGGCTACCTAAGGTCAGTGGACTCAATGCCTCTCAGTGAGTGGTAAACGTCTGAGCCACTCGTGGAATATTACAACCACGCAGAAATCCCAAACTTCCAAACACATGCCTGGCTTCCACTCCTGGGAGCTCTTAATCAGCAGGCCTGGGGTGGGGCCCGGTCTAGGGGAAAAAGTCCGCGTAATATTCTGATGCACACGTCTGTTGGGGAACCACGGAGTGGAATGACGTCCAACACAGCTCCTGCCAGAGGAGGGGCTGTTAAGTGGCTTCCAAAACAAGCTGAGGTTCAGAAACACAGCCCCGTGAGGCTGACTCAGTGTTGGGGCCATTCACATTCTTCCTGGATGAGGTCGCGTCAGGCAGTGCTCTTTTCTCCTCCACCCGTAGCTTACAGATGTGGGGTGCCTCCCTCCAGCTGAGGGAGGGAGTGTTTTCACGCACGCTGGCCGGCCCTGTGCCTTCCAAGGGGTCGTTTGAACTCAAGTGCTGCAGTCGAGGCAAAGGAGTCCCTGGGATGACAGTTGAGGTGGGTTTCAAAGAAGCCTATTTTCAGCCCGGGAGGGGCCGGCTTCTGCACTCTCCGAGTTTCCCTGGAGTGCTGTCACCAGCCTCTGGCTGCCAGATTTCACAACCGGTGTCTGGGTTTGCTAGAATCACACCCCCTTTCCAAGGAGAAGCCAAGGCTTGACCTAGCCACGCTTTTTGTGTGTTAAACACGAAGCTGATTCTGCTCCCCAAAATGAGAATTAACATCCTGGGAGTGTCAGAGGCTGGTTTTCCTAAGGATTTTAGGGATTTTGGATCTTGTTTCTTCTAGGGTTCACATCTTAAAATATGGTAGCCCAAGTAATGAATTGCCTCAGAACACATTTATGCAGCCTCTAGTTGTCCTCTGTCCAACATCTCGAACAAACTCTGAATACCTTCCTTCTGGGCCCTTCTTTCTGAGAAGCCCAGGTGAAGGGCACTGATGCCTCAGTTGGGAGGGACTCCATGTTTGACTGGGTTGCGCGTCCTATAAACTGGCCACAGTTCTCCTCATGTTACCATGGTCCCCTGGCCATCACTGCCTTCCATGGCCCCTGGAAAGGAGTATTTCTGGCCCCTTGATCTCCTGAATGACACCAGGCAGCCCACCTGTGCACTCCAGGTACCATCTCCCCACGTCAGTCACGCTTCCAGACTCAGTCCTCCCGAATAGTACGCACTGCAGCCTATGAGAAAGCAGAGTAAAATGTTATCTTCAAACACTCACAAAGTATGTGTAGTGGATTGTATGGTGGCCCGTTTGAAAAAATATCTTCACATCCTAGTCCCTGGGACCTGTGAATATTACCATATTTGGAAAGAGTCTTTGCAGCTATAATTAAGCTAAAGATCACGAATGACAAGTGGTATGGTTTGAATGTGTCCCTCAAAAAGCATGTGCTGGAACACCTTCTGCCATGGGCTGATGCAGCAAGAAGGTCCTCACCAGATGCAGGCTCCTTGACCTTGGGCTTCTCAGCCTCCAGAACTTGAGAAATAAACTTCTTTTCTCTGTCAATTACCCAGTCTGTGGTATTCTGCTATAGCAGATGAAAATTGACTAATACAAGTGTCCTAATAAGAGGCATATAGAGGGGAGACACAGAGGACAAGGCAATGTGACTGTGGAGGGTAGAGATGGAAGTGATGAGACCACATGTCCAGGAATGTCTAGAGTTGTCAGAGCTGGAGGGGTAAGGAAGGACTCTCCCCTAGTGCCTTTGTGGAGAGCACTGCCCTGCAGACACTTTGATTTCAGACTTCCAGCCTCCAAAAATGTGACACTTTTTGCTGTTTTAAACCACCTAGTTTGTGGTTATTTATTATGGCAGCCAAAAGAAACTAATACAGCACATGTGTGAGCACGCACACACACACACACACACACAGACAGACACACATGAGGCAGCCATGAGCACAGAGGACTCTTGGAGGAGAGCAGAGGACATCTTGAGAGAAGCTGACACCGCAGCGGCAGCACTGATACCACGACCCACATCCTCCCTTGATGCCCTCATCATTTCCATCCAGGCCCTGCTTCTCGCCCAGAAGCCATCCACCATTCAGCTTGGTCTCCAGGTCACTGCCCCAGGAGGTACTGCTCTCAGCTCTGTGCCCCAACAGACCCACACTGCAGGAGGCTGACAGTGGACCTCCCCAGAGCCATCCCCACCTCAGGCAGATGAGCTCTGCCCTCCCAGGTTCAGGTGTTCCTCATCTGGCCCCCTGCTTGCTCAAGGGCCCTTCTCCCTTGACATTCAGCTCTGCTAGGCTGTTCCATCTTGCCCCCATGACCACAGGCAGCCCATGAGCCATTCAACTCTGCTCCTTCCAAACCTGTGCGTGATTGCATTTTGTCATGGACTGCACGTCCCAGCCACAGGAGCCTTGGACAAAGATATTTTATTTTATTTTTCTCCTGGAAATACGCTCCGGGAATCCTTTCTTTATCATATGGATTTTAAAGATGATTTGAGCCATTTGGATTTAAATAAAGAGAATCCTGAGGACTTTTTTTTTTTTTTTTTGAGACAGAGTCTCACACTCAGGCTGGAGTGCAGTGGCGCAGTCTCAGCTCACTGCAAACTCTGCCTCCTGGGTTCAAGTGATTCTCCTGCCTCAGCCTCCTGAGTACCTGGGACTACAGGCACCTGCCACCACACCCAGCTAACTTTTGTATTTTTAGTAGAGATGGGGTTTCACCATGTTGGCCAGGCTGGTCTTGAACTCTTGACCTCAAGTTATCCGCCTGCCTCAGCCTCCCAAACTGCTGGGATTACAGGCATGTGCCACCATGCCTGGCCACTGAGGACTTTCTGTCAACCTTTTTTCATGCGTGTGTGTCAACTTTGAGCCTGTTGATTTTGGGGAGTAGGCTGAAGTCAGCTTTTCCTTTCTCACAGAAAGGTTTTCAGCACATCAATACTGCGAATTATCTATCATTAACATTGCTCTGAGAGTAAAAGTTCTATATTCTGTGTAAATTTTCATAGTGACTATGAATATGTCTAAAATAGAAATACACTTTCTAGAGATGCACCAATCATGCTTTGTGTCACTATTTTATCTCTTAACATATGGAGTTTGACATTCCCTGGAATGGTATTTTCTTTTAATTTAGCGTTGATAAGATAGAGAGTCCCACATAAAACAAATATGCCTAAATAAATATAAAGAGGTAAGCAGTTCATGACTTTGCAAGGGCCAGATAATGAGACTATCTCTTTTTTATCTTCACATCAACTCTTACCAGGACCTTGTGTGGAGAGGTGGACGCTTCAGCTTTCACTTTCTCTGCTTCTTTGTAAGATTCTATGAAGTCTTGTTTCCAGCAGGATAAATCAGTTAGCCTCACTATGTCCCTCCTGTCTACAGGGCAATGGGGATTCTTTTCATTCCAGCTGGAAATTTATCTTCTGATTTTCTGTGCACATTAAATACATTCCTTCCGTCTGCCTTCCCATCTATCATGGTGGAACATTGCAGGGATGGGATCTGATGGGGAAGGTCAGATGGAACACCTGTTGGACACACTACTTTTGTCAAGTAATAACCAGAGAGAAAATAATTGAAAGAAGACAGATAACTCATTACCAATTATAGTGTAGGGCCATCTTGGCTTCAAATGTAGAGTTCAAGCTAAGAATATGTGGAAACTAAGTAATATTTTTAAAAGAGCGTGTTTACGTGTTAGACATGGTTCATATGTTCTGTTAGACTTCAGAATTGTAAGCCGTCAAGGAGAGGCTACAAGAGACCCAAAATAATTTAACTTTGCATCATGGGTAGTTCACTCTCAAAATAAAATCTTCCTAGTCATGATGTCATTGAATTACTAATTAAAGCAATAATATCACCATTTTGTAATACTCTAAAAATATTATTATTAGAAGGCTAAAGTGGGTGGAACTCACCGGATTACTCTGGGCTGACAGCAGGGTCTTGAGATAAACAGCCAGAGTTGGCATTTGAGGCAAATGGGCATCAAGTCACGGCAGTGAATCCTTGGGTGGCTGAGGTGGTGGTTGGGGACTGGCTGATGTACACGCTTAGGAAAACACACACTGCCTCTCTTCTAGCCCCTGCCTGAGGCATGCCTAACCCATGCCAGGACCTTTTGATAATATTAGTGTTTTGTAATTTGTTTATTCCATTTTTCTCTCCAGCTTTCAGGAAACTCAGAGCTAAATTTAGAGTTCATGAGTAAGAATTATTTCACATCAATCATCTTCCTCTGATGAATAAGGTGGTCTCTATTCTGCTTTGACTCTTAATCCCCTGTTACATTTTGGAAGTATGTGGGGACACCAGGACCCAGCTAGGAATCAGACTTTATGTTCCGAAGAAGAGGAGTGGAGAGGAGCAAGGTTGGATGAAGAGCTTGGGGCAGACTGGGCTGGTGGGGAAAGGTCAAGGTCCAGAAGAGGGAAGGAGTTCTGCAGGGAGCCTCCGCAAGTCTCCCCAGCTCTTCCCACATACCCTCCCCACCCCCCACAGTGTCCCTCCACCCACCCATCAGGATGACAAATGGAGGCAGCCATCATTCTCCCTGCAGAGGGGCGGGCTGCCTCTCTGATGAATCCTGCTGGGCTGGACTGGAGCTTAAACCTAAAATAATGCGCAGTTTCATTACCAAATTCTAGAAAGGTTTTATATGTATTCATAGTGGGAGATAAGGTGAGTAAAATAACCCTTTGCCCATAATTCTTCTGAAGCATGTGTTTTCAAAATATTGTTTTACCCAGAGGATGCCACCTTCAAATAGTTGAAGCAACTTCTAAGAGGGCCAGGCTGTCAAAATTGAGTTTAATGCATGAATTGTAGTTCAACCCTACAAACAAAATCCATTCTACTGGAATTCTTTACTTAATGTCTGTATTTTTTAAATGGCTTTTCCTAAATGTGGTCCAGAATGACTTGCTTTAGAATCATCTAGAAATCTGCAGACCTGTAGGGAGGACCTGTTCTATAACTGCTTAATTACAAATGCTCAGAATAGAGCATGGGCCTAACAGGTTCTGAAAAGATACTCAGGCAAAATAAAGTTTGAGACCCACTACATTAGGGGTTGGCAAACATTTTCCTTTAAAGAGCCAGATAATAAATATTTTAGGTTTTGTGAGCCATAGGTCTCTGTGCCAACTATTCAACCCGGCCATAGACGATACATAGATGGATGGGCGTGGCTGTGTTCCAATAAAACTTTATTTACAAAAATAGATGGTGGAACTGAATGTGGCCCACACCCTACAATTTGCCAATGCCTCACCAGACAGTGAGTTTAGAGAGTGGAACTGTATTTGTTTTGTTTGCTACTGTCAGAAATCAGCAAAGTGTGTATTATAAAATCGTCACTTGGTAAACACTGATTAAGTGCATAAATCAATGAATACTTACGATGGACACTGACATTCAAGGTTTCTTTTAATTCACATAAAGTATAATTCACTGTTTTTGGTGTACAGTTCGATGAATTTTGGCAAATTAGTAGTGTCATGTGACTACCATTGTAATTAGGATGTGGAGCAGTTCCACTCCACCTGGAACTGGCTACCTGTATGGTAGTCTCATACCATACTGATCTGTTCTCTGTCCCTGTGGTTTAGCCTTTGCCAGAAGGTCAAATAAATGGAACAATAGAGCCCTCAGTTTTTTGAGTCTGGCTTCTTTCATTTAGTTTAGTGCATTTGTGGTTCTTCTATGTTGTTCATGTATCAGTGAACTGAGTAGAATTTCATTGTGTGTAAATATCACAGTTTTTTTACCCATTCCTCAGTTGAGGGGTATTTTGGTTGTTTCCAGTTTGGGGCAATTACAAATAAAGCCAACTTCATGTGCAGATATTTTTGTAGCCATGTGTTTTCATTTACCTTGGGTAAGTACCTAGGAGTTGTGTAGTAAGTATATGTTTAACTTTATTAGAAATGGTCAGACTGTGTATTAGTCCATTTTCACACTGCTATAAACACATACAATTTATAAAGGAAAGAGGTTTACTTGTCTCAGTTCCGCAGGGCTGGGGAGGCCTCAGGAAACTTACAGTCATGGTAGAAGGCGGAAAGGAAGAAAGGCACTTTCTTCACAAGGCTCCAGGAAGAAGTGCTGAGCAAAGGGGGAAAAGCCCCTTATAAAACCATCAGATCTCATGAGAACTCACTCACTATCACCAGAACAGCATGGGGGGAACTGCCCTCATGTTTCAATTACCTCCACCTGGTCTCTCCCTTGACATGTGGGGATTGTGGAGATTAGGAGTGTTATAATTTAAGATGAGATTTGGGTTGGGACACAAAGCGTAACCATATCAGACTACTTTCCAAAGCTGTCCTACTTTGTGTACCTCCAGGCGACGCGTGAGAGTTCTAGTTGTTCTGCATTCATGCCAGCATTCAATAGTGTTATTTTTTAATATTACTCTAATAAGTATGTTACAGTATCCCCTTGTGGTTTTAATTTGCATATTCTTAATTAGTAATGATTTTGAGCATCTTTTCATAGGCTTATTTGCCATCTGTATGTTTTCTTTGGTAAAGTATTTTTTAAAATTTGGTCCATTTTTTAAAAATTGGGCTTTGGTTTTCTGTTGAATTTCAAGAGTTGTTTATATATTCTTGGTACAAGTTTATTGTCAGTTACGTGATTTGCAAATATTTTCTCTCAGTAGGTGGCTTGTCTTCCCATTATTTATTATAGAACAAAGATTTTTAAATTTTGATGATGTCTAATTTATCATTTGTTTTCCTTTACGGATTGTGCTTTCTTTGTCTTATCTGAGAAATCTTTGCCCATCACAATGTCACAGATTTGTTTCTTACGTTTTCTTTAAGGCTTTATAATTTTACATTTAGGTCTATAATCCACTTTGAGTTAAGTTTTATATAAGGTATGAGATATAGATCAAGATTTTTGTTTTTGCATATGGATGTCCAATTTTAAAATCCATTCGTTGAAAAGAATATCCTTTCTTCATTGAATTGCCTTGGTGTGTTTGTTGAAAATTAATTGACCGTATCCTGGGGGGTCTATTTTTGAACTCTCTGTTCTGTTTCATTGGTCTGTGTATCTGTTATTTCACCAATACTGCACCAACTTGATTACCATAGTTTTATAACAATTCTTGCATCAAGTAATCTGAGTTCTCCAACTTTGTTCTTTTTCAAAATTATCCTGGCTATTCTAGTTCCTTTGCCTTTTCATATAAATTTTAAAATCAGCTTGTCAATGTCTACAAAAAAAAAGCCTTGCTGGGATTTTAATTGGGATTACATTGAATCTATACATCAAAATGGGAAGAATTAATCCTTTAACAACATTGAGTCTTCCAATCCATGATCACAGAATGTGTCTCTAATTATTTAGGTCCTTTGTGATCTCTTTCATCAGTGTTTTATAGCCTTCTGCATACAGATCCTGAACATATTTTGTTAGATTTATACCTAAGTGCTTAATTGAGTGGGGAGGGAGAAGAGTGCTATTGTAAATGGTATTTTCTTAATTTCAAGTTCTAATTGTTCATTATTGGTATATAGGATATCAGTTGACTTTTTCTATTGACCTTGTATCCTGTGATCTTTCTCCTTGTGCAACTTGTATTTCTTTTAATTCTTTTTCTTGCATTATTGCACTAGTTAGGATTTCTAGTATGATGTTGAATAGGATTGAAGGGAGAGTACATCCTTGTCTAGTTTTTTATATTAGGGGGAAAGCATTTAGTATTTGATTATTAAGCTTGATGTTAGCTGTAATTGGTTTTATATACCTTTATTAGGTTAATGAAGTTTTCAAGTGTTGAATTGTGTCGAATGCATTCTGTTTTGCATTCATTATTGAGATCATTTGGATTTTCTTATCTAGCCTGTTAATATGATGAATTATATTATTGATTTATGAATGTTGAATCAGCCTTATATTCCTTAATGGAGTTCACTTGGTCTTGATGTGTTTATCCTTTTTATATATTGTTAGATTAGATTTTCTAAATTATTAAATATTTTTGCTTATGAGAAGTATTGGCATGTAGTTTTCTTGTTGGTGTAACATCTTTGTGTGCTTTGGGGATTATGATAATTCTGGATCCATAGAGTAATTTGGGAGTGTTCTCTTCTTCTATTTACTGGAAGAGTCTGTAAAGAATTGGTATTATTTCTTCCTTAAATGTTTGGTAACATTCAGCAGTGAAATTCTCTGGGTCTGGTACTTTCTTTTTTGGAAGGTTATTAGTTGTTGATTCAATTTCTCTAAAAGATATATGGCTACTTAGTTTACTGAATTATCCTTAAGTGAGTGTTGGTAGTTTGTGCTTTTTAAGGATTAGTCTATTTCATTTGTCATTAAATTTATGAACATGGAGTTTTTCATAGTATTCTCTTACTGTCTTTTAGTGTTCCTGGGATTGGTAGTAATTACCCCCTTAATTCTTTTTTTTTTTTTTTTGTGACAGAGTCATACTCTGTTGCCCAGGCTGGAGTGCAGTGGCATGATCTTAGCTCACTGCAACCTCCGCTTCCTGGGTTCAAGTGGTTCTCATGCCTCAGCCTCCTGAGTAGCTGGGATTACAGGCATGTGCCACCACACCTGGCTAATATTTGTATTTTTAGTAGAGATGTGGTTTTGCCATGTTGGCCAGGCTGGTCTTGAACTCCTGAGCTCAGATGATCCAGTTGCTTTGGCCTCCCAAAGTGCTGGGATTATAGGCATGTCTTTTCTTTTTTTTCTTGATTTAGAGGTTTACCTTTTTTTTTTTTTTGTCTTCCCAGAGGACCAGCTTTTGGTTCCACTGATTTTCTCAATTGTTTTCCTGGCTTAAATTTCATTATTTCTGCTCTAATTGTTATTATTTCCTTTGTATGATTGCTTTAGGTTTAATTTTCTCTTCTTTCTTTAGTTTCCTAAGGTGGAAGCTTAATTATTGATTTTAAATATATATAATATATATATAAGCATATATATAAGCATATATATATTTAGCATATGCATTTTAATGGTGTACATTTCCCTCTAATCACTGCTTTTGATGCATCTCACATTTAAAAAGAAAAAAATAGAGATGAGGTTTTGCAGTTTTGCCCAGGCTGGTCTTGAACTCCTGGTCTCAAGTGATTCCTGCCTTGGCCTCCCAAAGTGCTGGGATTACAGGCATGAGCCATCACGCCCGGCCCCCACATTTTTGATGTTTTCTTTTCTTTCTTTTTTTATTTTGTTCAGAGTATTTTTAAAATATCCTCTGAGACTTCTTTGATTCATAGGTTATTAAAAGTGTATTGTATAACTTCCAAATATTTGAGAATTTTCAAGCTGTCTTTGTGTCATCAGTTCAATTTTGTTATGGTCTTAAGAATATACTTTGTATGATTTGTATTTTTTGAAAAACTTGTTAAAGCATGTTTTAAACCCCAGAATGTAGTTTATATGGATGAATCTTTCATGTGTGCTTGAAAATAAGGTTTATTCTGCTGTTTTTGGATGTCAATTAGGCCACATTGACAGTGCTGTTCAGATCACTTATATCCTTATTGATTTTTTGTCTGCTTTCTTTTCTGATTACTAAGAGAGGAGTATTAATGTCTTCAACTCTGTGCATTTATTTCTCCTTTCAGCTCTATGATTTCCTTGCCTCATGAATTTTGACACACTATTGTTAATTGCACACATATTTAGGATTATTATGTTTTCTCTGATAAATGACAACGTATCATTGTATAATGTTCCTTTTTACCCATGGTAATCTTCCTCGTTATGAATTCTGCTTTTAAGTTAATATGGCTACTCTAGCTTTGCTTTGATTAACATTTGCATGGTATATCTTTCTCCACTTCTTAACTCTTAACCTATCTAAGTTTTTATATTTAAATGGGTTTTCTGTAAGCAACATATAACTGGGTCATTTTTTCTTCTTTTAATTTAGTTTGACAATCTCTGTCTTTTAACTGGTGGGTTTGGACCATTGCATTTAAGGTGAATGACATATAGGCCATCTTTACTTCACACAGTCGTGTGGGACTGTAAAAATGACCACAGAAGCTGAAACCATACAAAGTGACTTAATGATCAATGGGAAAGTTATGACGGCTTCATAACCTATAAATTTCTTTGTCAAAAGATTAAAAATTCTCCTTCTGTTGGTTACAAATGTATAGGAAAATGAAAAAAATAGTAAAACTAATATTTATCCAAAATATTAATTTTAAAACATTAGAAATATTGATAATTAAAATGTCTTATTCTTTACAAAAATTATCAAGAGTAGTGTGAACAATGTCTGCCTTCTTTTTATTCTATAACTCACAGTATATAGTGGACATCTTTTCTATGCCTTGACACACTGTCATACTCCTTTCTAAGCTGTAGTCAGCTTCCTACATTTCATCCTTTGCGCATTCTGTGTCATCAACTATCTCTCAGAGTTTCCATAATGTGAAGTTTTATCCTGATCCTAAACTCTAGAAATCTCAGTCCTTTTGGTCACAATCACTTTCTGCATGTATGTCAGGAAGTTGACCTTCACCAGGTTCCTCTGGCTGGATATATAGCATCTCTTAAATGACAGTAGTGTCAGCATTCCCACGGTCAGTTTCTTCTTCTATAACTCCATCCATGTTCAATTTGAATTTTTCTTGAGCATTATCATTTTCCATTTATTCAATGCACCTTCATGTTTCTTGGTCAATTTCCTCTTTTGATAACCCTTTTTTTTTGTGGTAAATATCCCATGGTTTTATCACTGGGAGATAGGAAAGCAACAAAACATATGTTGCTGGCTGTGAAGGAACTGAATAATGGATGCACAGCACCCAGTCACCAATAGACTTTGGAAGAAGTCATGAGATTGGTGGTTGGTTACGATGCACATCTATTATTTACGTAGTGATCTGTGGACTGAAGCACCAGCAGTGAGGTTCGCACATTATGAAATTACTCACTGTTAATATACAGTATTTGAACTGTGTTGTTGGGGGGACTGGCACTGTTGAACCAAATTATTATTGTCTCCTCTCTAGCTTTGGCCCTTCTCTTTGAGCAGCTCCTCATTGAGAATCTGCCTGTGACCACTCTCCCAGCTGTGATCTACTATTATTGTAATTGGAGGCCTGATAACATGGTGGCAGAGCGTGGAGGAGGGGAATGTTTTCTACCCTTCAGATTATATTTCAGTCTTTGCCCTACACAGTGGGTCTATGTCTCAGGGGTGTGGCCTTTACAACTGTTTCTCTCCCTCTTTCAAGGGTGGAACTTCCCCCTCTGTTCCCCCCATCCCTGACTGCACCATTCCTACTCTGTGTCTTTGAAGCTGTCTCTCCCATAGTTTAAGGCTTTCTTTTTCTTTTTGTTCCTTAAGTGATACAGGAGTACTGTAGTGAGGCTGGAGTGGGGTGGAGTTCCCTTTCACTAGTTGGATGGCATGTCATAGTGGCTTTCTGGCAATGTCCTTCCCAAGATGAAGGTTTTTGTTCTGTAAGCAAGAAATTCCTGGTTGGATTACATAACAGTTACTGTGTTTTTCCTCTCATCAGGGCCATGGAAAGAAGGGTGTTCCCTCTGGATCCATCTTGATCCTGTCAAGATTCCTAGAAGAAAAGCCTGCAAAAGGCTGTGCTTCCCAGAAGCTTCTCCCTTGGTATCTCACATGCAGATTCCACAGTTCGTTAAAATTTCTACTTTAATGTTCCTACTGGCTTAGTCAGTGCTTTCTGCTTCACGTAAACAAATCTCACTGCCTATATCTCCCTGGAGACCCCCATGTCTCCAGATTTCAGGATGGTGGTTTGCCTTGAGACCTCAGTTCTCTGATGGGTCCAATAAAAGTTGTTGATTTTCAGTTCATCCAGCTTTTTCTTACCGTAAAGATGGGAATGGTGACTTCCAAGCTCTTTATGTATCCAGCAAAACTGTGTTGGAGTTTCCTTCTCAACTTTCTGGTTGCAAGGCCCACAGGAAGGTAAAAGCCCCACGTCAAAGAGTCACTCACTGCAGGTCAGAACAAATGTGGTTCTCATCAGACCACAGGGCTTCAGTAGCGGCACCTCCTGGTGTCTTTCCCCAAGGGGCAGGGGAGCATCCACAGGAAACTCAGGCCAGCGGACACAAGCCTGGAGGAAGTGGCAGACCTGTCCTCCAAGTGCAGAGTGTCCTTCTCAGTCGATGGTGGCTCCAGCTGGGCCATCACAGTGACCCATGCAGATGGTGATTTGGACATTGTTTGGGTGCCAGACGCCATGCTATGTCCTCTACATGGATGGGGCAGGTGTAACTAGCTCCAGATCAGAGTTTACACGCCCTAGGAAACATCAACCATGACTGCATCTCCTCCACAGCTGCCTTCCCCAAAGTATGCTCTGCAATCTTGGTTTTGAGAGATATTACTAAGGGTTATGGGGCTTCGGCATGGAGAAAGGGAAAGCTGTTTGGGAAACTAGGCTGCCACTGGAGAACAACTCTGATTCCAAGCCGCTAATCCTTGTCCAGAGCTGGATCCTGGGGCTGAAGATGAAGGAGGTAGGGTCCATGGGGCAGGTCTCCTGGGAACCATTATCACCCTAGCATTCCTCTCAAATATCAAAGCAAGGGATCTTCAGCCATATCCAGTGTTTTCAAAAGTAATTTTTTTGAAACCAAAATTTATTTAGCTAATCTTATAACTAGAGTAAATTCAGCCCTTGGTAAAGAGAAATAAACCCTGAATTTCAAATACCTTCAATTGTGAGAGAGCGCACATAAATTTCTCACTATAGGTCATGTTATGGGGCTTTGTTAAAGGCCAACAACTGAAACACTATTCTTCTACCGGCTGGAGACAGAGGAAGGAGAAATAACGCACTTAGGAAATTTGCTTTTAAATAAGCTGCATTTATAAAACACTATCCTAACAGTCATCATTCCACTGAGCTTCCATTTGAGAATTTGTACAACCACTAAACTATTGTACTGAAACTGAATTAGGAGAAAATTTAATTTTCCTTTATAAGAGAGACAAAATTTTACTGTTAGTGGATCAGTAGATGTTATTAAATAGCAATAACAAAATGCTATTACAGCATCTAGAAATCAAATAAGATGGAAGCAATTTACTAATAATATTCACATTTACAAAATGTACAGTTATTAAACGTTATCCTAAAAGTTACACTCCCAGCAAGTCTCCACCTTAAGATGTTATACAATTACCTAAATAATGTAGGTAAAACCAGAAAACAAACATTTCAAAATTATTTTAGAAGGAAGGCAAAATAAAATTCTTGCTGTGTTTTTAGATTATTTTAGTGGACTTGTTAACAATAAAGATATTATAATTACACTACCTACAAATAAAATAAAATGGAATCAGTTAATTTATATGAATCAAATGTAAATAATCTATAGTTAGAAAACATTGTCTAAGAAGAATAAAATCCTATCAAGTTTCCATGTGGGCAAGTAAACATCAGCAGCAATAAACTAGAAGAAAAAAAAAAATCAAAATTAGTAGAGAGAAAAGCATCTTGCCATGGTTCTGAACTTCAGAAGTGGGCTCATTGGAAGGCAATGGCCACTCAGGGGAGACTCTCCTGCTGTAAGGCTGTGTGGACAGCCCTTGATATGGACCCATGTCTCTGCTCCTCAGTGGAGGACGTTCTGGGCTGGGGCTTCCTTCATGGGGAAGATTCCTAGGCAGTGTCATCTTCCCTTTCTGGAATCAGGGGAAGGACAGAATCCTCTTCCCAGGAGCTGACCCCTGGGCCCCTCAGACCCTCTGATGTCTGACAAGGGAACAAGGAGAGGATGGAGCTGGGTCAGCAGCACCCCTTCCCTGAGGGAGAGTTGGATTAGGGCAGCCCAGGGGCACCCTGATTCCATGGGAGGGTTTGATCAAGGTGGCCCAGGGGCACCCCATTCCTGTGGGAGGGTTGGATCAGGGTGGCTCCAAGAACACCCCTTTACTATGGGAAGGTTGGATCAAGGCAACCCGGTGACATCCCAATCCCATGGAAAAGTTGAGTCAGTGCAGCCCAAGGATACCCAGTTCTTATGGGAAGGTTGGATCAGGGTAGCCCCAGGAATACCACTTTACCATGGAAGGGCTGGATCAAGGTGGCCTAGGGGCACCCTGTTCCCATGAGAGGGTTGGGTTAGGTCATCCCAGGGGCACCTCATTCTCATGGGAAAGTTGGATCAAGGCAGCCCAGTGACACCCGAATCCCATGGGAAGATTGGATTAGGGAAGTCCAAGGGTCCTACTCTGTTCCCATGGGAGAGTTGGATTACAGTGGCCCAGGGATACCCTGTTCTCATGAAAGAGTTGGATCAAAGCAGCCCAAGGACACCCTGATCCTGTGGGAGGGTTGGGTCAGGGCAGCCTAGCTGAGGGGCACGGGAGCTGAGGCTTGCCATCTGGTGCAGGCTCTGAGTAGGGCTTGGGGGTCTGGTGGAGGCTCTTGTTTTTGGGCCTGATCCTGGGAGGGGCTGCACCTTGGGCCCTGGGCCCTGACCCCCCACCCACTGTGGCCTGGTGCTCCTGCTCTTCTGGGTTCCATCATCCCCATGGGCCTCTGCTGACAGCACACAGCAGCATCAGGGACATGAGGATGCCTTGGGAGCCCCTCGATCCTTCCTCCATAATTTATCTCAGAGCACATTCTCTTTCTTAGGCTGTGCAGATGTCTCTCAGCCCAAAGTGCTCTCAACTCATTCACATGAGCTTTTCTTGCAGGGAAAATAAGCTGTCTTCCATGATGGCCAGGGATTCTCTCCAGTGTTTCTGGGGAATTTGGCTTGCATGTTACGCGTCCAGGTTTTGCCTGTGTGGTGATCTTGCCATGTGCCCTGGAGAGAGTCCCCTCTGCCCTCACGGGGCAAAGGCTCTCCATCAGTATCTGCTGAACACTCCTTGATGCAGGTCAGGGAAACTGGGGGCTGGGGGGATGTAATATTTCCGGAGAGCTGAGCCTCCCCCTTCTGACCCTGATTTTCTGACTTCGGCAAAGCAGTCAAAATTGTGGGAATTTCTCAGGATCTTTAAGGGCATCAATTTTATCTTGTGCAATTACTTATTTCTTCTTCAAGAATTTTAAAATCGGCATTTAACTATGCTGCATCCATTGTCTCTTTGGAACCCCTTTTATCTTCCATGTGGTCTCTGTTCCCAATCTAATCCCAAGCTTCTTCCACTCTCTGTGGTGTCCCCTCTGTCTCTCCTCTTCCATAGGTGTCCACTCAGGGGCTCGTGTTCCCTTTCTTTAGGGGTTTCCAATGTTCTTTCTGCTGTAGGACAAGTTTCCTCCCTCTCCCCTTCGCTCATTGAGCTCTAATCATGCAAGGTCTTTTAGGCATGTCAGAAATGTTGGGTTTTATCCAAAGGGCAGTAAGAAGCCACCCCAGGGTTGTGGCAGGAAGATAATCTGATTGGATAAGAGTCTAAACAGACCATTCTGGCTGTCCTGTGGACATCAGAGCTGCATGGATAGGAATGGGAGGAGAGAGACCCAGCATGAGTTTGCTGCGGAGGCCTGGACAGGGAGGTAGCAGAGGACATGAAGAGAGGTGGCCAGGGTCAAGATAATTTTGGAAGTAGAACTGATGGGTCTTAGTGGTGGTGTGACAGTGGAGATCGAGTCCAGAAAGGCTGGTTGAGGTTGGCCGGTTAGTAAGGAGGGAATAGGATGCAGGATGAAGAGGAAGTCTGGGGAGATGAAGGGGGGAAATATCCTGAATGTACTTCTTATACCAATATACTAGACTTGGATTATCTCTGAACTCTAAGGGAGAGGAATAAAATGGACCCAGTTGGAGGGAAGCTTGCATTTCTTCCCTCCCTCCCTCCTTCTCTCCCTCCTTCTCTCCTTCTCTCCCTCCCTCCCTTCCTTCCTTCGTTCCTTCCTTCCTTCTTTCCTTCCTTCCTTCTTTCTCTCTGTCTCTCTTTCTTTCTTTCTTTTTAAGATTCTATAGTTTTTACTTCAGTACTTTAGCCGTGAGATAAATACAAATTTGCCAGCTTACAAAACAAACAAACAAAAACCTATTAGAGACAAACAGTGGTTTTTATCTCAGTAGAAAGGTAACAGCAGATTTAAAGCAGGCAGAAAATAAAACAGTAAAAGGGGACCTAGGAACTCTATAGTTTACAGATCAACCTTAGGGCTCTTTTTTCAGTGTAAATGTGCACAAAGACCATATTACTTCCATTTTACTCTGGCAAGTAGAGGTGCCATAAAACCTACAGAGTACAGAAAAGGGGGTCATTCTCCTTGTTTTCTCCTCATTCTTAGATTGTTGGTTTCCCACTTTTTTTTAAATTATACTTTAAGTTCTGGGATACATGTGCAGAATGTGTAGGTTTGTTACATAGGTATACATGTGCCATGGTATATCCCACTAATGCACATGTATATGGGTTTGTTGAACCCATCAATCCGTCGTTTACGTTAGGTATTTCTCCTAATCCTATCCCTCCCCTAGCCTCCCGGAGCTTACATTTCTTAAGGAAACCAGGGGCGTGTGCAGAACTAGTGCTCCATGCTAGGTTGCTCCGGGAAGCAGTGAGGATCCCTTTTTGCGGGGCAGGATTTCTTTCTCCCACTTGTGACCCAGAACGAAAGCCGCTTGGAGGTGGTGGAGGCGGAGTCAGGTGTTGGCATCTCCCCCTGTTCTCATTCACCACTTTCTTCCATGTTGCCATTTCTTTTCCTTCTCTACATGAGAAGGGAGGAGGGCCCACTGACAGCCTCTTGCATGCTGCCTCCTCTAGCTTATCCCATTTCCCCGCTTTTGGAGCCTCCTCTGTGACTGGCTCCTTCTCCACCTGTGCAGTAGAAAGTGGCATTTTGGAGGGCGTTAAGGAGTGAATGCCATGCTGCTCTGACTATCCACATTTTCTTTGGCAATGCTGGCTGTGCTGGTGTCTTTCTGTAGGAGATTCCCATCTGTTCCCTGCCTGGTGTAAGTCTAAGGTTGCAAGAAAGGTGAGGAGTCTGGCACCAGGTAGGCATGACCTCTCGGGCCACAGTTGGCTGGTCCCGGGCTAGTGCAATCGTGTTCCAGGACACAGAGGTCTCTGAGTTGGAATCAGGCAAGAGAGTTAAAGGATGCTCACACCCCAGCTTTGCACAGACACACTGCACGGCACACACCCAGCAGCATTAGTGGGATAAACATCTGTTTCCATAAGAGTCTGTCTTCAGTTTCACTTACAGAGCTTTTCTAACCTAATTACGTGTGTCAACTCTGTGGCTGTAATCACTGTTCTTAGGTTAACCTCTGTAAACCGTCGGAGTTAGATGGCTTTATGGGCTGTCTCAGGGAGTCTCTGGGTTACAGCAGACATGACTGATGACTGTGTGCTGTAACTGAACTATGCAGTCTGCTGGCCTTTAATATGCACATTAATGGTGACTGAGTCTTGGCACCACCTTGCTGTGTTGGCTCTTGAGTTGCCTTTTATATTAAATGACGCATGATAGCAGACCTGCCTAGCAAATTACAGAATGACCTGAGCTGCTTCCAAGTTAAGAGCGCTTGGTGAGTTTGCTTGAGAGGGAGTCCAGCAGTCAGCTCTGAAGTCATTCTTATCTCCCATTGCCCACCCCTCTCTGCCCCCCACCCCCGAGCCCTAGGTTAAGTGAAGGGATTAAAAATTGACCCAGTTTGATCAGCCATCAGGATAAAGCCATGCCCATTGTCTCCTTGAAATTCTTGGGGGGTGAATGGGCATTTTTTTCCTTTTTTCTCCACTCTTTCCAGCTGTTTTTGATCTGGCATAAGCATGAGGGTGAAACACGAGTGAGAAGGAACGGGCTTCAGGTTGATTTGGATGTTTATGTTATTTGATGTGTTATGTTAAAGATCATTTCCTAGCCTGACTAGGTTATTATTGAGTTTCTTTTATGTATATTAAGCCATTTCTCTTCCTGATGGTTAGTCCTGAATTTCCCATTTGCTCAATTTTTCTTTTTGCTCTGGAGAATTCTAGTAGAGCACACATTGTAATCCTATGACCGTAATTTCATCAAAAGTGGTAATTTTTTAAATGTTGAGGAAGCAGTGACCCTAATGTTTCAAGTCAAGCTACAAAGCTACCTTATTTTTGTTCTTACTGTCACTAAAGATACATCTAAAATTATAAAATAATTTCATGACAGTAGGTAAAGTAGAATCAGTTATTTTGGGAGACATTATCAATATTCAGCTGCAATAAAAAATTAATGGGTAAAAGCAATTCTGATGTATAATAAAGATTAACTTCATTTTATGAGGCAGGCCATTCTCTGGTTGAGAAGAATTGAAGAAAAATAAACCACCTTTCCCTCTTCTGGGAGATCAGAATCTAGCAGTGTTTGATGTAGGGTACAGTGTGTATTTTTTAGAACTCTCAGTTGAGTGCATTAGAGTTTGCTGCACTATTTTGCAGTCACCTTTTCTCTTATTTAAAGAAAAAAAAAGCAAACTAAAATATACTCAAACTCCCCTTTTGCCTTTTACAGAGCCAAAGTGTCTGGTTCTCCAGCCAAAAATGTTTTTAACCCTTTGGCATTTATGAGACAAGAGTAAATAAGGTATGTCAGAGCTCTGAGAGGGGGGTGGGTGCTACACAGGGGAGGGTGCCCTAGACTCTGGAATGCTGGAGATGACTCACACTTGCTTGCAAGAACTGTGGTTAAATCTGCAGGTATTGGGGGAGCTAGTTGACTTCACACTGGTAGTTTGACATTGGCCACAGTGGGAGTACTGACACCATGAAAATCGGCAAGTGCTATAAGTCAGGGCTCTTCCACCCCACTCACCCATGAGGTTAAGTGTCCAGCACATGGCTGCCTAGGCTAGAATGGAATACAGTGAGGAGGCAGTTACTCAGCCCTTCTCCATCACTAGGGACTCAGAGGGTAAAATGGGTCACTTCGGAGGAAATGCTTTGGAAAACAATAAGGCTTTGGAATGTAGGCCAGGGACTGCAGGGGGCTTGGTTGCTTTCTCATTAGCCTTTGCCTCTGGGATTCTCTCACTCACACTCTGGTTTTGTTGAGTTCTGGGACCAGGGACGTTTCTCTGCTCTGGGTCCTTTTTGTGTGCTCAGAATTACTCAGCATTTGGAACTGAGACAGAGACAAGAGCTCCTGGGACAACAGAAAGTCCTCAGGAGGTGTGAGTGGGGAAGCTGGTTCACACCCAGTCCCCACGCACACCCATGTGGGCCTCACAGTGAAGGTCCAGGTAGAAAAGCTTGAGGAAAGAGAACAGGGCAAGAGCTTGTTTAGAAGCAATCCTGTTAGTCCTAGCCACTGGTCTGAACATATAAAAGAAAATCAAGCCAAACAGATGTTTTCCTCAGAGGCAGCCAGTAAGGGAAGGAATTATCTCCTTGAGTTGACATCCAATGTTGGGCTCCGGGAATGAAATTTCACAATGCATTGGACGTGGATGGCATGGTCTTTCTTCCTGTGGATTTAAGAATTAGTTTCAATTTAAAATGGGATGCTTTGAAATCTCAGGTCAGACTTTCTCCTAAACTTTTAAACCAATTCACAGTTCTGGCCATATTTCAGCCAGCAATGAGGAGTCAGAAGGCTGGCTCTCAATTTTTTTTAAAAAAGATTTTGCTTCAGCCAGCCAGCCATTGATCTGAAGGGTTCTAAGCGATTCTATTTCATTTCATTTAAACATTGGCTCCTTTATTTCCTCCCTCTTCTCACCAGCTAAAATTACAGGAGACCACCATTTTCGGGTGGAAAGAACATTTTGTGAAGTTCATTTGCTAAGCTTCTGCTATGAACCCACTTGGCCAAAGAGGGAAATCCTCCAGGAATTCAGTTTCACCAACCCTTCCCTCCACCCCGGGCTGCCGCTCTTCCTGCTGCTTTCATTTTAAGGGGACTGGGCATTTTTGCAATTTTGTCTTGACCATCATCATCTTTTTATTACTCATGGGGAACTTTCAAAACACCAGCTCCTTTTTTAAAAGTAGTTTTGTGTTCTTAGTGGTTTCACAATCTGAACTGAGCTGATGATTTGAGAAAATGTGGGCAGTTCATGGAATCATGAATGGTTAGAACCTTTCAGTTGAAGGGGACCCTAATCAAACATTCTACCCCAGTGGTTCTCAGTCAGGAGGGACTCTGTTCCCCAAGGGACACTTGGCAATGTCTGGAAACATTTTTGTCACTGCGGGGAGGGGGTTGCTACTGGTATCTGGTGGGTAGAGGCCAGGGTGGCTGCTAAACATCCTACAGTGCACAGGACCACCTCGCAGAACAAATAATTCTCTGGGTGAAAAGATCCATAGAGCTAAGTTTGAGAAACTCTGATCTACCCCAAAATTGAAGCCCTTCCAGCATCAGAGTGGACAGCTCCAGGGAAAGAGCAGCTCAAGAAACTACTCATGGGAGCAGCAGCCCTAAACTGGGGTCGACCCACAACGTGATGAGTGGGTGGCGAACTGTCAGGGCGGCAAGGGACAGGAGACCCACGAAAATTCATTTGGGGAAAGGGAAGACTTGGATGCCCAGCAGTCATCTTCTATGCTTCACTGGGCATAAACATATTCATTCAGACATTAGGTTTGATCGGTATGATTCCAGAGGGCAGGTTTAGAAATGTTGGGGGGAAGCTATGGGGAGGTTGAATTTGGCTTGGTGCGGAAGCACTCATACAGTCTCACCTAGTGAAATTTCATAAGCTCCGCTGTGTTGGCTCTTGGTGAGTTCACAGTTAAGAAAATCTTGAGGTTTCATTCATGCACTTTATTTAATTCCGTCTCCAGCCTCCTGCTTAATCCTGTTCTTATGCAGTTGATTTTTTGGCACGAGTGAAGTTCACGCTGGGCTGGAGGGAGAAGTGGGGAGAGTGAGGGATGAAATTCCAGGAGCAGGCCTGTTAGACTCTTCAAGTCCACGAACGCAGCCTCCCTGGCTCTCCTCCCAGTTGGATTGGCTTTACGGTCCTGTCAGTGGGACAGGCTATCTTGGCCAAACATGTGAATCTCCCTGAATGGGAAAAAGAAAAGGCAGAACATTAACTTAAAGTTTAGGATGCATGTGGGGAATGAAGGTGTGTGGATGGCTTATAGGATATCACTTGCTCTCCCAGAAACTCTGGACTGCCCTGCAGTAAAAACACCAAACCTCCTGCGCTGGGCTGAGAAGGGGCTTGAGCGTCGCCTGGGAAAATCTTTGACAGGCTGCCCAAACCGCAGCCCTAATCACTGAGGCACGTGGCTGACATTTTAGCAAGCTCACTTGGACTCGGAGCTTTCACAGAATGGAGACAAGGGAATAATTTCACTTTGGAGGACTGCACTTCTTTCCTTTACACCTCCCACTCCATCCTTCTTGTTAGCAAATACCCTGGGTGGGCAGATGTCACAGGAGCCGGCGGGGATGCTGGTTTGCATGGCAGCATCCCGCGGCGGAATACCAATGGCACAGCTCATGCTCTTTACTGAGGGGGTGGGACTCTGGAATTTTGGCATGATTGTAGTTGTTGCTGTAATCATGTTTTACATTAACAATGTTTCTTTCATCCAGATGGATTCTTAAGCGCTCGACAAACTTTATTAAGTAATTACAACAAGTTATAGACATTTAATTTGTCTATCATTAGGCACAGTTTCTGGGTGAATCATGGGATTTTTTTTGTTTTGTTTGGCCACACACAGAAACAGGATATTGATAGGGGACAGAGTAGACCTAGGGCTGTCAACTGGGCTTGGAAGAAGCCTGTCCTTGGTCTGAATTGGAAAAGGCACTAAGGCAACAGCCTCCCGGTGCAATCGTGTGAGTGAAGATCGGTGCAATCATGCGAGTGAAGATCACGGCAAACTTGACAATGGAGAAGAGGATACAGAAGCATTTCACACATCCCTGGGTTATTATTATTATTATTATTATTTCTAAATGGTCTACAAAACCATATGGAATCTCAATTTAAATACAGGAAAAGGCCGGGCATGGTGGCTCACACCTGTAATCCCAGCACTTTGGAAGGCCAAGGTGGGCAGATCACCTGAGGTCAGGAGTTTGAGACCATCCTGGCCAACGTGGTGAACTCCCATCTCTACTAAAATACAAAAATGAGCCGGGCGTGATGGTGGGCACCTGTAATCCCAGCTACTTGGGAGGCCGAGGCAGGAGAATCGCTTGAACCTGGGAGGTGGAGGTTGTAGTGAGTGGAGATGGCACCACTGCACTCTGGCCTGGGCGACAAAAACAAAACAAAACGAAACAAAACAAAACATACAAACAAAACAACCAACCAAACAAAAAAACCAACAGGAAAAAAAGCACAGGACAGCCCATGGGTCTGGAAGGCAGAGGCTCAAGGAGTCCTAGTGCAAAAGGGGCTTCCAGGACCACTCAGGTGGGAGCCTTTCAACCTGTGCCTCCTCTGAGGGCAGCTCAGGGGTTCTACAGCAGGAGGGAGGTGATGGGTCACCAGGAGGCAGGGCTCTTGGTCCCCGACATCTCCTTCTGACTGGTTTCACATACTGCATTTTACTCAAGATTTCTGCTGAAGAAAGGGTACCACTGCTAAAGAAAAGAAAAATAAAATGTGCAAACCTGACTGGTCCAGTTCCTGATATTATATGCGATGACCAGAGAGGTTATGCAGGTAGTCTGGGGTCACATAGCTAATAATTGGCCAAATTGAAGTGGGACCACGCTCTTTGTACAGCCAGCCTGAGGTGCCACCAAAGACAGTGCCAATTTCAGCAGGAAGGAGAACTCCTTAAGGGGCTGCAGGACTGGTCTTCCCAGACAGCTGTCCAAAGAGCTGCCTTTCTCCTCTTCCTTTAGGTTAAAAGATGGCAGATGAGTCAGGGCGCAGTGACTCACACCTGAAATTCCAGCACTTTGGGAGGCCGAGGTGGGCAGATCACGAGGTCAGGAGTTCGAGACCAGTCTGGCCAACATAGTGAAAACCCGTCTCTACTAAAAAAAAAAAAATACAAAAAATTAGCTGGGCATGGTGGTGTGCACCTGTAATCCCAGCTACCCGGAAGGCTGAGGCAGGAGAATCTCATGAGCCTGGGAGGTGGAGGTTGCAGTGAACCGAGATTGCGCCATTGCATTCCAGCCTGGGCGACAGTGTGATACTCTGCCTCAAAAAAAAAAAAAAAAAAAAAAAAAAAAAGATGGCAGATGAGTCATGAGCGATATGAATGACGGGGTAGGGAGAAGTTGGTGCTTCTGTAAGATCAAAGGAGGGAGAGAAAACCAAGGATGGAATGACAGGAGCACAGACTGGAACTGCTCTGATGTGGCTTGCGTGGAAATTCAGCCACCACCCCAATGACCACGTGGCCACCATGACCACAAGACTCAACATAGCCTTGTGCAGTGATGCATCAGGCACCACCTGCGGTATCTCCCCCTTCCCACCACGCCCTCGGAAGTAGCCATTCTCATCTCCACTTTGCAGCTAAATTGGTGGAGTTTTAAAGAAGTGAATAATTTACCCAAAGACATGGCTTGAAACCTGGGGTCTCTCCACCTGCCCGCCCCACCTGCCCTGAGAATGTGGATGGCACCAGGCCTCAGCCACTGGGACTGTTCCCTACTAACCCGTGAGCTCTGTTATGGCAGCTCTCTCCTATTTATCCTCTTATTCCAAGCATCTGATGTAGTACTTGGCACATGGTGAGCACTTGATGAAGAGTCCTTTGAGTTTAATGGATTGCATCCTATTTTCCCTTCAAGACTGGCCTCAGCTGGTTGGAATCACAGTTGCACTGCGTTACCGTAATCTGTGTTTGTGTTTGCTCAGGGATGTATTTGCTAGAATGAAAATTCCTGCAGGCAGGACTTCTCCATTGTCTCATTACTCCTGGGAATATGACTGTGGTGGGCAGAATAATAGCCTCCAAAGATGTTCCCATACTAATCCCTGGGAACTGTGGATATGTTAGTTACAGGGCAGAGGGGAAGCAACATTGCAGATGAACTTGAGGTTGTTAAGCAGATGATCTTAACACAGGGAGGTCATTCTGGATTTTCCAGGTGGGCCTAATGTCATTATAAGGGTCTTTGAATATAGAAGAGGGAGGACGAAGAGTCGGTCAGGAGAGCAGATTTGGGGATGGAAGCAGAAAACAGCGTGATCTAACTGTGGGTTATGGAGATGGAAGAGGCCACAAGCACAGGAATGCAGGCAGCCTTGAGAATCTGGAAAAGGCAGGGACTGGATTCTCCCCAGAGCCTCCAGAGAGAGCAGAGTCCTGCTCACACGTTGACTTCAGCCCTGCAGACCCATGTCAGACATGCGGCCTCCAGAACTGAAAGATGGTAAATGTGGGTTGTTTTAGGCTACGTTGTGGTGATTTGTTACAGCAGCAACGGGAAACTGATCGAGGTCCTTGGTACCGTGGGTAACTCGGCTGCTAAGAATTCTCTGCATTCTCGGGAGAGCCAAGGCCAGGGTGGCTTCTACTGTCTTTTTTTGAGATAAGGTCTCGCTCCGTAGCACAGGCTGGAGTGCAGCGGCGCGATCTTGGCTCACTGCAACCTCTGCCTCCTGAGTTCAAGGGATTCTCCAGCCTCAGCCTCCCAAGTAGCTGGGACTACAGGTGAGTGCCACCACACCTGACTAATTTTTGTATTTTTTGGTAGAGATGGGGTTTTGCTATATTGCCCAGACTATTCTCGAACTCCTGGGCTCAAGTGATTGACCCATCTTGGCCTCCCAAAGTGCTGGGATTATAGCTTCTCCTGCCTTTAATGGGGTGAATTTTGCCTGTGATACCCACCTGCCCACAGGTGACTTCTCTGAGAGAACAGGTGTTAGGACGAGAGTAGTTCTGGTCACTGCCTCGGCTTACCCCAAGGATGGGCTGAGATGCAGGGAGGACCTCTCCGTTCACCTGAGCAGCCAGACAACTCGAGGTACCAAGAGGTTTGCCAAGCTGGGCACAGTCCCCTGTGTATCTTCCCTACCTTCCAACAGACTTTATGTATGTTTTTATACACAAATGGCCAAAAACCCTGTAAGAGACTGAGCTGAGGTGTCAGCACAAGTTCCTGATGGAAAGGTCCAGCATGTTTCTCTAAGTGAATACCCACTAGTTCAATCATTCATTCAACGAGCACCATTGGCCCCCGCCACAAGCCAGGCATCACGCTGGGGGCTGGGGGCTGGGGTATCAAGAGCACATCTTCATGGCACCACCCTCCAGGGGCCACAGCCTTAGCTGTCGCAGGCCAGGCAGGTCACAGGGAGGAGTGGGTGGCATGGGAGGGCTGGGGAGTGGAGGAAGATGACCCAGGCCCAGCCCCTTGGCTCCATCTGATGTTCTCCAAGCAGAGATACAAACCCAGGGCCTTTGGATCACTTTGGTTGTCAGGGGAAGCCAGATATCTGTATATCTTAAAATGTGAAAATTTAAAAAAAATTTCCAATTAAAATTAATCATAAAAATATTGGCAACTAATTGAATTTTTAAAAATAGTGAAGACAGAACATTTTTGGGAGCTGGATTCAACCTTCCAGCCACTGGTTGGGTGCCTCTGGGCTAGTGGGAACTGGTCTTGTTGAATCTGGATCAAATGGCAAAAGTAACCTGGGAGAGACGAAGGGAAGGTCACTGGAATGATTTGAGGCCACTTATCACTCAACCTTGATGGGGCTTGCAGACTGCTGTCTGCAACTACAATGTGAGGGTTAAATGTAATTACAGACAGACAGTGCTTTGTGGCTGAGAGTTCTTACTCAATGAGGAATTTCTACATTTACTGATGGAATTGTGTTGCTATACTTAGTAGAAAGAAAGAAATAACAGTTCAAGATGAAGGACATCTCTGTCTCATGCTCCATTTAAGTCTTCTCCTTAGGATATCAAGGATGAATCATTTTCTTGTAGGTTGAAGTTACAGTGGAAGTTTGGAGTGACCTGTAGGTCACGGCACACACTTGAGTAAATTTGCACACCCCGGGATGCAGGCACTGGGCTTTTCTATTGTGGTTCAGCCAGCCACACAAGTTGGTGGTGTTTAAATTCACTGTGTTCTTGGCAGAACCCAAACTCTGCCCACCTGGGGAAACTGCCCCTGTCATTCTGCTGGAGCTGGCAGCTGGAGGGGAGGTTGGAGATTTGGTGATAACTTCTCCGATATTCCATCTACGAGGAGAAGGCCAGGCAGGGAGCAGCTGCGACTGCAAATACCAGGCCACAGGGCAGCTTCTCGCTGGAGTGCAGAAGGCCTCTGGAGGGGCAGCTAGTGGTGTCCCCTGCTGCCTTCTGGGGCCTGCTGGGATTGTACCTCTAATGTCCATCTGGTCGGTGGGGCCACGCGATGAGTCCAGAGTTGTGAGCAGATGTGCATCATCTGGGAGTGGGGCATTTATTTGCCGAGGTAAGGCCCTCCAGGACCCTCTTTTCCCTGAGCCCAGTTTGAGATGGAGGCTGCTCCATCGACCTGGTTCTTGGAGTGGCTGAGAGCCCCAGCTGTCCCTCTGGGGACATGTGTCTAAGTGAGAAACACCCTCTTGTTTAGGCTGAGATGTGGGGCTAGGTTATTATACGGTATCACCTGGCATTTCCTGACACCTGGAGCCACTCCATCGCTAGCTGCTACTAACTCTCATGGGTCGGTGGTCCAGGTGATAAGGACCAAGACCTTATCATGCTCTGGAGCTCCTGACTTCTGTGCCCCAAGGGGCCTCTTTTTTATTTTTTGAGTCGGAGTCCCACTCTGTTGCCAGGCTGGAGTGCAGTGGCATGATGTTGGCTCACTGAGACCTCCACCTCCTGGGTTCAACCGATTCTCCTGCCTCAGCCTCCCAAGTAGCTGGGACTACAGGAGTGTGCCACCATGCCTGGCTAATTTTGTATTTTTAGTAGAGACGGGGTTTCACCATGTTGGCCAGGATGGTCTCGATCTCTTGACCTCGTGATCTGCATGCCTCGGCCTCCCAAAGTGCTGGGATTACAGGTGTGAGCCACCTCACCCAGCCCCCAGGGGGCCTCTTAATAAGCACATCCCAGTCCACACCCCCATCCCGTGTGGCTGCAGGAAGTTCGTTCTTCGGCCAAATTCCCCACCACACTTCTGGTCATCCCAGGGATGCCTGTTCCAAGACCATCCTGGCGGTCATGGTCACAGCAGCCAGCAGTCCCCCTGAACCTTGGCTCAGGGCCCTTGCAGACCCCCTCTGAACATCTCCAGGCTAATTTCTGCTACCTCTGAACCCAGCTTCTCCCCATCAGAGACACAACCATTTCCATTAATGACTCAAAGCCAAGCAAAGACAGAGCTTTCACATCTAACACAACCTGACTAAAGGCCAGGGCAGTGGGGAGCTTATGATGTGGGCAAGTCAGCTTAGCGAGGTCTCCCAGATCTGAGGACTCCTACTCCCAGATGTGCCTTGCTTAGGGTGGAACCTTCTGGCTCCCCTGGTACTCAGCTCACCCCTGCAGCTGTGTTTTAGGGACCTTCCCCCTCCCTCCCTGCTGGGGCTGCCATTGGCCACAGCCTCCTTGCCAGAGTCCATGACCCCCAAGTGCTTGGAAGGAGAACAGGGTTCTCCTTGTCCCCAAGGCTGGCTGCTCTCCCTGTCATGATTCTTTTCCGAGTTACGAATCTGCCTGCAACAAAGGCAGCCTTTGACTTTCTTTACTGAACACAAATAGTTTAGTTCTTGAATATCTCTAACATCCCCATCTTGGGAGAGGATTTTGGTTTTACCAAAGTTGAGTAGCAATCCGCCTTCAAAGATGAGCCCAAACTTCCCGCCAGAGAGGCGGAGGCAGCTGCTGCCACTTCCAGTTGGCATTTACCACCTTCCCGGCCAGCATGGTGCCCTGCACCCACAAGGAGCCTGGCTTGGAGCAGTGTCACTGACTTCTCTGTGTGCTGGCTGTCACCATGGCCTGGCCACATGTTCTGAGCCCAAGACGTCCGGTGGATCTGTCACACCAGTGTCCTCATCCCCAGGCTATGTGGCCATCAAGTCCAGGAGAGGCTCACTGTCCCTCAGTCATGTAGGGCTCCCTCATCCTGGAGAGGCAGCTGGAGTTCCTAAGGAGCCAGGAGTGGCCCAACTCAGGGAGCTACTGGACACATAGCAGTCACTCTCCCTCATGTCAGGCTAATGGGCCCACTGGGAGGGCTGGGGTCTTCATGGCACAGGATGCCATGATGCCAGGGGGTCTCGCTTCTTTCCTGTTCCCTTCAGTGCAGTCTTGTGCCCAGGCCTGAGGGCAAGCATCTGTCCTTGCTCTTCCGGACCCAGTGGAATTATCTGGACAGAACTCCTAGATCTCAGGGTGTAGAAAGGCTTGAAACTTTTGCTGTCCCAGCCTGTCTGTGGGTAGGAGGTAGAGTTCCTGGTTGTGGTCTTTGTGGCCAATCTGTCGATAATGGAGCTGCTGTACTACAGTGAGGAGATTTGCAGTGTCCCCCGGACACTTGGTTGAGTTTTGCTTGGACTTCCTTGCCTGGCCAGTCTCTCAATGACTGAAAGGATCATTTGTATGGGTCTGATCCTGGCTTCCCAGAACAGGTGAGAGGACATGGGCTAGTGGCTGCCAGGACAATGGCTGCAACACACATTATAAATGTCATCGAGCCACATCAAATCACATTTGGAAAAAAAAGGACAAAGATCATGTATGAAGTTTTGACCCAAAAATAGTCATGGTTTTCACTTGTCTGTGTTCTCTTGCATCTTTTTTTCTATTATTTCACATCCCAGCCCAAGCATTCCCCATGTTCCTATGTGGTATTCTTATCCATCTTTGAAATGGTTTATAATCAACCACGATTTGAGTAATCGTTGCCATTGGACTTTGTTATGGCTTAAATTGTGTCTCTCAATTCTTATGCTGGAGTCCTAACCCCTGAGATATGACCTTATTTGGAGAGGGGGTCTTTGCAGAGGTAATCAAGGGAAAATGAGGTCACTAGGATAGGCCCAGAATCTAATGGCTGGGGTCCTTATGAGAATGGGAACCTTGGGGGCAGAGACAGGCACAGAGAGAGGATGACATGAAGAGACGCAGGCAGGAGTCACATGCAAGCCAAGGGGAGGCATGGGACAAAAATCCCTCCCAGCCCTGCAAGGAACCAGTGCTGCCCTCCCTTGATCTTGAACATCTTTGTCTCCAGAACTTTGAGAGAATGAATGCTTAAGCCTCCCAGTTTGCGGTACTTGTTACTGCAGTCCTGGTAGATGACTGCAGCTGTTTTCATCTATTGTTTGCTTTTATAATTAATTCCACAAGAACGAAAGCATAAATGGGTTCATGCTTTTGCTCCCCTGTCATTGATTCGTCTCCCATGCGCATAGCTCCTGGGTGACCTGAGGATGGAAGGAGGTCCCATTAGTGATTTCCCAAAGTACAGGGATTTGGGCAGTAACCCCATATCATCCTTTAAGCCCTTCCTAACCCCCTGTTGGACTTGGGAGCCCCTCAGAGCCCCTGGCACCTGAGCCCATCTCACCAGAGCACTCTCCCAGGGGCCAGCTGCTGCAGCGACCCCTCCTCCGGTTTGATTGTCTTTGCACCAAACCTGACCTCTGACAGCTGCTGAATGAGCCCATGCTGAGTGTGCGGGGGATGTGGGGAAGCCTGGGGCGGTGGTCACACTTGGGGCTGAGGACAGGTCTTGGCTCCAGCTGGTCTTTCCCACGGGCACAGGAGCCCTCACATGTGTGTATAGGAGGCAGGTTGTGCCTGGCATCAACTCTGGCTGAAGTGGAGGGGCTGAGGGATGCCCTGGCCATCAGGGAAGAGATCAGGGAAGAAGACACGGCCACAAACACCAAGCGTGGCCTGAGGATCTGCCCCAAGCCTGACAGCGCCATTTCAGGACCAGTCTTGCTTTTCTGACATAGAATAAATTGATAATCTATTGGTGTCAGCTGAGTGGAATTCGTAAGCATGTGAAACGCTAAAGCCTGCTGCTGGAAATGTTGTCATGTGCATTTTTGAAATGGAAGTGTCAGTGTTCTAGAAGTAATACGAGTCAGGGTGCTCAGCTCATTGAGCTGCCAAGCTTCATCTTAACAAAATAAAAAAGAAGGCTCAGAGAGAGAGCAGCAGGGAATGTGGACCCTTCCAAGTGGGGTGAAGCTCGAGGAAGATCCCCAAGTATAGCTGGAACTCTAAAAACCCAAGCTCTGCCTGCGAGTGAGGGGAGGCTCCTCTCCGGCCTGCTCTGCCAGGCCAGGCAGGGCTGTGGAAGGCTGGTCCTTGCACAACCACATATAGCTGTGGGGTAAGTTGAGCAAATGTAGGAAGAGGCTGGAGGATTCTTGTCTAGTAAACCTGAATATTGTCATTGTGATGGCATCCATTGAACAAGCTCCCCTGTGACCTGAGGACGGGAGGGGCCCGATAGTGATTGCCCAAGTGTAGGGATTTGGTCAGCAACCCCATATTGTCAGCATGCATTTTTATAGGTTGCCTCTGTATTTTGGTGTGTAGGTGTGAGTTTGTGTATGCATGTGTATTTGTGGGTATGAAAGTGTGAACATGTGGGTACACATGTGAATACATACCAGTATATGTACACATTTGATCAGGTACACAACTGTTGGTGTGTGGGGGTATGTACATGTGAATATGGAAGTGTGAGGGTGGGGGAGGTGTGCATGTGTGTGTGAGTGGGCATGCATGTGTGTGCATGTGAGTGTGTGCACTTGTGAGTATGTGGGTATGCATGTGTGTGGGTGTGTATGTGTGAGTGGGTGTGCACGTCTGCGTGTGTGGGTGTGCGTGTGTGAGTGTGCACATGTGTGAGTGTGTACATGTGTGGGGGGGTGCGTGGGTGTGCACGTGTGTGTGAGTGGGTGTGCATGTGTGCATGTGTGTTGACGTGTGTGGGTGTGCATGTGTGTGCGAGTGGGTATGCATTGTGCATGTGTGTGTGTGTGAGTGGGTGTGCACATGTGAGTGTGTGTGGTTGTCAGCTATAACTTCCACTTCCTCCCACCACCTTCTGCAAGATGGAAAACATTCAGAGCAGGGCTAGAAAGCACCCACCTTGACTCTGAAGCAAGCAGGTGACTGACCTTTCTGGGCAAGGATGTGGAAAAGGGGATGAGAGGCGACTGCGCTGAGATTAGCCTGATGTCAGGATGGCTAGAACAATGAGGTGGACGCCGGACACTTCCTCTGGTGGCTGAGGGAATTTGCAAGACAGGATGCTCTCAGGAACACTTAGTTCACACAGGGGTATGAAATAGGATCGGTTTTCCCTTCATGTTTTATAGTTAGTACTGGTTATTGTGTTATCGCAGTGCACGGTGAAGGAATTCTGATTACTTACTGTCCAGCCGTGCTGGGGATGAGGAGCTCTTGTTCACAGGCTGGCCAGTGCACTGACCAGTGGGGCTCCCAAATCGCCGGCTCTGGGGCATGTCATGCACACCTGCACCAGGGTACCTGGGAGGCCCCGCAGATGCCATGGTGTGAAGCATTTGGGAGGGCAGCACCACAGGGGCAGAGGAATCCACATCTTTAGTAAGAACAATAGCCAACATTCCTCCATGCTTTGGGGCCTGGAGCTAAGAGTTCTAGGTGCATTATCTCATTTAACTCTCAGACAGACTCTGTGTTTAAAGAGCCCTCTAGGTCAGCAGTCCCCAGCCTTTTTGGCTCCAGGGATCAGTGCCATGGAAGACCATTTTTCCACAGAGGGTGTGGGAGGTGGGGGGATGGTTTGGGGATGAAACCGTTCCACCTCAGATCATCAGGCATTAGATTCTCATAAGGAGCATGCAACCTACATCCCTCTGGTATGAAGGTCACGGTAGGGTCGGTGCTCCTATGAGAATCTAATGCCACCATGGATCTAACAGGAGGCTGAGCTCAGGCAGTAAAGCTCACCTCCTGCTGTGTGGTCCAGTTCCTAACAGGCCATGGACCCGTCCTCGGTCCAGAGGTTGGGGTCCTCTGATCTAGGTGATGTTGTGCTTGGAAAGAGCCCTTGGGAAGATCAGGAGACTGGGTGCTTCTCCAATCCTGCCACAGTGGGGAAGAGACCGGGCCTCCCAGGTCTCTTCTACCTGTTATGCACTGTGAGTGAGACTCTGCCTTGTCGTCTCCTGTCTAGAGGGAGGGAGGATGACTCCTGGGGAGAGTGTAGTCATCCTCAGACCCCCAGAATCCAATGACCACAATTCACTGTCTGGGAGTCAGTAGCTTCCTAAGGGTCCAGATATCTGGCATTTATTTTCTCTTGAAGGACTGGGCAAGTTTGCAGTTTCTCCCCCAGACTTTAAAGAATAGATTTTCTTGGAGCCACGCAGCACGAGCGAAGCTCAGACCCCAATTAAAGCTGTGTCTGGCTGTGGTGGCGGCGGCTTTCCTGTGGCTCGAGGGCTGGGAGCTTGGAAGAAAGTGAACTTGTGCAAAGTTGGTCTGGTTGCATGCATGGCTTCCAACACCCACATTTTCCTCAAGGCTGAGTTGGTGGGCATTTATTTTCCATCGTAAGATTAGTTAGAGAATCCAGATGGTTTTCTGATTTGCCAAAAGCATGCATTCAAGATTAAAAAAAAAACACCCAAGTGCACTACTTTAGTAGTCATTTGGAACGTTATAATTTTTCCCCGTTTACAGATACAGAAAATATGCAACTCAGTGAATGTGAAAGTCTCTCTTGGGCAAACCCTGCCTCCCAACACAGGAGAATTTAATCTCCTAGGAAACATATCTGGACATGTACCTCTAAGTATTTATTCGGATGCAAGAATTCAGAATATGTGCTGAATTTAAACTCTGACACACAGGGACTGAGGTTTGCTGCTGAAAATACCCAGCGTTTTGTCAAGATGAAGTCATTTTCTTTTTTCTGTCAGCAGGTGATGGGGAAAAACTTAGACATCAAGGCTGATTAGAGAATGTCATTTCAAGTTTATTCTTGGGTATGAGTGAGGGTGTAAGCCTTGGTTTGGGGCTATTTCCTTCCAGGAATGTATTACTTTGCTTGCATTCTCACTTGTAATGCTTTTGAGAAACATGGCTGTTTGAAGAAGAGAGTAATTTGTATCTCTGCCCTCATTTTACAGATCAGGAAACTGAGGCTCAAGAAGGGGATTTGACTTTTGCACACAGTTAGTTCATGGCAGAAGTGAGATCAGACTCCAGAAATCTAATGTCCAAGTCTTGGGAATTTCTCTGCACCCTGAGATGTCTCCTGATTGATTTCCTGACACAGAATGAATGTCCTGCTTCTTAGTCATGATAATTCACTCAAGTCATGTCCTTATGAAAATTCCCAATGATAATGCACATGTTAAAGCAATGTAAAAGTTTTGAATTTGCAATTTTAAACTTTCTTCCAATGCAAGGAAAATCATGCTTTCTTTATAAGATGTTAGACTTCAAAATACACTTAATTTGATTGTAGGCATAGCTTTCTCTGATCGACTCAGAGAAATATTATTGTCATGCAAAGGCCGTGTAGTACTGCTGTGGTTTTTGCTGTGTGAACTTAAAAAAGGGAATCTTTTTTTCTATCTATCTTAGTCAACTGACGTGGGGGTTGATTCTCTGGTCTTTATACCAGCTTACATTCAGTCGTATTAACTGTAGGAAAATGCAAACAGGCTTATGGTCCTTTAGTTTTATTTTGTACTTCTGCTTTCCTCTATAATGCAGCAATTTAAAGAACGGAACAAATAAATGGAAGATATGGAAATGTGGTTAAACTGTTGGCTCAGAATAATAGAACCCTTTCATGTTCTCTCCAGAACTCCCTATTCATGTATCATGATGCCAAGTTTTGGCAAATAAGCCAAGTTTGGATTAAGTTACAGCCAAGTATGTTGCCTTTGCCCATTCAATTTATTCTTGGCAAACTTCAGAGAGTATTTATAATAAAGTCCCATTTCGAACATTCTAGTGCCCCAGTGGAGTTCTAATAACACTGGGTATTTATTTAATGTCTAACTCTAGGAGTTCAAAGCACTTTACAGACATTCCTTGACTGATCTTAATATCCCTGCAAGATTTTACAGATTGGAAAAGTCAATTGAGGCATGGAGACTTGCTTGAGATCACCCAGGAAGACCATGGGATCCCCTAAATTAATCACATACCTCCTGACACTTAGAAGTTTCTGTGCCTTAGATGGTGAAGCATTCCCAACCTCTTATCTAAATGTTGTTGAATGGAGAGTATTTGTTTATTTCTCCATGGAGATCTTTAATTAAGGAAAGTAGAAACCCCACAAACACCTCTGTTTATGTGTCATAGAATTAATTGGGCAATATCTCTTAAAAACTTTGATTCCTTGGCAATGAAGTTAACATTTTGGTAGTTAGAGAACAAACAGTTGGGAGTGTGTCCCATTTAGATGAAACAATGGTAGTGATTTTTCCATGGCTTCCAGAGAAGATTCTCAATAGCTTAGGGTGTGTGTGTGCGGAGGGGAGCAGGCAGGGCAGGGGGAGCTGGGGAGGTTTGGTGGGATCACACAGCTGCAGAGTGGGGAGGTGGCATCAAAGAAAAGTGTTCAAGTATCTCTGTGGTGTCTTCCACCACCCAAAAGACATCACCATTCGTCTCTCTGTGATTCTGGGGCACTGGCTATAAGATAGTGACTTAGCACTCTGGGGACATGCTTTGTATTTGCCAGGTTAAGTTTTATATTGTGCCTGAGATGGAAAAGACACCACATTGAGCTTGCTGCAGATGACTAAAAGAAAGAGGTAGAGTTTGAAGCCCGAGTGCTTGATGGCAACCTGAGTCCTGGTCAAGACGTTTTCCTATGTCTCTCATGCAAGGAAGTAGTGATGATTTTGCCAATTGCTTCTCTGAAGCACGTGTGGAAAGGCCATTTCAAGGGCTTCTCCCGATAATTGCAGAGGTGGCGTCTGCTCCAACAGTCCTGGCCTGGGTCTTGGGGGATCACATAAAAGAAAAGGCTCTTGTCTGTACAACCTGTTTATTTTACAACCGCCATATGGTCCGAGGTCTTCTCTGAGATTGTTTGTCGGAGCCAGAATTGAAGCTTGCCCTACCATTTCCCATGTTCTTCCTTCTCTAACATCTGGGCACCTAAATGCGGGATCACGCTGCAGCTGGGGTTGTTCTCTGCAGCACATGGAGAGGCATCTAGGGTGCACTCAATGCAGACCCTGGAGCTGGACTGAGTTTAATCATTGGAGACACTCAGCAGCTGTGTGACGGGGCATGAGCCACTTACTTCTTTGCACCTCAGTTTCCTCATCTGTAAAATGGCAATAATACTACTAATAGTATCTGCTTCATGAAGATGAAATGGACTGATAATATTAAACTCTTAATACTGTGCTTGGCATATAATTAGTGCCTTATTGGTTTAGTAGCTATATTATTATTCCCATGAACTGTCCAGATTCTCTTTCTCTCCTGGAAACAGATGGAAAGATTGACAATAAAACAAACATAGGTGGGGGCCTATGCATAGGGGGGTCATTAGCACTGAGAGTTGACAGGGACAACCTCCATGGCCGAGCCTGCAGAGAAACTTTTTTTTTTTTTTTGAGATGGAGTCTTGCTCTTTTGCCCAGGCTGGAGTGCAGTGGCACGATCTCGGCTCACTGCAACCTCCATCTCCCTAGTTCAAATGATTCTGCTGCCTCAGCCTCCTGAGTATCTGGGACTACAGGCGCCCACCACCATGCCCAGCTAATTTTTGGATTTTTAGTAGAGATAGAGTTTCACCACGTTGACCAGGCTGGTCTCAAACTCCTGACCTCAGGTGATCCACCTGCCTTGGGTTTACAGGCATGAGCCACCGCAGTTGGCCCTGATAAGGAACTTTTGCTGGATGAAATGCACACGGGACAACACAGCTGAGGCCGCAGAAGGCAGCACATTTTTCCCCAGGGATCCGTGAGGGCTGTGGCTGTTGGAAGTGGGTGTTTCAGGGAACTTCCTGAGACTCTAGCCTGGGGACGCAGAGCTCCAGTTGAGAGTGGGCCAAAGTGAAGACGCCTCTTGGCATCCCTTTGCCCTGGCAGAGCAGTGACCCCCAGAGAAGGCCAAGTTGGGCAGGGGGGCAGCCCAAAGACTTCTTGATGTGGAGTTTATCTCTAGGGAGCTTCTCCTGGCCCCAGCAGCAGCAGGCGACTTCCCTGAGCACTTTTGTGACCCACAGTTTCCTTCTGGGTGGGAAGAGGCACTCCCTCAATTTGGAGAGCGTGGTGCCAGAAAGAGGGCTAGCTAAAGTCTCCCAGGCACTAGAGTGGTGGCCTGGCTAGACGGACAGCCAGACGTGGACAAGGAGGGGTTGGTGTGAGGGTTTCACTTGCCGGAGAAGGCATCGGCAGAGAGCTTCTGACCAAGGGGCTGACAAAGTTCTGCTCGCCATTGGGCTGCTGAGACCCGACCGGCCTCCAGCTGGAAGTCTGGAGCAGGGGTAAGGGGCAGGAAACAGCAAATGTACCCGGAAAGAAGAGGACCCTCAGAGTGTCTCACGCTGTTTTTGGTTAGACTGTATCCTGTGACTGACCCAAGCCAACACGCTTATCCATGACAAGATTCTGCAACATTAAAGAAGGAGATTAACTTATATCACAGCCAACAGGAGAAAACAGATTTAAACACATTTACTACTGGAAACAGGAGGAAAACTTTGACATCATCTTCTTCCCCTTTTATAGATTCTGTGCAGTAAGAGATGAACTATAAGACAGGGATGAAAAAGGAAGTGGGAGACTTATGGAAAATTGGGAAGAGAAAAATAAGTCTGTAACAAACAGAATTTAAAACGGGATTAGAAAAAGTCAAAGTCAATCAAACTTCAAAAAGTTGAATCAGTCAATCTGTAAAAGCTCTTCTAAGTTAAAGTGAAATGGTAAAGAAATGAAGAATATTAGGAAAAATATAATAGCTATTGATGAGACATAATGGTTTCAAGGTACTTATAATTTCTGTTCCTAAAGAAAAATATCTAACAAAGGAAGAAAGCTATTCAATCAGACCATAGAAGTGATCTGCCTTGGACTTTAAAGCTAAAACCAAATAAAAACAACAGCAAAGCACTCTGAATTGACATTGATAAAAAGAGATTTGCCAGAAATAAGTAGTCGTGGCAGATAATTTCTTGGCTTTTAAGAAATTACTTAAAATGGAAAAATAAGTTAGGAGAGCAAGGATTTTAAGAATATGATTAATAAGCTTGAATTGAGAGCTAAGAGTCGACTGGTATGGTCTACAAAGGAAGACTCCAGCATCTTCTTACGTTCCCATGGGATAGTTACAAAAATTGACTGTATATTTAACTATTTTTAAAAATTCAATAAATTTCTAAGAGCAGAAATAGTACCATCCACATTCTTTGACCACAGTGCAATAAAACTAGAGTTAAATAATGAAGATATAAACAGGAAACTGCAGGCATTGGAAAATTAAAACAAAGCAAAACAAAACGTTTCTAAATAACTGCTGGGTCAAAGATGAAATCAAAACCACAACTGTAAACTATTTAAATGTATTTATGCAAAAGTTTAGCTTCAGCAATGCATATTACAGCATTGACTGCGGCAGTGAAAAAAATGGAACATCCAAAATACCAAACACAAGGAGCTAGTGAAAACATCAGGACGCACCCTTGCCATGGAACACTCTGTGGCCATTAAAACATTTTTATGGGCACGGCAAGATGCTTGGGATATGTCTCACATAAAGGAACTGTAGATACAGAGTCATCCCACTTTTTCAACTGTGGTTATGTTTTATCTGTGGGTGGTAGGGAAATATACATTTTTTCTTTTTGCTTGTGGCTATTTTCTACTTTGTCTTGATGGGTATTAACTACAGATCAAAATCAACAAACACGGAAAAAGGGGAGAAGGCCAGGGTGGGGAGATGATATATGTAATGGCCAAGGGAAACACCCAATTACTGTAGATGGGTCCCTGAGGGTGTGGAATTCACTGCAGCAGGCTCTGCCTGTCTGTATATAATCTTCAGAAAACATGTCCTTCATAGACACACACTTAAATATAGTTTCATTAGCAACGTTATGAATTTCCTATTAATAGGCCCCAGTTGACGATCTCCACTATTTGCACGGTAACTGCAACCCACTTACTAATTAGTAATGGTTTAGGGATCCTGAACTGAGTTGGTAATGTTTACTTTTATTTCCAGAAGTGGGTGGCATGTATAAACAAGACGAATTCCTCTGAGCCAAGATTCTGAGCGATGGCTGCAGGGTACAATCACCCCTGATACCCCAAAGCACACCTTGGTCCAGAATCTATTTGCCAGGGATTCCACTGGATGATTAGGTGATTCAGATACATGAAGCTGGATGCCTTCCTCCCAACTTTATTATAATGATCCTTGGATTGGGTAGAACGTATCCAAGACTTCTGCTGTCAACACACAAGTGAATTATCCATCACATGGCACCTGCTGCCCAGACAGCCCACTCTGCCTGGACCTAAAGGGCTGAGCCAGGAGTGATGGGGCCCATCGGAATCTCTATCCCACAATTTGTACCCAAGACCCGATGAATCTCATTGGTCTTTATTGGGTGTTTAGATGGAGAAGTGACGTAAATGTGGACCAGGGGAAGCTGTGAGTTCATTGAGGGGAGATCACTGGACTGCCAGTGAGGTCATTCCACAGGGTCGTAGAGGGTGAGTGATGAGAGGTGATGGTGGGAGGGAAGAGGGAGCCAGCACAGGAGAGGGGAATCTGGGAAGTCCCTCCAGAGGCCCCCTCTGCACTTCCTGCCATTGAGCTCCTCTGCCAGCCCAACAATCCCCCCTTTAGTCTCTCTGGGATTCTGTTACAGGCAACCAAGCAATTAACAGTCAGGCCAGTTACCTTGTGCTTGATATTTAAGAAACTCAGCTTCCACATATGGATAACAAAGCAATGTGAAACAGCTTTAAAACATAAGTGAGACTTTAATCATATTCACATTTTCTTCTTCAAAATGTAACAGCCTGCAAACCTTATAGACAAATTGGACAAAAAGCTTCTACAAACCAAAAAACAAGTAATAACAGGATAAATAACAGTTTAAAAATTATTTGCAGAACTTGATCTCAATGAATATAGAGATAATGAAGCAGTTGCAGGGAAAGTGTTGTCATGAACTAGAAATGCTAAACACCAAAAGCATTTAATTAAGAGCCATAATACGTACGAGGCAGCAGTGTGAACTGCAGAATGATTGGCCATTCCTAAAAAGAAGTGAAAAATGACTGCATGAAGGTAAACAAGATTACTTCAGATGCGATTGCCAGAACCGCCATCTAGTGTTCCCAGATTTAGCAAATAAATACACAAGACATCTGGGTAAATTTGAATTTCAGATAACCATTGACCAACATTTTTTAGGGTAAGCATATCCCAAATATTGCATGAAATATACTAATTTTTTTTTGTTACTGCTGATCTAGAATTCAAATTTAACTGGATGTCCTATATTTTATCCAGCACCCCTACCTGCATCTCAAGAATGGCTTAATGAATTTTAAAAAGTATAGGTTGGTACAAAAGTTATTACGGTTTCTGTCATTGCTTTTAATGGTAGAAATCGCAATTACTTTTGCACCAGCCAATAATATTCATGAAATTGCATTCAGCTCTCTCTCACTTAGGAAATTCTTGACCTTCACAACTCTATTTCATCTAATCCCTTTCCATTAAAAAGATATCCTTAGCAATGTGCTTTGTGTCAAGAGAGTTGCAATTCTGTTCATGTAGTGTGCCTGGTATTGCAAATGGTGCTGGTATGTTGCACACACAATATTTTCAATCCAGCTTCTAAAAGGTGTTGAGAAATGTTTGTTACTGCTGGTATATTTCCTTAGGAAGCAGGATACCAGGACATCTTGAGGGCTGGATAGGCAAAGTGGAAACCTGGTAACTAATCTCTCATCCCAAAACCAAAAAAAAAAAAAAAATCTAAAAACAATCATTGGGAAGATTATTTAATATATGTATTGAAAACAAAAGCCATTTCCAATGCATTTGTTGGTGTTTGATCCCATGTAGTGGAGGCCTTAGTAACTGGCTCCTTCCTGAGCTTTCTGGGACTTGTGAAGATCTCATGTGTATGTTCCTATGGGAACTTTGACCCCTGGGGACATCTATATAGTGAGAAAACTTAGTGGCGTTAACATTTCTAAAAGGTTCTAGAGTTATTTTATGCAAAGACCTTGTTTCACCTTCAGCTCCTTTCTCCACTGTGCCCTGAGCTGAGGGGACTAAGAAGTGCCAGCCAGGACTCTGGGTCTGAGAGATGCTGCCTGTATGGGAACTTGTGCTCTGCTGTGTGGACAAAAGGCCACCGTGAAGCATGCTTCTGGAGGCAGAGTGAAGTGGAGGTGGGGGCTCAGCTTGGAGGTCGGGACCTGCTCGTTGCATCCCTTCTGTGCCTCCACTCCTATGGAACTGTGTGACCCAGGGAGAGATGATTAACTGTCCCCGGCCTCAGGTGTAAGATGCCCAGTTGGCTGCTGCCAACACACCTGTCAACCTCGCCCTATCCCACAGCCAGTAGCTGATGCACCTCCACGTCCTTCTGCTTGCCATCTGAGGTCACTCTTTTGTAAAACCAAAAACTGCTTAGTCATAGAAATAAAATGCAAGTTCCAGTCTCTCCTCATGCTGGACTCGGATCACTGCTGCTCAGGCTGCTGCAAGGGAGCCAGGGTGGGAGAGAGGCTGGCCAGTCTGTGCTGTCCACTTCCTGGAGGTTCATGCTGGATGTTCCCTCCCCTGGGACCTTGCCTGTCCTGCACCTGGCTACAGATGCTGGGCCCACAGCCAGACGGCAGGGAGCACAGCCAACCGGCATCAGGGTCGAGATTAAAACCCGTCTCCTGGTTCCTGGGCCAGTGTCACTGGGAAACGGGCTCAGAGGGAGGAGTCAGAAGGAGAGATCCACACCAGCTCTCTCTCTCCCTTTCTCTCTCCGCCATCTTGCCTCTCTCTTCCCCTTTCCTCTGGTGCTAAGAAAGCTTTGTAACTCCCGCAGGATGACACTGCTCAGAGGAATCACAGGCTTGGGGGCTTCCAGATTTGTTCCCAGAACTCCACTTTTGAGCCCCATGAGTGCCTGGGATTTGGGAGTCAGGAATTTTTAAACCACCTGGGTCATTGTGGGATACCAGCGAGTTAGAAATTCAGTTATGTTGTGTTCATAGCTCAGAAAGCAGAGTCCTTTGAGCTGCAACTCCTGTTGTCCAACCTCTGGGAGCAGTCCTAAGGTGGGGGCACCGCAGCACACCCTGCTCCTGATGCTTGCCCAGTCCCCCCAAGCCTACTCTGCAGGGCGAGGACTGGGATGAGGTGGGCTAAGCAGGGCTCCCACTGTTGGATTACTGATGGAGGGTGTCCAGGTTCTTGGCGTTTTGAACAAAGATTTGGACAAAATGCACAAACAAAGCAAGGACAGAATGAAGAAGCAAAGGCAGAGATTTGTTGAAAATGAAAGTACGCTCCACAGGGTGGGAGCAGGCCCGAACGCAGGGGCTCAAGAGCCCTGTTACAGAATTTTTGGGGGTTTAAATACCCTCTAGAGGTTTCCATTGGTTACTTGGTGTACACCCTATGTAAATGAAGAGGATGAAATAAAGTTACAAAATCATTGACTTGGTGTACGCTGTATGCAAATGGAGAAGATATTTCCTGTCATAGCTGATGAGTTTCCGTTTGATTTAGTTCTAGGAAGTCAGCGTGAATCGGCTTTGCGTTCCCTGCCTCCAGACCCTATTTTCCTGCCTCATTTGGGAGAAGATTCTAATCCAGAACCCGTGGCTCTTCACGCGTACAGAACCAGCTCCACACAGAGACCCCAGAAACCTGCAGATGGTGCAGTCTCGGGAAAGTTTTGTGAACACATGGCGAGAAAATATCAGTGCCAGAGAAATAAGTGGGTGAAAGACTCTGTGAGTTTTGGTGATATTATGATATGGTTTTGATTTACTGGTATTGACTGAAAATAAAAGAGGGCACAGATCTTTTCTGAAAGTGAATTTTACTTTTGTCTCCGTGGACTTGAGAAAAAGAAAGTCACTACAGAGACACTCGCATCTGCCCAATCCTGGGAAGCAAGAACCTATAACACTGCGTTGGCCCTGCTTCAAAAACGAAACAAAGCAACTTCATAAATCCTGGGGCTTGGGCTGGTGCTTGTCATAGGAGGAACCATGCTGCCCCCTCTAAGATGTGCAAGGCTCTGGGACAATGTGCTGGGGGCTTAATGTAACCTGAGAGGTGGGCGGGGCCAATCACCTGCCTCAGTCTTGCAGCTGAGCCTAGGTGCAGAGGGGACCCTACCTCCCTGAGGCCATGCTTGCCAGTAACTGGCAGAGCTGGGATTTAACTCTCAGAGTGTCTATCTCCAAAACATTCTTCTTGTCTAAATTAGGGAGAAAGAGGCAAACCAGTGTCACATAAACACTGTGTGCCCCTCTTCACTTTCCAAATCTTTCTTCCTAACTGTGAATCCTTCCCAGTTTGAGACCCAACAGGCAAGCTCTCTCTGACCTTCCTCCCCGTGAGAATCCGCTGTCATTTCCTGTGCAGTGGACGGGGCCTGGTAACTCGCTGCTGTGGCCTCCAGGTGGTGAAGAGCATGGGGTTTAGGGAGTCTGTAAGAGCAAGTGTTTCAACCCCAGTTCTTTCTCTACATAGGGTGATGGCCAAACTCTCTAAGCTCTCTGTAAAGTGGAGACCATAGTATCTACTTTTTTTTTGGATTGCTGTAAGGATTAAGTGAGAAAATTCCGTAAACTTAGTAGCATGAAACCTGGCACATAGAAGGAATCCACTATTTAATAGCTATTATAATAGATTAATAATATTCATGTATTTTGCCATTATTTTGCCTCAACTTGACTTTTGTATTTTAAGCCTTTCTCCTCTACCAGGATTAAAAGACCTTCTGTATCTGACCCTCATGTAGCAGCAAGCATGTGTGACTGGAAGGACCCCACTATCACCCTTTGAATGAGGCTGGTCCCATGGCAATAGTCAAATGGCTGGTGTAGCCCAGTCACTGCCCTGGCACTACCCTGTTGTAGCAAATGCTGGCTGATGAACTGTTCTGGTACATTCCCGCTGGAATGTCAGAGTGTCAGAGTGGTGGACAGTCCAGGGTGTCTCCCCTCCTTCAGCTGCCTCTCTGTGCCTTGTAAGATGAAGACACCAGAAGCCTGCCTACCTTGGCTGCAGGAAACCTAGTTCCAGAAAAGAGTTTTTGAACCAAGTGCCCTTCTCTTCCTTGAATGAATCCTCTTTGTCTAACCTTTCTGGTAAGATATTAAATGCTGGTTTTGTGCTTGCATGTGTGTTTTTATTAGTGGTTAATTTTTGACATGGTAGATCCTCTTTTCTGGTATTCTGGAAGTTATACCTTTGCGCCCTATGTTCCTGCCCCTAGTAAAAGATTCTCTGGAAACAAATTGCATACTTGCTTTTAGTATTTGAAATGCTTGATATGAGCTGTCTCCTCCAAAATCTAAGTCAATTATGATCCCAACCTTGAGCCCTCAGGACAGGAGAAAGTCCGTGGGTGTCCTCACCTGCAGCAGTCTCTGCCAAGGAGATGCATCTGGCCAGCCCTGGCCTCCTGCCCTCTGAATGAGAGATCCTCTGCCAGCCCTAGCCTCCCGCTGGAGTCTCCACCCAGACATCCATGGGGACGAGGGTGGCCAGCCTCCTACCAACCGCACCCCCGCCTCCCTTGCTCATGCTGAGTTATCACGGACTGAGCCCCTGGTGCTGGAATTTCCTGTGTGCAAATGGCCTTGGTGTTATCCTCCTCTTCCTATGTTCTGGGCGAGTCCCAGGGCAGTGGGGCATTTGCTTTGGCCTCCCTGCCCACGTTGCCCTGCAGTCTTCCTCAGCCTACCATCCACTCAGTGGCTCCAGCCAGAGGCCTTAGAACAAACCATGGTCCCCTCTGTTCCTCACACACTGCATCCACGCCCAGATGGACCTTATGCCTTTCCATCTTTCTCCATGTGCCCGGGATCCCCGTTCTACTATATCCTGTCCCCTCATGACAGCCAGGTGACGTTTTGCAACAAAACCCATTATCTACCCCCACTCCCCAAAGCCCTCCAAAATATCAGCATTGCATTAAGAATAAAATCCCAACTCCTTGCTAAATCCTGTAACTTTGGGCCCCTGCCCCCTTATCTGAACATCCCACAGGCCCCTCTTCTCACTCTTTCTGTTTTGAACCTGCTGACTTTCTCTTTATTATTGACCACATCCAGCTGTTTCCTGCCCTGGGATCTGTGCTCACGAGACTGGTGGTCTGTCTGCCTCAGCTCTCCCTCCAATGAGCAGGAGCCCTCTTCTCCGCTTCATTCCTTAGTGGAGGCTGAGCAGTCCCTCCAGATGGGGCTTCCATGCCCCTGGGTTTTCCACCACTTGGCTCCCATCTTTTTTTCATAGCAGGTAGTGGGTTTGGTCACTGCCTCTCCAGTGAGCCTGGAGGGGCCACGAGGACAGGGCAGACCCCTCCTGCTCATAAGTGGACCCCAGCCTGCACAGAAACTGGCTCCCAGCAGAGCTGGTCGTGATCTGTTGATAAAGACACAGCACCCTCTGTCCCTGGAGGTGTGGCCAGGGCACATCTACCCCGCTTTGCCTCTGTCCTTCTCACCACAACACGCTTCTTATCACTGTGCCCCCAGAATGACAGGATAGTGGTGATTGGGAAGGGGCTGAAACACACCTGACTCGGTGGATGTAGCACTCCACTGTCACACCTCATCTGTGTATGTGTGTGTGTGTGTGTATGTGTGAGCATGTGTCCATGTGTGTGCATGTGTGTATCTGTGTGTGCATGTGAGGACAGCATTTTTGGCTCTTTAAGTTTGACCTGGAATGTCCACTTTTAAATAACTGATGGCAAAGCCAAGCTGCTTGCGAAAGCAGGACCCGGTCCCAAATGCCAGTGGGGATTAAGAGGAGGTGGGACTTGTGCATCCTGGGTGGACAGGAGTCCTGAGATGTGAGCCTGGGGCCTATCTGATGACCGTCCTGAGACCCCAGCCCCACAGCAGCCCCCAGCCCACCTGCCTTCCTCAGCCTGCATGGAAGCTCCTCCATTCCCTCCAGGCTTAAATGGGAAGCCATTTCCAGACAGGAAGTGGAGAAGGGGAAAGTCAGCCATCCCATCAGCCTTTTCTGGGTATGTGGGGCTTGTCAGTGCTTGGATGGGGTCCCAGGCGGCTGGGGCGTTCTCACCAGGAACTGGCAGTCACAGGGTGGCAGGCAGAGCTGGAAGTCAGGGCAGAGGGCGGGACAGTGCGGGGGCTGGGTCAGAGCCAGGGCAGGCCAGTGCGGTGCCAGCTCACTGCAGGCTCTGCCCAGAAGTGTGTGGCAAAGACAGATTTCAGGTGTGGGTGTCTGGGATGAAGGCAGAAAGCAGGGAGAACTCAGATGGAAGATTCTGGAATAGGATTCACAGAGTCAATGGTCTGGGGGTCTCAGTGTAACTGGTGACGATAGCAGGGAGGGGGCCTCCCTGGGGACGGGGGTGGGTACAGAGGAGACAGGCCACACCCTGCTGGGCAAGGATGGCTTCCTGTGGGTCACCAGGGAGGTTGCAGGAGAAAAAATTACAGAGCTTGCCCAGAATATGCCACCCTGTTTTTGGGGTTTTATGGTGGTAAAGCTAAGTCTGCAAATTGCACTTAGAATAAATGCAAACGTATCTGGTGGCATTTTGTTTCTCTCTCATTGCCAGTCTTCTGGAATCAGGGCTGTTGTGTGTTGATCTGGGACTCCCGGGCCCTGCCTCTGTCCCTGGCCTCGGCCTGCTGGCTTGTGTGGGACCTGAATTTCGGGAGCTGTGTGCTGCGTCCTCCCGCTTCCCTATCTGGCCTGTTCTGCAGGATGGGAGGGCCAGGGGCTGGGAGTGTGTCCCCTCCCACCCTCCCTTGGAGGCTGAGCTTGGTCCTTTCAGGAGCATCAGGGTAGAGCTCCACTGAGATGGAGCCACTGCTGACTCCTTTGGTGAAATGATCCATAAGCCCCTGACTTCTCTGTCCTGAGAATTTGATTTCTTACTTTTCCAGGCTCGTTTAAAAGGAGGCACGGTGGCAACTCAGCTTATTATGGAGACTCTTTACTGCAGCAAACACACTTGCTCTTTCTCTTCTAGTTTCCTCATCTGTAAAAACAATCACAATTGTCCCCGACACATCTCCACCGAGAGTTCCTGAATGCCGTGGGAATAGTGTGCTGTTAGGGGAATTATTCTGGTTTCCAGGGCGATGTGTGTGCTGGGAGGGCCCTGAAATGGTGGTTGGGGGTGGGGAGGGGTGGGAAGGATGTGGAGGAGGCACCCAATTTCTCAGGAGCTGGTGCTTCTCCCTGCCCTCCCTCCCATGGGAGGAAGCAGCCGAAACTTGATAAGGGTTGTATTGCTTTTACCAATAAAGGGTTTCTCCTGCCGCCGCAGGCGGGGTCTGTCGTGGCTCTGCAGACATCGCACACACTCCTTCTTCACTGGGCCCCGCAGGGACTCAGGAGACAGGGCAGTGGTGGACGCTGTGCCTGCAGAAAGGACCCTGTCCCTGCCCACGGAATTGCTGTGATGAGGATGCTCCGCTGGGGGACTCCTGGTCGTGAGTCCAGGATAAAAGAATGTCTTGTTCTCAAGTGGAGAGGGCCCCAGAACGGGGATTTGAGGTGGAGCATTTTGAATTGGCGTGAATCCAAATGATTGCATACTCCAAAATATGACCTGTGTTCTCCTGACAGAAATGCACACAGGGGAAATCAAGCAGCCCAGACGCTGCTGGGGGGCAAGCGCAACTGGCAAGAGGCGGTCCACTCAGGTCCCATGCCATGGTGCATTTCCATGAGCCGGGGAGTTATGGGATATTCTACCTGGGTAAAAGTATTCTTCACACTCAGAAAGCAATTGTGTAGCCCTTTAGAGCTCACTCGTGTCAGGTGCAATGCAACTAGCTATGTACCTGTCCACTCCTGTTGCCACTTGCAGATTCCCTGAGGGCAAGGACTGGGCCTCTCCTCCCTCCCTCCCTCCATCCCTCTCTCCCTCTTCTTCTTCTTCTTCTTTTTTTTTTAGACAAGACAAGGTGTTGCTCTTGCTCTGTTCTACAGGTTGGTGTGCAGTGGCACCATCATGGCTTACTGCAGCCTCAACCACCCAGGCTCAAGTGATCCTCTCTCCTCAGCCTCCTGAATAGCTGGGACCACAGGCAGGCACCACCATGCCAGGCTAATTTTTAAACTTTTTGTAGAGCCAGGGTCTTACTATGTTGCCCAAGCCGGTCTTGAACTCCTGGGCTCAATCAATCTTCCTGCTTTGACCTCCCAAAGCACTGAGATTGCAGAAGTGGCTTTCTTCTCTCCCTTCCTCCCTCCCTCCCTTCCTCTCCCCCTTCTCTTCCTTACTCCTTCTTTCAGATCCCCAAAATACAGTTGCTGGAATGTGTAAGTGTTTAAAATAGAAAATATATTTATCTTGCTGATTAAAGAGCAATACCCATTTATTGATAATAACTCGGAAATATAGAAAAGGGAAAAAGAGAAAATAATATATAATTCCGCCACCCAAAGGTGGCCACTGAATAGATGTTTGTTTTGACTTATTGAGGCATTCAAAGCATGTTGGTGCATGGTTTTTAGACTACTTTTACACCCATTGTTTAGTCACTTGAACTTTTATGTGTCATAATCTCTCCACATAAGCTTATTTTAATGGTTTGAATGTATCACAGGACGTGATGGATGAGGCTGTTTTTTACTCATATAAAAAACACTGAGAAAAACATCTTTGCAGGGATTTATTTAAATATCAGATTTGCTTGTCTTTTTGAAGACTTTCATGGATAAGGCAAATTATTTCCATTTGGAATTAAGAAGAAGGAGAATGGCATGGAACGTTTTTCATGGAAAGCAGCCATGTGCTGTGGCTGCTTTGGAATCCAGGCAGTGTGATTTGGGGCTGTGGCTCCCCCACCCGCATCTGCAGTTCACCGCTGCCTTTTGACCTTACCTTTCAGAAGGGCCACAGGCATATATCAGTATCTCAAATAAGAAGAGAGCTGGGGTGGTGCAGGCCTGGAAATGGTGTCCTGAACAGTTGGAGGAAAGGGAGATGGAGCAGAGAGGACGATCTGCACGGAGATGTAGCCACGACATAACCACAGAAGACACTTCATCTCCTCTACTGCGTCCTCAACCAGTGGGCTAGGTTTTTCTCTTGGCCCGGGCCTTCCTCCTGACTTCTCTGCTCTCATTGAAATGATTTAACATCCTACGTTCACTTTGAATTCATGGTCTCCATTCTGTAAAGGAAAAACAAAAACAAAACTGTCCACCTAAAAGTCACAACTCTAAATTGACCTTCACCTCCAGTCTCTTCCTGTCCCCTGCTGGCCCTGGCATGGCTGCCTCTGGGCTGGCTCTCCTCTCCTAGGTGGGGTGGAGGTTCTTGCTTGATGGTTCAGTTGTAGATGGTTTGTGCTCTTTGGTCCCGGCAGATGTCTCAGCTGAAGTTCTCCCCTAAGGCTGATTTTTTATGTCCTCAGGGGCTCCCTGTGGTGTGAGAGAGGTTTGCATCTAATCCTGGGAACCTGTGTATGGGAGGTTACATGGCAGAGGGAACCAAGCAGGCAGTGGAACTAAGGGTGTCAATCAGCTGACTTTTTTTTTTTTTTTTTTTTTTTTTTGAGAGGGAGTCTTTCTCTGTTGCCCAGGCTGGAGTGCAGTGGCGCAATCTCGGCTCATTGTGATCTCCACCTCTCGGGTTCAAACGATTCCCCTGCCTCAGCCTCTCGAGTAGCTGGGACTACAAGCGCCCGCCACCACGCCCGGCTAATTTTTTAAATTTTAGTAGAGAGGGGTTTCACCGTGTTGGCCAGGATGGTCTCGATCTCCTGACCTCATGACCCATCCGCCTCAGCCTCCCAAAGTGCTGAGACAGCTGACTTTTTAATAGGAAGACTACCCCAGACTATCTGGGTGGGCCTGATGTAATCCCCAGTGTTCTTATAATGGAACAGCGACCAAGGAGAGGCAGGTGAGAAGGTCTTGGCCACTGTAGCCGGCTTTGAAGATGGAGGAAGGCGCCACGGACCAGGGAACACAAGTGGCTTCTGGAAGCTGGACAAGGCAAAGAAATAGATTCTCCCCCAGAGCCTCCAGAGGGAACCAGCCCAGCCAGCACATTTGCTTTATCCCATTGAGGCCCATTCCAGGCTTCTGAACCCCAGAACCACCGGGTAATACATGAGCATTGTTTTAAGCCACTTTGTCTGAGGTCATTGTTGCAGGAGTGACAGGAAATGAATACAGTCTCCCTTATCTTTCTCCCCTGTGGCTCCTTGGCTGTGGGCACTGCCTCCCCTTGGCCATCTCCTGATCCTGCTCAGCTCCTGCCAGAGGGTTCACCCCCATGGGGCAGGCTGCTTGAAAGGCCCCCAGGGGGATCCATTTCTACCACAGATTCCACGTCTGGGCCCTGGGGTTCTGCACTTCTGACTCAACCCCAGAGCAGAACATGCCCCGACCTGTGTGTGGCCTCCTTCTCACTGCCACAGGCTCGTCATGTTTTCTCCCACCCGGGGCAAGCATGGGCCCTCGGGCCCTTGACCCTGGGATGCAGCTGTTTCGTGTCTACCACTGGAGAGCCTGAGCAGGTCCTGTCCTGGCTGTGGTGTCCTCCTGTGTACCAGGTCAGGCTCAGGGAGAGAATTTCAGAGATGGCTTTCAGCTGCAGACTGTTCCTAGAATGTATGACCTGTGCTGTAACAAGCAAAGCTGGTAAAAAAAAAAAAAAAAAAAAAGGAAGATGACCTGGTATAGTGGAGCTCTGGGTATCACTGGCAGCAAAATACCCTCAGTCTCTCAGAAATGGCACCAAATAAAGAGGAGGTGCTTGCCAGGGCCACAGTGAGGGCTTGCGGACAGCCTGGCCACACATTCACTTCCCAGAGGTGAGGCCAATTGGAATTTAGAAGATGCTTATGAAAGGGTTAATTATGCAGGGTTTTTTTTTTTTTAAACTAATATTGATGGAAGGCTGTTCCAACTGAACGTATATTAGGAAGATGATACCTAGATAAACACCAAGTCTGGCTGGGCTCAGTGGCTCACGCCTGTAATCCCGGCACTTTGGGAGGCCGAGGCGGGCGGATCACTTGAGGTCAGGAGTTGGAGACCAGCCTGGCCAACATAGTGAAACCCCGTCTCTACTAAAAAAAATTACAAAGAATTAGCTGGGCGAGGTGGCAGGTGCCTGTAATTCCAGCTACTCAGGAGACTGAGGCAGGAGAGTTGCTTGAACCTGGGAGGCTGAGGTTGCAGTGAGCCAAGATCGTGCCGTTGCACTTTAGCCTGGGCAACAAAGCAAGACTCCATTAAAAAAAAAAAAAAAAGACAAAGCCTAAAGCCATGAACTTACAAGTGCTAGGCTGGGACACTGCAGTCGGGCCGATGGTCAACATGAGCCTCAGGCCCTTGTCTGTGACATTTCTGCTGTATTTCATGTCACTAGGCCAGGGCAGCCCAACGCATCCATGTCCGTGGTGAACTTGCAACTGATATTGGCCCCATCATGCCTGTGCATGGTACACCGTCTCCCCAGATCCTGCCACTCACTTTCCCTGGGACCCTGTGTCCTGGGCTCCTCAGGGAAGTCACCTGCATCTCCCCTGTGCATCCTGTCCTTAGAGAGAAGGACGGCAGAGCTGTGTGGGCGAGGGAGCCCTGACTTTCTGGAAAGTGAAGTTTGCACACACCTCAGGCCTGCCCCTCATGTGTAAATATTATAGTCTAACTCTTAGGGAATTATTTGTTTGTCTTTTATAGTTCACGTTTTAAGGGAGTGTTCTGCCTCCTTTATTGGCTGTATGGCTGGAAACAACAGACCTTACATTTTCCTTGAAATTTTGAATCCACTCATCTGTAAATGGTTATAAGATCTACCTACAGGATGCGGGGAATCTCAATTCTACATTTTTAGCTTTAGATTGCATAAAATAAACTTGCGGATTTCAGTTAACCACACTGCATGTTTGCCTCATTGACATTGCTTTCTCCAGCGTCTCTCAGAAGAAAAGGGGTTTCAGGGCTGAAGCGTTGCCCAATGGGACTCAATTAGCAGGGGAAAGCCTTGTCAGTTTTGAAGGGCGGTGGGTGTTGGGGAATGCCTTGCGTCTACAGTCTGCATTCCACCTGGGCAGAGGGAGATTTACAGGACCTGTCAGTCATGACAGTGATTGGAAAGGAGGAATGCTTTCTCTTATCTTGGATTTGAGCTGAGACACAGGAATCCCACCACCCTGACTGCATTCATGGAAAAGAGGTACAGCTCCTGCCCTCCTGGTCTCTGTCCCCTCCCACTGCCCAGGCATCCCACCCACTCTGTGGATTCCTTTGTGCATTTAGAGTCCTGAAATCCCATCGGGAAGAGACCTCAACAAAGAGTCCCATAGCCTCTGTTTACAGCAGAGGAAAGTGTGGCCCGGGAAGGAAAGGTGACCAGCAGGCAGGACACCCTCACTGAGTCAGCTTCTCATCTGCGACATATCACTTTCTTATATCCTGTGGGATTCTTTGCATTTTATAGACAAGCAAACAAAAAGTCAGGGAGTTGGAGCTGCCTGCCCAAAGTTGAAGGGTAGCTAGCTACTTGTAGGCCCCTCAAATTCATTCATTCATTCATCACACCGTCACTGAGCTCCTGCTTGGGGGCAGTTGGCATGGAGAACAAAGAAGCCTGGAAATCCGTTCTTGAGGAGACAGACAGACGACAGCTCTCCTTGTCTGCAGCCCTCAGTGTGGAGGTTTTCTGGAGTCATGACCCACGTCTGCTTGTTCTCTCTTCCTCGACAGTCTCCCCTGTGGGGAATGGTTATCCTCTCTGATGAGTCAGCTCTCAGCGCAAGACAGAATGACCTCCAAGCCCCCATCTCCCTGTATAGGTATAGCTGCTGTGCAGAGCTCCTTGGCTGCCCAGTAGGGAGTTCCTGCCTAGGATGTGGAAACAGAATGTGTTAGCTTCCCTTCAGATGCGGGGGCACCTGGCCCGGTGCTGAGCATTCAGCAGGCTCCCCTCCCATAACTGTCCCTGGCTTTACTAAGGACAAAGCTGCCACCAACTCACCTGCCTCACTCACCTGGGTCAGGAGCCGCCCTCTGTCTCCCTCATTCCCTGAAGTTAATCTCATTGATTCCAGTTCATAAATGTCCCCAGCCCCTGAAGTGTGTGGTCTCCACACCTAAGGCCACTGCCCAGCCCTTTCCCAGGGGCTACTGCAGCTTCCTGGGTGGGGGCTGGGCCCCTCAGCCCTCTGTGGGGACATTGACCCAGCCGATCTCCACTATGAGGAGCCTGCCAGGCCAAAGGGGATCTTCCTCCCTTTTCTCATCCTGACTTTGTAGAAAAGAGAGCTTTACTCTGAGATTTGCTCCTAGGTCAAGGTCAATGGACTTGGCTTCTGAGATGGCTGCAGCAGCCTTGCCTGAATCAGCCGTGGGCCAACATGACCTACTCTGGCCGGTGGCACAAGAGAGTTTTGACTGGAGTGACCGGTGTGACTCGGACGTTGCAGGAGGGGCCTCTGTCCCTCACACACAGGGATGTCCCCTCTGGGTGCCTGCAATTCCACCATTGGGATGCTTCTAGCTGGGGAGGGGATCTGCAGCACTGCAGACATTGGATAAAAATCTCCAGAAGGTTGCAAAATGGCAGGCGGGAAAGAGGTCAGAAGAGGGAACAGAGCTGGCAGGAAGGCAGGGCTGAGGGAAGAGGTGGATGCAGCCCCCTCACATGGACCAACCCATCAGTAGGGGCTCCGAGGGTGGCAGTGGCATTGGGTGGGCCTGTGACACAAGAAGTGCTGACTTGGGTGGTGTTCAGTGCCCTTGTGTCTGCCTGCAGGCTGGTGGCTCCCCTCCCCATATTTGCCCTGGATGCTTGATGTCCCCGAAGTCTGAGGACATCGTCATCTGAGCCAGTGGCTCAGGCTCCCCCAGGGATTAGCCCAGCATGGATGTTCCTGGCTAATAGTGCCTTACCTCTGAGCCATCCACAGGGGTCTTTTCTGGCGAGATTCTTAGGAGTTGAAAAACGGCAGATTTCTAAAAGGGCAAAGGAATGTAGGCTTTGGTAATCCTAACATGAGATTCTCAATTGAGGCAAGGAAAGAGGAAAGGGGAGTTCCTAAAAATGAAAATAGTCCCAAAGGAGAAGTGCTGATGGAAGGGACTCAAGAAATCCAGTTCCACTGCCCAGGGGTCCTGCAAGTGCCCAGGTTGCAGATGATCCAGAACTGCAGAGGTCCATGGAAAGACCTGGGGAGGTGGGATTAGGTGGAAGGAGAAAACTTGTTTTGTTCTGTCTCCTCCAATGAGAAGAATCTCATCCTCCTGCTCCTCTCTGCTCTTCTGCAGCACTCGATGTAAGCTTTCCTTTTTAAGTCTCTCTCCACCCTGACTTCTGTGCACTGTCCTATTGTCCCTTAGGCAGAAGACACAGCCAGACTTGAACCTGGACCCCACGTACCTTTGTAGTTGGATAATTCTCTGTTATCGCTCATCTATATAAATGGCACAGCCAATGAGAAACATATGAGATGAAGATGCAAAAACATCTCACAGGGCCCTGGCCTGAAGAGGTGCTCAGTGCACAGTGGTCCTGTCTTCTTCTCATTCCCCTCCCCTGTGGCTCCTTTGTTCCTCTTCAGATGGCCTTGATGTCTTTTCCCATCCTCTAAATGAGGGCTCCTCAAACTATGGCCCTTGGCCCAAATCTAGCCACAACTTGTTTTTATAAATAAAGTTTTAGTGGAACACAGCTACACCCATTCATGTACATATTGTTGATGGCTGCTTTCCTGCTCCAAAGACAGAGTTGATTTGTGGCAACAAAGACTGTGTGATCCTCAAAGCCTAAAATATTTACTAGATGACCCCTGATAGAAAAAGTTTCCTGGCTCCTGGTCTTAACCCATAAAATTTAGGTACTCCCAAAGTTGCCTTCTTATCTTTTATGCCTTTTTTTCCATACCCTCTCTCGGTAGTCTCATTGATATTGTGACATCAACTTCTTTTTACCATGTCAGTTGCTCCCATATCTAAACTCCAGCCTTTCCCCAAAGTCTAGGCATACCTTTACAAGGCCTTATTGACTAAGTTCAACAAGCCTCCACTCAAACCCATTACCATTTTTCCCAAATCTGCATCTCTTCTGGATTATCCTAATTTGGTTAACGGCAGCTCTAGTTCCCCAGACTCAAACCCTTTGCTGAATCACTTGTGCTTTCTGGGTTTTATTTCTCCAATTTCCTTGATAAAGTATTTATCACTGTCCCTTTCTTCAAGAGGGGAGAATTGTCCTCACAGGGTTGGGAAGTGGTGATATAATGAGTTAATGTGTATTAATCATTTGGCACTGGGCAGGCACCGATAAAGGGCTCCATAATGCTTCTGCATGGCCAGATGGGTGGATATACTGATGGGTGAGAGGATGGATGTGCGGGTGGGGGACTGGATGGATGATGGATAGTTGAATGGGTGGATGGGTGGATGAGTGTGTGTGTGGGTGGGTGGACGAATAATGAATGGGTAAATGGGTGGAGGGGTGGATGAGTGTGTGGGTGGATGGGTGGGTGGGTAAGTGGATGGATGAATGAATCAATGAATGGGACATGCACCAACTGCCACACAAGGTTTGAAAAGTGTGATGTGATGAGGACTCTGCCTTTGGAAGCTAATTATGGCACACACTAATTCTAAGTATATAAAATGGTTGAGAGAGAGCAAACTGAAGAGGAGAGGACCAATGGGAAGAGTATTTCCATATCCCAGGTTAGTAACATCCTGTGTACCACCCAGGATGACAGTAGTGGGAATGGAAGTGAGAGAATGAGCCAGGAAGATGCTGCCAGAGGAATGGACAGTGACCAGTACTTTATCAGGCAGGGTAGGGAGACAAGTCTTGGAAGGTATGAGGGACTTAGCAAAGAAGACAACAGTGTTTGAGCTCTGGGGACCAAAATAGCCTACTCCAGAAAGGCGGCAGGTTTAGGGGAAATGGTAAATAGTTTAAGTTCAGACACATTAAGTTTAGTAAACAAGTTCTTATAAGGTTATCATATGTTCCAAAGTGGTTTAAGTTACCTTACAAAAAATATGCTATGAAAATAAAGGAAGTTAGGGAACTGGGGCTATTGAGAAGCAAGTTGAAGCTTGTAAAGTTGCTAGAAGTGGGCCTTGGACTCTCTCATAGCTTCTCAATAGCAGACAGATCCTGGAGGAGAATCTCCCACCTCCCGGGGTTTGTGGGGAGGGGTTAGCAGGGACTAACGCTTGCAAAGCACTCCACCCTGGGCAGGCACAGAGAATGGGCTCCATTTTTAAGTGCTCGCTATTCTTTATTATTATCTTGACTTTCTTATTTCTACTTTTTAAATTTTATATATGCATTATTTGCTTGATAGTGCGTTAAGATCCCAAGGGGGCTGTGTCTCATTGCCCTACCACACTCATTGAATGGCATAGTTTATGCTGGTGGATGAATGAATCCGTGGCTCAGACCCCCTTAGGTTGGCTCCTTTCTGCAAATCGGATTCTCCTGGCATGTAAGTGACGTTCCTGCCATGAGGAGAGCCCAGCAACAGCTCGGCTCCAAGCAGACCCCAGCCCATCCATCTTCCCACCCGCAGCATGTATTACGCAAGGCTTGGCATGTTCTGCCATCAGGAATGGGTTGCTGGGAGCATGAATGGAGGTTCTGGGGCAGGAGAAAGATTTACAAAGTATGCCGAAGGTTTTATTTAGTATGAAATAATTTCTCACTTTATTGCCTGGTGTTTTTTCCTTAGTGTAAGCACCCAAAGCCATGCTTAATTTAATAATGTATTTGCTTATTAATGTACTGTGTTTCCCAGTCATAAAATCTCCTAGAAGGATACTGAAAATTGGCAGATGTAAACACGCCATATGCTTTCTCTTCAAATCTGGCCATTTTGAATGTCAAAATATTTATTGTTTTATGTGCTTTATTATTATAACTTTTGTATTTCCACTGGAGTATTTTATTATTAAAAATGAGCATAATTTTCTATTTAAAAGATTTTCCAAATCCTCAGAAATACACCTAATTCTATTTTTAGATCATTTAAAGATTTGAGTTTTGAATGGTCAGTATCTGCAATACTTTTATTCTTGTCCAAAATTTTGGGGGGCAGCTTGTGCCTCCTGCCAGGGAGTTGGGGGAGAGATATCCAACCAGCTCTTCATTGCTGTGTGCAGTTTGAGGAATTCCTTTACCATGCCCAAAATGAGGCCTGTGTACTATTACTTGCTTACTTGCTTTGCAACGTCTAATTTAGCCTCTGATCTTTGGGGCTGTTGTTAACTTTATGGTTTACACAATTCAAAGTGTCAGGCAACTGTGAAGTGCTTGCTCAGGAAAGAAACCCAGAGCGAGACCACCTCAGCTGCTGAGCTGGCCTCTCTAATGAGCATCCTTAGGGATGCTTCTCTAAGCACGGAGAGCCCGAGCAAATATTTGCACAGTTGAATTACATTTTCTAAGGCTACATATGCAGGTAAAATTCTCTTTCCAAGTGCCTGAGAGACTTATGGGTTCCAGCTACCTGCCTGGGAAGGTAGAAGTGGCCAATCAATTCCCTTCAACTGGCTTTGAGTTGCTCTGTATACACCCAACTAAACACATGGAAAGCATGTAACAGGTGGATCTGGGTTCTGCATGGCATGATTTGAAGAAAATCTCCAGGGATATCTGTTGCAAACATATTCTTTGTGTTGTGGTGTGGTGTGTGTGTATGGGGGGTGGGGGAATATTTAATGGGCTGCTTCTGCTCTGGCCCAAGTTTAGTGTGTGTGAAATCTCAAGAAGGGAGAAATGGGTGGGTCACTGCAGTTTCAAGGTCTAGGAGGGTACTCACGTCTCCATCCTCAGTCCTCTAAGCCTTGTTATTATTAATACTATTGTTGTTGTTATTGCTATTATTTTAATTTTATTTATAAAACGAGGAAGAGAGCTTTGAGTGGCAGAGGCTGTTAGGAGCAGGTCAGGGCAGAAAGACCTAGGACAAGTGTCATGGGGAACAGAGAGGAAAGGAACAGGTACCAGCCCGAGGGATGGCTTCATCCTCCCGCTGCCGTGTCTCCTTCTGGAGAGATGGTGAGAAGATGGAAGGATGTAAATAGAGCGTTGGAAGTGACCTTGGGGGACTCTGTTAACCTCTTCAACTTGGAGTGGAGAGAAGCAGGTTCCCACACAGCCCCTGGTTAAGGGCAGAGCAGGGCCCTGCCCTTAACCAAGGGCTCTGGCATCTCCTTCTGCAGACCTTGGGCATGTCACAGAGGGCAGGGCAAAAGCAATTGTGAAGCTCATCCCCTCCCGAGTCTTGCTGCCACAAGAGAAGGCAAGGAAGGCATGAGCTGGGGCTGGCATTTGCCGGGTATTGTCATGAGTGCTTTCCCAATAGAAGCTTGTTTATTTCTCAAAGTAATCATCTGTGGTAAGTGTGACTTGTCCTGTTTTCATTTTATGATTGAGGGGACAGGCAGGGAGATGAATCAATTTGACCAAGGCTAGACAGTTTGCAAGTAATAAAGCCACAGTTTTTGTTTTGTTTTATTTTGTTTTGTTTTGTTTTTGAGACAGAGTCTCACTTTGTTGCCTGGCTAGAGTGCAGTGGCATGATCTCAGCTCTCTGAAACCTCCACCTCCCAGGTTCAAGCAATTCTCCTGCCTTAGCTTACCAAATAGCTGGGATTACAGGCGTGTGTCACCACACCTGGCTAATTTTTTTGTATTTTTAGTAGAGACAAGGTTTTGCCATGTTGGCCAGGCTGGTTTTGAGCTCCTGGCCCCAAATGATCCACCCGCCTTGGCCTCCCAAAGTGCTGGGCTTACAGGTGTGAGCCACTGTGCCTGGCCTAACACCACAATGTAAACCCAGGCTGAATCCAAAGCCAGCAGCTTGCAAGACCTCCTATAACAGACATGCCCTTCTAGACGAATATGCAGCCTCGTGTAGGACTGGAGTGGAAGTTGTGTCTGGGCAGGTCAGGGAGAGATGGTTGAGGACTGGGTTTTGGAATGGGGATTAAAGGCAAGTAGAGTAACATTTGGTGAGCACCTACTGTGAACATAAATGGGTTTGACATCTCCTTTAATTTCCACAACAGTCCTTCAAGGGCTAGAATTTTCCCATTTTGCAGATGAGGAAACTGAGGCATTGAGATAGACATCTTGCCTAAGGTCACATGACTGATAAATGATAGAGCCAAGAGTTATATTTAGGAGTGTCTTATTCTAAAGTCCCTGGGTTTTGCACAGTACTGCAATATGGCTGTGGCTTTCCCCAGTCATCGAGCAATGAGGCCTCCTGCCACTCCTTTCAGTTTCAGGGTGGTTCATGCACAGAGGTTGACTTTTTGGATGGACTGTGCCACTCCTCATCTGTCTGGTAATGGCGGTTCCCGTCAGCTCAGGACCTCAACAGTTACTCTTCACAGGAGAACAGAACCCAGGGGTCATGATGGCAAACTGGCTACTCGGGGATGGCCCAGTGCTGGGCTTGGGAACACTACAGGAGTGTCAAAGACAAGGTGAGGGGAGCCATTGATCTAGGGTGAACTTGAGTATCAGTCCTTGGGGTAACTCATGGAGGGAGGGCAGTGTGTGATTTGGTCAGGGGTAGTAGAAGAAGATGTGGCTGTGAGAGTCAAATCAGGATTTTGTGCCTGTGATGGGACTGTCAGTTGTTTTGTCATGGCGTCTCGTGGCCTATTACAAGGCAGGCACTGCCCAGCAAGGAGGCCAGGCGCATAGAATTTACACAGCAGTCCTGAGAGAAGGACTTCTGCTCAAGCAGCAGGGCTGGGGCCAGATGTACTTTTCAGGCCAGCAGGTGCTCTGGTTACTGGAACGTAACTCATGGGGACTTGGGGTTTGAGTGGGAGTCACAGAGGAGGCTGGAAAGCTGTGGTGACTTGGTTGTACTGCAGTGAGGGGCACGCCTCAGAGCCAGGAGTGAGTACAGGAGAGGCAGCAGCATGCAAGGACAGAGTGGGTGTGCAGGCAACAGGACCCCAGACATCCCATCCTTGGGGTTCTCAGAGCCCTGGGCTGATGCCGTAAGGCCTTCGAGTGGTCCGTGGTAGAGTATTAAGATGATGCTTCAAGCCCAGGGTACATTCAGGCAGAGACTCTCGTGCCAGGAAGACACAATCACCTGGATAAGTGTGTCTGTGGCCCAGGCTCATGAACTCAGATGACAAGGGTGAGTTGTCTGTTCCTTTGCTTAATAACAAGGGATTTGGTTGTCTTTGGGTCTGTTTCAGTATTCCAGTAACAAAACAGCTTTATTTAGGACTCCATGAATCAGCCAAATTTTTCCGTGGTGTTTCTGTTAGGATATCTGTCTGTAGACGATGGACAATGGAATATGATTTGAGTTATCTGTTTTTTCCCATCACTTATTGGCCTTTTGGCTAATACCAAACGTGTATCTTGGCGACTAGAAGCAGAAAGGAGCGTGGTTTTATATGGACATTTTTAGCTGACATTTCACTGGATACCTTCGGGTGTCAAAATGAAACAGAATTAACCTCCCTGCCCTGTTCACACATTATAATCACTACCATATTCCCATATTTATGTACACTGCTGGGTTACCATCCCTAGAAGGTCTTAATCAAATGGTTGAAAAAATACATTCTGCTTTAGGTCTGTCAACTGGCCAGTATTTTCCTATCACGCATAGTAATGACGTGAGCCATTGTTAAAGCAAACCTGACCTTTTTAAAGGAGGGCCCAATCAAGTGTCATACCCAGTGTTCAGAAATGACCTTGTAAAAGGCCTTCTCACAGTGAAAGCAATCTTGGAAGAAACCATTTCCCGAGAAAAGCCAATTTGGTATCCCGTAAAATCTGTTCGAGTTTCTTCTATCGGATTCTGTCCTGGGCTTCCAAGGGGATTACAGATTACAAACCTGAAGGAAAGCCTTTTCTTAGTTGGAAGAAAAACAAATGAAATATGCAAGATGTTTGTATTTCTAACAGCTAAAATATGTTTACACACACACAAACATACACATACACCCCACTAAGGATATAAACTTTCTAATGAGTGCCTGCAGTCCTGTCTCTTTTCTGTGCTGAGACTTCAGCATAAAAATCAGATTGCATCTGTCACCATTCAGCAGTATGCGCAATGAAAGCTCTGGAAATCTCTGCTTCCTTGGAGCCTGCACCAGCTCCTCGAAAGTGACTGTGACCTCTCCCGTGTTCCCCGCCCTCCCTACACTCGGGTCCTCTCCTGGCTCTCCCTCCCTTACCTGTCCAAGGAAGTGGCATGTGTTTACCACCTGGTGGTTACAGGAGACCCATGCAGGTGTGTCTGTTGGAAAGTGTAGCGAGTGGACTCTTTCCAAAGGGGTGACCTCATCAGTCCTGAAAAACAACTGCCCAAATGGACATTTGTGTAGCGCACTTCACTTTGCATAATGACCTCAGGTGCTCTCGGTCTTTTTCAGTCCTCAATGAACGCTGAGGTCTTGAGAACACTTGAGACTGGTTGTCCATTGAGTGGGATATTAAAGAAAATGCAATCTCCATCTGTAGACCCGGGGGATGGAGAGCAGAGATGTCCTTGTGTGGTATAACACAGTTCCTTCCCCGTGCTCTTGACAGCTGCCTCCTGTCTTCTCCTGCCTGCCGTCTTCCTCTAGGATTCTGTCCACGTGGCACAGCTAGGGGCTGGTTATTTTGTTCTCTGGTGCCCTTGCTAATGCGGGCCCCAGTCAGGACATTTTCTAAGGTCCAAGTCTTCAAAACAGCATCTCCTGGTCAGAACAGGTCTCACCCAGATGGAGAAAGGAATCCTCCACTCACCCTCCCTCCCTGCCCTAACCACCCGCTCCTGGCAGAATTCACCACTCACCCAGTGCCCTCTCTATTTTGAGTCAGGAGAACATCGATAACTTGGATGCACTTACCTGTGGTGTGTCCATCTTCCCACACTAGACTGACCTTTTTGAGGGCACTTCCTTCTCTAATATTTGCCATTCTGCTGAGCACATGGTACACTGTTTGCTTGGTCTTTATTTGTGGAATAAATTAAGGAATGCATTGTGTGTGGATGTCTGTGTGACTCCTGTTCCCAACTCTTACAAACTTGGGGCAATTTCAGTTTCATCAGTTGTAGATAGAAGTACAATCATATTGCAGGGCTCTTGAAATAGCACAGAAAAGGCCTCACATATGAGGTTGTCAAAAAATCCACTCCCTTTCCCGGCTGTCTTCAGCCTCTTGATGTCTTCATGTACAGGCTTTTATTACTAGCCATGGTGAGGCTCCATCTTATCTAGGACCAGCAATATGTCTCATAGGTTTTGGCATTTCCTTCCTCCCTTGCAAAGGCTTCAACCATCATTTCAGGTGCACGGTGAAGCAGTTGGTTCTTCTGAGCCAGCTCCAGGTATTTCCTCAGGGACAGTGAGGCAGGGGAGGGGTGGGGCGAAGGGTCCTCCCCTTGTCCCCATGAACCTCGCCCAGGGCCTGGGCCACCGCAGGCCTGTGTCCAGTCTGCTTGGGAACTGTGAGCTTTGCCTATAGGTCTGGCCCTCCCACGCCATGACTGTGGTGAGGCCTGGTAGGTCATTGTCATCCCCGGAAGCTGGCTGCTGAGGGCACGAGCCCCCACAAAGGAAGAAAGCGCCCATAAAACCCTGTACACAGACCTGCCCGAGGCAGTGTCTGCCCTTGGGAATGACAGCCATCTGTGTGCTTGGACGCAAGTTGGGGTGATCAGGGACAGGGCAGGTAGAGACCAACAGGTGGGGAGGAGCAGGTGTATCCTCAGCCTGGATATGCGCTCAGGTCAGGAATACAGTTTACATTACAGCACAGTGTGTGTGCAGGGACACACACACACACATGCACTGTACACACACACACAGAATGGAAACAAACATCTTATCAAAATCACACAAGATACATTCTGATCTCTTCTTTGATTTTTTTTATTCCACTCCAGGCTGGCCTAGTCTATTTCAATTTTTAAATGTTGGTCATGGCCATCTACATTGAATTGACATCCATTTACATTCATAGTTGGAGACCCTCCATTTGCAAAGTGGTGCCTTAAGCAATTACCCCCAACACCAGTGGGGACTTTTGAGCCCAGGTTTCTGGGCACGAAGGTGAAAGTAGGCAGGTGGTTGGGTTTCAGGAACCAGTGAGGACACAGGAAGAGTCAGGACTAGGGTGAGGCAAGAAAGGTGCCTAATTTAGAGGCATACAATTTGAAGAGGTGCTTACTCTCTGCCCTCACAGAATGTGAGAGCAGCTTTCAGTTTTGTGCCCAAGGCACCTCTCTCCCCTCACCCAGCCCCAGCCCTGGCTTCTAGATGTGATCATCCCATTTTACAGATGATAACTCTGTCATGGAGGTAACAAAGACTGCGACTGAGGTCCTGGGGCTGAGGCAGGATTCCAGCCTGGGTCTGGCTAACATGAGCCCAAGCTGCTTCCCAGGCATTCTGCATTCTCTGCCCAGCCCTGTGGGAGGTCCCTGAGGCAGGACGCAGCCACATGAACCCCAACTGAACAGTCAGCCCAGGGGAACACTTAACTTACACAAAGCAAAAAGAAACGGCTTTCAAACATCACTGTGGTACAAAATTAGGACCCCCGACGGATAGAGTGAGTTTCTGAAGACAGACCGGGGTGTGTTGGCTGGGTGGTTTCTTAGAGCACACATCCTATTCCACAGTCTTCGGGCTAGACTGGCTCAGCCCCTTGTGCTTATTAATGGATCCTTTCCCACCTGGCAGGACCTGCAGCATGGTTTGCAGTGGGGAGAATCTGCAGGCCGGCTGGAGCTACTGTCAGTGGAGGAAGCTTCCAGATGCAATAGGGCCCACGTCCAGGCTCAGCTCACCCCACTGTCGCTGTTTCACAACTTAGCACCTCCCAGAATAGAGGTCTAAGTGAGTGAGTGTCTGGGACAGGCTCTTTCTGGAGCCCTGGGACTTGCTCATTTCCTTCCCCTCCATGTGCTCCGCTGGGGTCCCTCTTGCTCTTGTTCCACACCCTCCTCCTGCACTGGCTCCTTCCGTACTGCTGCTGACATGCGGGACTGTCCCACTCTCAGTGAAGCCTCCCTTCTGCACAAGCCTCCCCGTCCCCACCAGCTGGGATGCTGTGGATCCTCTGGAGTCAAGCTGTCTGCCTGGGACAGAGCATGGCCAGCGTGGTTAAAAGAGCCTGAACCTGCCTCTGACCCATGGGCTGCCAGGCTCAGATGAGTTCACATAGGAATCACAGCTTAGCCATTACCTAGTCATCCTTCATTCCATCACCCGCTGCTCAAGGACTGGGGCGCTGTCACACGTGCATACCGCACAGCTTCTCAAAGGCCAACCTATCACAGTGTCATACAGAAAGCAGGCTTGCAACACATAAGTGTTGAATTAATAAAGGTCCCATGAGGAGAAAGTGGAGCCCACAGGATAGCAAGTCCAATTAAGAAAATCCAGGGGGCACTGGACTTGGAAGTGCAGAGGGGCCCAGCAGAGAAGCTTATGAATCAGGTCGAGAAGAGAGGGCTGTTGTCCCCTGCTTGAAGGTTGAGAAATTTAGAGTGGATTCAGCCTAGATTCAACTTCTGGCTGTGAGACTTTGGTCCATTTACTGAGTCTTTTTCACCTTTAGTTTTCTTATCAGGAAAAAATGGGGACAATAACAGCGGCAGCCTGCAAGGCGTATTTTGGGGATTTAATAAGATGTGAGTGGAAGGCCCATGCGTCATGATGAAGGTCAGCAGTTCGTCCTGAAGCCTGGGCTTGCTCTGCTCTTGGCAGAGGGCAGCAGCCCCCCCACACCCCTTTGCAGGTAGCCAGGGACAGAACAGTTCAGAGCTCCCCACAGGTGGGCCTGCCCTTCCCTAGAGCACAGCTCTGCGGAACTGGGCTGTGAGCCAATGCCCTCACCTGCACCCGGCAGCCCAGTCTGAAATCCGCTGGTGGCCAGGGTGGCAATGGCCATGACTTGGCTGCACCTTCCACAGCCTGATGTCCACGCGGGAGTCCTCATGCCAGAGTTTTTAACCCTTCAATGTCTAAGGTAGGCTTTAAAGGCTGGGAAGAGGTACCTCTCCATCTCATTCACATTCTGTCTGGGGTGCCATATATCAGAATCAGACAAACTTCCTCTCTCTTGGCCATCAATGCCATATTTGCTTAGGGTAGAAAATTAGGGAAATACAGAAAAGTGAACACACACATAAACTCAAACATACACACATGCACACATACACACATGCACACACACATACACACATGCATACACATACACACATACACATGCACACATACACATACACATGCACACATACACATATGCACACATGCATGCACACACACACATACACACATGCACACATACACACATGTATACACATGCACACATGCACACATACAAACATGTATACACATACACACATACACATACACAATGGCACACATACACACATGCACACATGCACACATGCACACATACTCACACATGCACACATGCACACATGCACACACATACATACACACATGCACACATACACACATGCATACACATACACACATGCATACACATGCACACACATGCACACACATACACATACACACATGCACACACACATGCACACATGCACATACACACATGCACACATACACACATGCATACACATACACACATACATACATGCACACATACACACATCAGCCATCATATCACTAACAAGAAGAAGACATGTTTAATATTTTATTACAATCTGTGTTTTTAAATACATTTTTTCTTATATAAATGAAATCCCTATGTAGGTAATTTTTAACCTGCTTTGGTTGTTGTTTAACATTAGAACACAAGTGTTTTCCTGTTTTGTTTTGTTTTTTGTTTGTTTGTTTGTTTGTTTTGAGCAGGGTCTTGCTCTGTCACCCAGGCTGGAATGCAGTATGTGATCTCAGCTCACTGCAACCTCTGCCTCCTGGGTTCAAGTGAGTCTCCTTCCTCAGTCTCCCGAGTAGCTGGGACTACAGGCATGCACCACCACGCCCGGCTGATTTTTGTATTTTTAGTAGAGTCAGGGTTTCGCCATGTTGGCCAGGCTGGTCTCGAACTCCTGACCCCAAATGATCCACCCACCTCTGCCTCCCAAAGTGCTGGGATTACAGGTGTGAGCCACCTTGCCTGGCCTGTTTTCCTGGCCTGTTTCCTGAATGCATCATGATCTACATACTCTGTTCCCTGACTTGAGACACAGATTATTTCTAATTTTTCTCTATTATAAATATAGCTGTGATAGATATGAAAATATATTTTATATCAAATTCTGCCTATATTTTTCCTGAAAAATATTTTAGCTAGATCTGATGTTGCTAAGAAGGGAGAAATAAGCTGGTTTTTAAATGTTTTTTCTCTAAAAGAGCATACAGTAAACATTTTTTGCTAAGTGCTCCGTAAAGTCTCCATCACAACTATTCAGCTCTGCCATCATACCACAAAAACATCCACAGACATTTGGGTGTGGCTGTGTTCCAGTAAAACCTTATTTACAAAAACAGCCAGTGGGCCAGATTTGGCCCGCCAGCCATAGTGAGCTGACCTGCTCTTCCAACACCAGCCTGGTCCACGCTCCGCCTGCCACTAAGGTAGCCTCTTTCTTCTTGCCTGGCTAACATCTGCTCTTCCATTAGGTTTCAGTAAATATTCGTTTCCCAGGGAGCTCGTTCCTGAGTCTTTAGAACGGATTCTGTCTTTTAGAACAGTTATCCCAGCTGTAATTAAAGAGATCTTTACAGAGAAAATCATTATTCGCTGATTCCCCTTCTTCATCTGAAATGTCAGTGGCGTTCTTGGCTTTTTCCTTCTTGGGTCTTCCAGGGCCTACCATAGATTTTCCACACAGAGGAAAATCTGATGTATTAAATCATGGGACGCAATGTACTTTTCACACCAACAATCCTGAGGCCCTGAAGGTCGACGCGTTAATCCTCACAACAGACCCATGAGATGAGCGTGGTTCTCGCTTTTACAGAAGAGCAAATGGAAGATCAGAGAAGCTCAATAACTCACACCAAGCCCCAGGGCTGGTGAGGGGAACGTTGACCTGGAAAAAGCTGCTGGCGTGCTCCACAGAGAGCTCACTCAAGGGACAGGAAGGCACCACCAATGGCCTCGATCCCATCGCCTCGCCTGGGGAGGGGAGCTGAGGAGAAGCCACAGAAGGATCGACTCATACTTCCATTTATTAGGCTTGGTCAGATCAAGGAGGCAAACTTGGCCTAGCTTTTACGCAGCCACTCAGTTTTCTAATCAAATGACTCCATCGAGTTATCAATTTGATCGACAGATATAAATTGAGCCTCCACCAGGTGCCACGCTGAGAATAGTATGGGGAGTGAAGCTGGCTTTCCCTGGTGACTCATGGAGAGGCAGACATTGAACTATCACACACACACACACACATGCACACACACAGGCACACACGCGCATGCACACACACACACATGCACACATGCACACACACATACATTCTCTTTCTTGAATTACAGCTGGGATAATTGTTTTAAAAGACAGAATCCATTCTAAAGTCTCCAGGAAGAGCTCTCCGGGACAGGAATATTTACTGAAACCCAACGGAAGAGCAAGTGTTAGCCAGGCAAGAAGGAAGAGGCTACCTCAGCGGCAGGCGGAGTGTGGACCAGGCCTGGAGTCGGAAGAGCAGGTCAGCTCACTATGGCTGGCGGGCCAAATCTGGCCACTCTCTGTTTTTACAAGCAAAGTTTGACTGGAACACAGCCACACCCAAATGTTTGTGGATATTTTTGTGGTACAATGGCAGAGCTGAATAGTTGTGATGGAGACTTACGAAACACGTATCCTCAAATATTTACTGAGTGGTCTTCTAGAGAAAAAGTTCCAAAATCCCAGCTGTGGAGAAATAGGACAAGGTGGCTGGGGCATGGTGAAAGAGGGGACATCGGTGGGACCCTATGGGCCTCAGGGACCACAGGAGAGAGTTGGATATGGTTTGGATTTGTGTCCCCGCCCAAGTCTCATGTTGAATTGTAATCCTCAGTGGTGGAGGTAGGGCCGGTGGGAGGTGATGGGATCATGGGTGCGGGTCCTTCATGAATGGTTTAGCGCCATCTCGGTGCTGTTCTCGGTGACAGTGAGTGAGTTACTGTGCTGTCTGGTTGTTTGAAAGTGTGTAGCACCTGCCTGCCTTGCCCCTGCTTTTGCCGTGTGAGCTGCAGTTCCCCCTTTGCCTTTCCTATGATTGTGAGTTTTCCTGAAGCTTCCCCAGAGGCTGAGGAGGTGCAGGCACCATGGGTCCTGTACAGCCTGCAGAACTGTGAGCCAATGAAACCTCTTCTCTGTATAGATTACCCAGCCTCGGGTGTTTCTTTATAGCAATGCGAGAATAAACTAATACAGTACCTTTCCTGAGAGATAAGAGAGAGCCACTGAAGATTATGAACAAACCAGTGAGAGGACAAGTTTATGTTTGTCTGTTTGTTTTTCTGAGACAGAGTCTTTCTCTGTCACCCAGGCTGGAGTGCAGTGGCTTGATCTCAGCTCACTGCAATCTCTGCCTCCCTGGTTCAAGTGATTCTCCTGCCTCAGCCTCCCGAGTAGCTGGGATTACAGGTGCCCGCCACCACGCCCGGCTAATTTTTGTATTTTTTTTTTTTTTAGTAGAGATGGGCTTTTGCTAAGTTGGCCAGGTTGGTCCCGAACTCCTGACCTCAAGTGGTCCGCCCGCCTCGGCCTCCCAAAGTGCTGGGATTACAGGAGTGAGCCACTGAGCCTGGCCTGATTTATATATTTTTTAAAATTACATATTTGACATAACAGTCCCTAATACTCAGCTTTAGGCTTGCTTTTCTTGATTTCTAGTAGTTCTTAATAAATATTTGCTAAATGAATGAAATAATCTTAGTAAAAGTTTTAGGTGACATTCAGATATAATGGAAACATGGTCATATCATGAAGTTCTTGATTATATTATATTTTTACCATAAGCCATTTCTTTTTAGAAAGTGTTCGTCCTGTAAATAAACAAACTATTCTCAAATGTTTTCTATTAACACTTTCTACAATTAATTGCTGTCCTTTTTGGTAGTGATATTCTAGTTCAATAATTTAGCTCAAAGCAGATTAGCTGTACACAGGGCAGGGTTATGATTGCCTTTATTTATTTATTTTTTTTTTGAGATGGAGTCTTGCTCTTTCACCCAGGCTAGAGTGCAGTGGCACCATCTTAGCTCAGTACAACATCCACCTCCCGGGTTCGAGTGATTCTTCTGCCTCAGCCTCCTGAGTAGCTGGGACTACAGGCGCCTGCCACCACTTCTAGCTAAATTTTTTTTGTATTTTTGGTAGATACGGGGTTTCATCATGTTGGCCAGGCTAGTCTCGAACTTCTGACCTCAGATGATCCACCCACCTCAGCCTCCAAAGTGCTGGGATTACAGGCGTGAGCCATTGTGACTGGCCTGATAATTACCTTTTGATTTTGCTGTGCTCGGTTGCTGCTGCCGTGAAGCCCAGTTCCCCAGCTGAATTGGGCATCAGTTCACAATGTAGAGCTTCCCAAGGATGCCAGGCCCAATGGGTCCATTTGCTTATTAGTGTTAGTTGACACTTACAGGTCAGAGCAAAAGTGTTAGTTCCCTCCTTGAGCAAGGTTGTCCTGGACAGAAGATACACGAACATCCCAGTATGACCATCTGGTCAACCTGACAATTAACTGCCCCTGCTGAAGCAAGTCCTGGGGGTCAAGGGACTGCTCCCTGGCCATGCCCATGCACACGAACACATACCCATGCACACATTCCCATGTGCACACACTTGCACACATGTATTTACCCTCATTCCTAATCACTTGTGTTCCAGTGGTCAGTGTGATGGGTAATTTTATGTGTTAACTTGACTGAGCCATGGGGTAACTAGATATTTGGGCAAACATTATTCTGGGTGTATCTGTAGGGCGTTTCTGGGTGAGAGCCACATTTGAGTCAGCAGAATGAGGAAAGTGGATGACCCTCCCTTGTGGGTAGGCCTCCACCCAGCAGCTGAAGACCTGGCTAGAACCAAAGGCTGAGTAAGCAGGAACTCCTCCTGCCCAACTATTTGAGCTGGGCCATGGGCAGTTTCCTGCTTTTAGACTCAGAGTGAAACACCAGCTCTTCTTAGGTCTCAAGCCTGCCAGCTTTGGGACTTGGAACTACACCTTTGGCTCTTCAGGGTCTCCAGCTTGCCGACTGCGGACGTTGGGGCTTCTTGGCCTCTATAATTGCATGAGCCAATTCCTTATAATAAATCTCTCTCTCCCTACACACCACACACACACACACACACACACACACACACACAATTGGTTCTGTTTCTCTGAAGAAATGCAGTGTATTAGATGAAGAAATACAGTGTATTAGATTAGTTAGTATATATAAACAATGGGATATAGGCATAGATATGGATATATATTATTATGGGAATTGGCTCATGAGATTATCGAGGTGGAGAAGACCCACAGGAGACCATCTGCAAGCTGGAGAACCAGGGAAGCCTGGTGGCCTAGCCCAGTCCAAGTCAGAAGGCCTAAGAACCTGGGAACTGAGAGGGTAACTCTCCGTACAAAGAGTCCTGGAGTCCCAAGGCCAGGGAACCTGGAGTTCTGATGACCAGGGGCAGGAGATGTGCGTCTCAGATGCAGAGACAGAGAATTCACCTTTCATTGGTCTTTTGTTCTATCTGGGCCCTCAGCCCACTGGAGAGTACTACCCACATTGTGTGAGGATGGATCTTCTTTACTCAGCCTGGAATCAAATGCTAGCCTCTTCTGGAGGCACTTCATAGACCACCTGGAGGTAACACTTTATGAGTCAGCAAGGAATCCCTTAACCCAGTCAAGTAAGCATCCAAAATTAACTCTCAGAAGCAGTCAGTATTTTCCAAACATGACTCAGCAATTCCAACTTCCCAGTTAGCTTTCTCTCTGCATTATAATTTCTGTCTTCCTTTAAATTGAATTTTTTTTTTTTTTTGAGACAGAGTCTTACTCTGTTGCCCAGGCTGGAGTGCAATGGAACGATCTTGGCTCACTGCAACCTCTGCCTCCCAGGTTCAAGTGATTCTCCTGCCTCAGCCTCCCAAGTAGCTGGGATTACAGGTGCCTGCCACCACGCCTGGCTAGTTTTTGTATTTTTAGTGGAGACGGGGTTTCACCATGTTGGCCAGGCTTGTCTCAAACTCCTGACCTTAAGTGATCCACCTGCCTTAGCCCCCTAAAGTGCTGGGATTACAGGCATGAGCCACCGTGCCCGGCCTGACTTATTTTCATAATACATTATGTTAAAAAGGGACCTTAGTATCACTGCTTCTCCTTGAAAGCCACCATCATTTACCATGAATAAAGGCCAAATCATGCTGTTACCCTTAGGGTAGTTTCTGTGACCTGCCTAGTCTCAGCCTTCTAGGCCTGCTCGTTCTCTCTGCTAAACTGAGAGATAAGCCAGTGCTGGATGTCAAAGGTGGAGGCAGCAAAGATAGAGACAGAGGCTATAAAGTTCTCACTGTGTGATTTATGACTCGATGGCTTGCACTTGTCCCACATTGCAGAACAGTGGCCGATCCCTGGGGTCAGCCCTGCCCCTGTCCCTGGGCGCTGACCCATAGACTCAGCTTCCCTTAATGACAGAGGTCAAGAGAAGGCCGGGGAGTGGTTCTCAAGCCTTATTTTACTGAAAAATCACCAGGAGAGTTTGGTAGAAATGCAGCTCTTGGGGCAGAGGAAGGAATCTCCAGAGGTTCTGATTTGGGGAGAGGTTGAGGAGTGGACACGTTTACAAGCATCCAGGTCATTCTTGGGCAGGTGGCTGCAGCCTGTCCTCAGAGACACAGCAGGGGGCTTGGACAATGAAGGTCTGGTTTGAGCGCAGTCTTTCTGGATGAAGGCCTCCAGCCAAACAACAACAAATAGCTCTCAATCAGCCTGAGACAGAGGTCTGGCTTCATTCACAGCACCGTGGTTCAGAAAAAAATCTATGCACTATAAATGTGCACACAATTCTATCTGCTTATAAGAGTGATTTTGGTTTGAGGCACTTTATTGCCAGATTCCTGGGATGAGAAGTTGTTGGATGTTTACTTAGATCAAAAAAGAGTTCATTAAAATATAAAATGCATTTAATATTCACTCTGGGTTAGAGGGGTACGTGCCAGCTGCCTTCTGGGACAGCAGCTACATTCAGGCAGTGAGAACTCAGAAGTTCCCTGCTCACCAGGAATCCTGAACAGCAGTTCATTTCCACTTTCTGTGGGGGGCTTCACAGCGGCCCCAAGAAGATAATGTCCCTCTCCCACTCCCTGGAACTGTATTACCTTACGTGGCACAAAGCATGGTTCGGTGAAGGGTCCTGGCCCTTGAGCCTAAAGTAATGGCAAGTGTTCTTGTAAGAACGGAGTAGAGGGAGTTCATACGAGCAGAAGAGAAGGGGCCATGGGCTGGTGGCAGGGAGGGGGCGAGAAAGAGACTGGAATGATGCTGTTTCCAGCCTTAGAGTCCCTGGAACCACCGGAAGCTCCAGGGAATTCTTTCCTAGGCCCTTGGGGAGGGAGCACAGCCCTGCCACCACTTTGATCTCAGACTTCTGGCCTCAGAACTATGAGAGAATAAATTTCCGTTGTTATAAGCCACCAAATATGTGGTAATTTGTTACAAATAGCAGCCTCAGAAAATGAATGCACCTCCTAGAAGGACTCAGGAATGGAATTCAAGGAGCTGTGGGTGTGGCTCTCTATAAACAACACAAACCTTTTGGTTCTCCACAAAGAGGGTCAGACAGACTGAACGGCTGAGTTTCTCGTGGAATATGGATGCAGGTGTACACACACACACATACACACACACACAATAACTTTGCTACAAAGATATGGGTTCTGTGCTCTCACCTGGGCAGGCCTGGCTAAGCAGACTGTGCAGCCATGAATGGGTAACCCCCCTGTGCTTCTTCACGGCCTGCCAGATGTAGGGTACTTTCCTCTGCCCCACAGAATACGCAGTCCTGCGGGGCACCTCTCTTCCCAGACTCCAAGAGGACTTTGGGGCCAGGCAATGGGGTTGGCTGTGCTTTCAGGAAAATCCAGAGCAGCGCTGCCCAAAGGAAATACAGTGTGAGCCCTATACCCGACCTTACATTTCCTAGAATCCAAGCTTTAGAACTTTAAAAATAAGGGTGAAATTAATTTTAATAATATATTTTATTGGTCTCAATAGATCCAACATTATTTTCACAGGTACCCTTTATGGGAATTATGTGTGAAATATTTTACCTTTTTTTCTTGTGTTGACTGCTAAATTGGGCATGTATTTTACACTTTCAGAGCATCTCAGTTTGAGCGTGGGCGTTCCCAGTGTTCATTAGCCACACAGCCAGTGGCCTCTGTGCCGGGCAACATGAAGTCAGTGCTCAGGGGACTGAGAAGGTAGCAGTTGGGCCTCAGGGGCTGCTGGGCTCCCTCTGGTACCCCTTATCTCTGGTATTTGATTTTCGAGGCCCCTGACGGCGATCCCTTGCAAATCCTTCCAAGGAGGCTGGGCTGCGTGTGCGTTCATGTGTGGTTGTGGTTAGAGGCTGGGTCCATGCGTCTGCGAATGGGGAACAGTGCCTTCAGGAAGTCATAGCCCGGATCAGAGAGCAAGGCAGACACCACGGCTATGATGCTGGCCATGGTCCAGAGAGCTGAAAAAAATTCCCATCAGCTCTGAGTGAATGCCTGGGGGGCTGCGGGAATGGAGCTGGGTTGAGGTCTGGAGTCCTTAAATCATGGAATCTTCCAGAACAAAATCTCCCCATGTTGCATCAGTTAGTGAAAGCCCTGGATAGTCCAGCCTTGAAGTATCTTTAGGGAGAAAATGGGAGGAGAAATGGTTTCACCTCGTTTTGAATGGAAAGTTAATTGCTTTTTGGAAAGTTGTTTTCAGCCAGATGAGGACCACACAGAGGAAAAATAAAACACACACACACACACATTGCCCGCGGATGGGAGTTTAGCCAACAGTGACAATAGCCGTCTGCTTCTCCGAGTCTGATGGACACTGAGGGCAACCCGAGGCAGGGCCATTGTTTACCCTGACAGCTTAACAGCAGGCTTGAAGGGAGGGGAGGCTGCAATGGCAGTGGGGAGCTGTGAACACTTAATCCGTCACAGAAACTTCGAGGGAATCAGGCGCCGTGGAGCCCAGACCGGCCAAACCCTTAATTGTTGGGCAATTCGCTGTCTTGGCTGCCCTCAACTGAACCTGTTAGATACCAGCACAGCACATCGGGCAAGGACCTGCCGTGTGGGAGGGCCCTCGGGAGGGTGTGGACACCTTGTTCCTCGGGAGACATGGGACATATGATGGATATTCACCTGTCCACTGTACTTGTCTCATTTATTCAAATTAACTGGTGCCCAGAGCTGGAAAGAAATGAATCTGGACTCAGACAAAGATGAATTGCAGTAAAAATGGAAATTACAATTCAGAAAACTAATATCGTCAGGCCACTGGGATTTTATTAGCTAATCCGGGCTATGATATTGGACTTCTGAAAATGTTGCTTTGATTAAATTTTTGCCTTGTATCCACAAGGACTTGTCAGGATATGTGTCTAGCGATGCGGGGAAGGAGTAGCACAGCCTGTGAGGAGCTGCTAACACCCTTTTCCTTTTCTCGTGTTTTTGTTTTGTTGCCCAAGTACATCAACTTCTTGAAGCTGACAATGCTTGAAGTCGTATTAGACCCAAAATGACAAGCCACCACATAAGACCACGGTCAAGCATTATTCAGATTTCTCAGGATGGCTACCCATCTTGTAGCTGGTATTGGGGTACTGTAGGCCCCCGGGCAGTGAGCGTGCAGCGTGTGAAAGGAAACAGCATGGCCGTTAACTTGGGATGCTCTTGCAGCTCCCCGCATCCTTATCTTGTGCATTCTCTGAATTGCTGATATTCAGCTTTTTCCCTTGACTATGTCTTTAGCACCTTGACTCCTTGACTCAGGTCATCCACCACAAGCTCTGGCCACTCCATCCTCACCACCCCTATGGCATCAGAACTGACCCTGACCTACACCCCCGCTGTGTCTCTAGGGAGGATCTTGCCAGCCCAGGCTCCTAAGCCTGCAGTATCCAAATCGTGTCCTTCTGAATTCGGTGAGGGGGTATCAAACCATTCCCTGCAGAGTCTCTGTACCTGAGATCCTCCAGCACAAGTTGTGTCTTTCAATTTCTTTCCAGGGCTTCCCAGGAAGTAGACTCTGCTAGAAACCCATTGTCTAAGTAGCAATGTAGATATTTAGGGAGCAGTGCCGGGAGCAACCCTCAACCACTGAGGAAGGAAGACAATAGATGATGGCCCCTTAGCCTGAATCCCTGGAGGGGTCCTTCCAAGGGTCTCAGGCAGGATTGAGTTCTCTCTGTCCTTGGTGAGCATCTTAGTAACATACACTTATATTGTCTTTCTTTCCTCTTCTCACTCCCTCAGGTCTTTTGCTCTAGTTCCCTGGGATCATCTCCATGAAAATCTAGATGCTCATAAGTGCTTTACTTCAGGGGCTTTTATGGAGGAGTCAGGGGATAGAGAGGCAAGCCCGCCATCTGCTAAGTCCCAAGTCTCACCAAGAGTGTGAAAAACAATGATAGCACTTAATTATTGCCCACTTCCAAGATGTCAGGTACTGTGCAAAGTGCTTTGTAGGCATTATTTTATTTAATTCTCACAAATATTTTACATGGTAAACACTATTTTATCCCCATTTTACAGGTGAGGAGACTGAGACTGAATCAACGGAGAAGCAGAGGAACTTGCCCAACCAGGTTCCATGGCTCAGACTTGGTAAAACTGGAATTTAATTCAAGCAGGCAGAATTTGGTCTGACCACGGAAAACATGGCCTCCACAATTAGTTAATTAATTTTTTAAAGATAAATGAATTTCCTTTGTACTGCTTGAACTTATGAGGCTTTCAGTTATCTGGGAATGATGGACCAAAAAAACAAACCAACCAAACAACGACGGGAGTTACAAGGAACACTGTTGCCTTGAAATGCTGAGCAGGTCTCTGAGACTCTGTAATTCAACCTTCTGCCTGAAGATAGCAAGGATCAGAAAACAAGGGTGGCAGTGGAGCTACATTAATTTGAAGGAAGGGTTGGCCCATTCAGTGCCCTTAGTCTTGTCATTTTTTAGGATAATTAGAAATGGATTGAAACCCAGAGAGCCCAGACTCCCCGCAGGACGTGTGCTTCCTTCTCAGGCAGCATATTAAAGGCCCTCCTGCATTCTTTCCATGTAATTTGATAATGCTGATAAAATCATTTATCATCCTGTGAGCTGCACTGACTATCTTATTAGAAAATATAACTGGAGGCTCTGAATGTGGCTGATCCTGACATGCTTTAATTAGGGCTTAAAAAATATGGGCATGGGTTTCTGTTGCAAGGTGGGGACGTAACTCGTGAGCGTTTAACTCCTACCTCCCCTTACTCACATGCATGATCAAAGAAACGTGAGAAAAGGAAAAGTTCTGTATCTTCACTGGAAAATAGAAAGGCTGCCATCAACAGGCTGAAAATGATGAGGAATTTCTGCAGATCAGAGGGACTAAGATGTCTATAACATAACAAAGCAGAATTCTCACTGGACACCCCCAAATCCTGGAACGGTTCTGTCTTCTTTAAAGTCTATGGTTGCACTGCAACGTGTCTCAGAGTTTCACCTTAGGATCACTGCGGTGCAGTCATCTGATTACAATGATGACTAACCTCAGGAGTACGGCCTTCCATGCCAGAATCCTTGGAGGTTGCTCAGGAATCTGCATTTGCCTGAAGTTCCCCAGGGATTCTATGCACAGACAGGGCAGCCTCAGCAACGCGATACACAGATTTTCGTATCGTAAGGTGACGTAAAATGCCAGGCTTTGAACACACACGTTTGCAGAAGAAAGACTGCCAGAGGCCAAAGCTACTCATTTTGAGCTTTTCCATTTCATTCTCATAGTGGCCAACAGACATGGTGGCCATTTAAAAGATTTCTGGGCTTCCCTGAAATGCTGTTTCCCTTCCTGCTGAGGTTCTCCTACCCCCAGAAATTGACAAAAGCCTGCACACACTCCTGTCTGTCCTCTCTCGCGCGGGCCATCTTACCTGTGGTGTGGATGACAAGCACAGCTGCCAGGCCATTCCCGGCTTGTCTCTCGGCTCACCCTCCCACCGCTAATCACCTCCCCTCACCAGTGCCAGAAAAACCCATCTGAAAGGCAAATCTCTTGTAGCACACAGGGAGAATCAGAGAAGCAGGAAGGAACAAAGTGCCCTGTAACTCCCTTTACACTTCTTTGTTGACTTGTCCGGAATGAATTGAGGAAAGTCCCATCGCTGTTTGGTTGGTTTGGTTTTTTTGGTCCATCATTCCCAGATAACTGAAAGCCCTCCAGCTGCATGTAGTTCCAAGATCAGTCTCATTTTAATAATTAAAAAATCCTGTAAGTTGTCATGTCAAAACTTTGAATGGTTTCCATCCAGTTGAGAGCATCTTCCCTCTCTCCAGCCCCCAGCTTCTGGCTTCCAGGGCTGAAGAGAAGTGAGCAGCTGATGACCCGCCTCTTCCACCTCTGGCATGGCCTGGGCCTGCTGTCAGAACTGTCCCGCGGGAGGGTCTGATAGTGCAGGGGCTTGGTGCTTACTGTTCTGGGCAATGCCTTTGCTAGTGCATGGACTTGGTGCTTATTGTTCTGGACAATGCCTTTGGAAATTTTCAGAGCTCTGTCTCAGGTCTTGGGTTCAGGACAAAGTCGCCTACTTCTTATCAAAACCCAGCACCGCTTCCTTTCCTCCTCGGGCTAAACCCAGTATGTCCTTCTACCCTGTCCCCCCCATTGCCAGAGCCTCGCCCAAGGTCTTCAGGCCCTTGTCCTGTACCTGCTACTCTGTCACTTGCTGTTTCCTCTGGGTGGAACGCTTCCTGCATCTCTGGCCCCTGGCTGGCCACTCCCATCTGGCCACGTCCCATTTATCTTCCAGGCCTCTGTTAGATGTCCCTTCCTTGAGGAGGCTGCCCACCTGGACAAATGCCCTCCAGTGTGTCCTGAGGACCCCATAATCCCCATCATAATGCTCCTCATGTTATAGCCACTGAGTCTCTCCTGTGCAGAACTGTAGGATCGTTGCCAAGCACAGAATCATAATAAGTACCTAAAAAATAATTGCCAAAAGAATGAATTAAAGACACGATTCTACAGCCTTGAGCAGCAGCACCAGGCAGGCAAGCCGTCATTCAGCCTGTCTCAATAGGCCTATGTGGAGCTGTGTCAGTGGCCTTACAGGAGCTCCTGCGGTCCATTCTGGCAAGTGTTGATTTACAGGTTTGCTTTTCCAAAAGTTAGTGAGCCCTCTAACGAGTCTGCGTCTTGTTCATCTTAGTAGAGGTATCACTCATGATAGTGCCCTGGGGTCTCTAAGGATTTGCTGAAAGAATAAATGGATGGATGGATTAATGGAAGGGAGGGGGAAAGGAAGGGAGGGAGGAAGGGAAGGAAGAAGGGTAGAAGGAAGGGAGCGAAGGACGAACAGATGAATGGACGGAAGGATGGATGGATGAAGGAATGAGTAAGTGCAAATAGAAATCTGATCTGGGAGCATGCGGCCCATTTCTCTGTGTTAGGACTCAAGTCCTGTGTTGGGTTGAAAATTTTATGTTTTTAATAGGTTGTATTTTATGTTAGTTTCTTCTGCATTAATCCTTACTCCAAAATAAAGGTATGTATGATTTCTCTGAATCCATCTAGTCATTTATTCATTCAACACACATGGGGTGAGGTCTGCCTCAGGGTTCCTGCCATTTCCCTGGAGAAACTGAGCACTAACCATTAAGAAAGCTTAGCTCTGGCTTAAATTTGTATCAGGCTTTCTCTGTAGAATAAAATTCAGGATAAGCATCATCTAGAGTGCCTTGTAATTCATCAACAAAGAAATAGTTTTTAAAAGAGTGACTTATGGTAACAGAGCATATTTTATTGTTATTTTCATTGTTTTTGTTTTTAAGAAAGCATAATGTACAATTTTTCCATTTTGTAGTTTATTAACTCATCTTAGTTCTATTTTTCCAGTATGTTTGTATGTATGTCTCTCTCTCATCCATCCACCTCTATCTGTCTGTCTATCAATCAATCATCTTTAGACTGCTTATTCTCATGTTTCTACATATCTTGTTCTTTTATATCTTGCATACAATATTCACACATATATAACAGTTCTCTAAATATAGAGTACTATATTGAAAAGTATAAAGTATATGAATAAAGCATACCACATATGTACCTGGCGTTTTCATGTGTGAATAATGAAATTTTGCTAATTAGCCAATTCTAGTGATCATAGATATAGGTCTCCGATTATTTGGGTGCTTCTATTTTTAGCTCATGTTTAAGTTTTTGGACACACATGAATGTCCTCTGGGCCTGCGTGAAGAGGTGCACTGTCAAGGCGGGTCTGATCCAGGAATGGCAAAACATGCCCCTCCCCAGCCTGGCAGCGCTTCCACGGTGACTTGAGATGATGTATGGCCACGCACGGGCTTGTTATGGCACATCCCTTGATAAGTCTGTGTAATTAATTGGATGCCATCTGATGCGGCAGCAGGTTAGACATTTAAGAAATAAAAAGTTGTCCATGCCCCACGGAGCACATCTGTTTAATGGCATAATTCAAATTAATTTCCAACGATTCCATAAGAGCTCATGGCACTGTTCCACGACTTTCTGCCTGATGGCCTCTCGGGTGCTGCAGGCAGGCTCCGGAGTGCCATTCAGTCTGGCAGCTCTTGAGTCTGGTCACATGACGCATGTCTTTCTTAAACTCTTATTTTTAAATAACTACACGCCTACAAAAAAATGGTGAAAACAGTACCCAGAGTTTCTAAATTCCTTTCCCCAACTCCCTCAAATGTTCAGATCATTATACTATAATGATCAAAACCAGAGTCTTATGATCAATACAACCCTATTAACTTGTATACAAACCTTATTTGAATTTTACCAGTTGTCCCCGAGATCATGTTTCTGCCTCAGGATCCAACCCAGGATCCCTCATTGCATGTATTTCTCATGTTCCTTTCTCATATTTAATTTGGAACAGTTCTTCCATCTTTCTTTGTCTTTTATGACCTCAGTGTTATTTTTAAGAGTACTGTTTCTGTTTTATTATTTTCTGTTTTATTATTATTATTGTTTGTTTCTGTTTTATTATTATTATTTTTAAAATAGACTGTGCCTCAAATTGGGTTTTTCTGTGTTTTCTAGTTAGGTTAAGATGATGTACTTTTGGGGCCGGGTGTGGTGGCTCATGCCTGTAATCCCAGCACTTTGGGAGGGCAAGGCCGGCGGATCATTTGAGGTCAGGAGTTCAAGACAGCCTGGCCAACACGGTGAAACCCCATCTCTACTAAAAGCACAAAAATTAGCCGGGCGTGGTGGTGCATGCCTGTAATTCCAGTTACTCAAGAGGCTGAGGCAGTAGAATCGCTTGAACCTGGGAGGCAGAGCTTGCAGTGAGCCAAGATCCTGCCACTGCACTCCAGCCTGGGCAACAGAGCAAGACTCCATCTCAAAAAATAATAATAATAATAAATAAATAAATAATTAAAAAAAGATGATGTACTTTTGGCAAGAATGCCACAGAAATGATACTGTGACCTTCTCAATGCACCATAACAGGAGATACGTGATGTGGCTATGTCTCATTACTGATCATTACTTGGTTAAGGTGGTATCTGCCAGATTTCTCCACAGTTACTATTTTCCCCTTGGTTTTTTTGTTTGTTTGTTTTGTTTTGTTTTGTTTTGTTTTGAGATGGAGTCTTGCTCTGTCACCCAGACTGGAGTGCAGTGGCACAATCTCAGCTCACTGTAAGCTCTGCCTCCCGGGTTCATGCCATTCTCCTGCCTCAGCCTCCTGAGTAGCTGGGACTACAGGCACCTGCCACCACGCCCAGCTACTTTTTTTATTTTATTTTATATTTTTAGTAGAGACGGGGTCTCATTGTGTTAGCCAGGATGGTCTTGATCTCCTGACCTCGTGATCCGCCCGCCTCGGCCTCTGAAAGTGCTGGGATTACAAGCGTGAGCTACCGTGCATGGCCTCCCCTTTGTGTTTATTAAGTATCTTATGGGGAGATGATTCAAAACTATGCAAATATCCTGTCTTTTATTATCCTTTTTGCCTACTCAGCATCTATCGATGATTCTTGCCTATGACAATTACTACTGTGATGTTGCGAAAGGATCATTTTCTATTTCTACTTTCTACTCCTTCTACACTGGTTAATTGGAACTCTCCTGTAAGGATGAGCTTAGTTACATCAAATTACTTCTTTGTATCACTATGAAAGGAAAGCTATTTCTTTCATTCTGTGGGTTATAATTCACTGATGTCATTATTTATTTTATTGCTCAAATCGTCCCAGATTTGTCTATTGAAAATGCCTTCTTCTTGTTTGGTTGGTTTTCGTTTTGTTACAAGCCTCCATCATTTTTTCAGCACTTGCATGCAGCATATCTTAAAATCCCCAGTTCTGTGACTGGCACTATTATAGGTCTAACGGAAATTAAGATGAGGCAATGTGGCATTCTCCTGACATTTAAACTGAGTCAGATAACAATGTCCCTAAATATAATATCATTATCATTTCTTATTTTATTTATTTATTTATTTTTTTGAGAAGGAGTCTCGCTCTGTCGCCCAGGCTGGAGTGCAGTGGCACGATCTCGGCTCAATGCAAGCTCTGCCTCCCAGGTTCACGCCATTCTCCTGCCTCAGCCTCCTGAGTAGCTGGGACTACAGGCACCCCCCACCATGCCTGGCTAATTTTTTGTATTTTTAGTAGAGACGGGGTTTCACCATGTTAGCCAGGATGGTCTTGATCTCCTGACCTCGTGATCCACCCGCCTCAGCCTCCCAAAGTGCTGGGATTACAGGCGTGAGCCACCGTGCCCAGCCATTTCTTATTTTTAAACAAAGTTTATTTATGTATTTATTTTTGAGACAGGGCCTTACTGTGCCACCCGGGCTAGAGTGCAGTGGTGCGATCCCAGCTCATTGCAGCCTCAACCTTCTGGGCTCCAGAGATCTTTCCACCTCAGCCTCCCTAGTAGCTGGGATTACAGGTGCATACCACCACACCTGGCTAATTTTCTGTATTTTTTTTTTTCGTAGAGACACGGTTTCAATATGTTGCCCAGGCTGATCTCAAACCCCTGGGCTCAAGAAGCCGAGGCAATCCACCTGTGTTGGCCTCCTGAAGGGCTGGGATTATAGGCGTGAGCCACTGTGCCCAGCAAATAATATCATTATAATTTATTATTAAGTAATTACTTTTTCATAGCTGGAAAGATTTTCTATTGTTGCCCCACTTTGAGTAAAATGGATTCCAGGCCAAAGCTTATTTTCACATCCTTTGTATTCCCAGAGCCTTGTGGAGTGCCTTCTACATGGTGGACCCTCAGTACACGTGCACTAAGGGTGTGGACAACTGAATGAGGCAGTCAGTAAGGGAAGGAGAATGTGGGATGTGGGGGCCAGACTGTTGGTTATCAAACCCCAGCTTCCCCTCTTCAGCATGCACATATATTGCTTGGGATCTTGTTCAAGGGCAGCTTCTGATTCAGTGGGTATGGCTGGGGCCCCGGATCGTGCATTCCCAACAGACCCTCAGGAGATGTGGATCCTGCTTGTTGAGAACCACACTTTGGATGGCAGGACGCCAGGGCTCACATCTACTACCTGCTAACCGGGCAACTTGCCTGAGTCATTTGCCCTCTTTCAACCTTGGTTTTCTCATCTGTAAAATGGGAACCATCATAGTTGCACCTCCCTCTGAAGATTGTTACCAAAAATAAGAAAGATTGTGCACGTGCTTGGCATTTAGTAAGCGCTGATTGATGCTTATATGTTGACACTTGTTTAGTTGGCAACAATAAAGAATTGTTGTTTTGGTGACTGTTTGCTTCTCTAAACAGTGGTTCTAATGAGCCCTTCTCCATCTTCCTTCAGATATTCCTCATGTCCTGGAATTTGGGGGCTCACCACTGAATCCTGGGGAAGCAGTTGACAGAGAGCCTGTCTGAGCATGAGGACCTCCAGTTCCCAGGTGAGCACCTGCTTGGAACCACAGGCACAAATCCGCAGGCATGGATGCTGATGGAAAGCAAGGTGAGAGGGAGTCAGAGGGAAAGGAGTACATACTTGTTGTGTTTGCCTCTTTCCTTGATGGCTTGAGGGACAGCTTGGCAATGAGACTGGAGAAGAATGGGAGCTTGCAAAGCAGGCGGATTCCCTTCGCTCCGCTAGTCGGTGGCGGGTTCCACAGCTGTGCGTGGTGGGGGTTCTCCCTACTGCAGACTCAGGGGGGAAGGGGCAGCCACTGGGCCATCACTGTGTCCAGAATTGGGGCTCCTTCTCTCTGGCAGAACACAAGCTGTTTACTGAGAAGAACAGAGAAAAAACGGTAGTGGGTGTTGGTGGACCTGCCCATACCTGGTTTTTAACAGGTGCTTCACACGTGGGGGCAGGTTAGGATAGAGTGCTCACATCATAGATGCTGTGCCCCAAGTGGAGTAGCCTACACACTGCCTCTTGGTCTTCAGTGCCCCACGGAAGGAGTAACTAGAGCAACCACTCAGCAGAGGAGGACATTCTGGCTCCGAGAAGGTGAGGAATGTCTGAAGTCACACCTGCCATTCTTGTCTGAAAGTGGCAGAGCCAAGATTCATCTGATTTCATCAGGTCCCCAGAGCCTGCTCCTTTGACCACACTAGCCGCCACATGAGGTAAGATGTCCATGTCTGTACCTGTGTCCTCCAGGACACAGAGCAGATGCGGCATAGTGCAGGACGTCTGAGGTGAGCTGTTGTAGCAACATCGCCAGCGGGAAATCCATCCTCACAATGCCCCTGAGCCCTCTGGTGAGCTGCTTTTGGAAAGTGTGACCCACCCCATCCAGGCTGCAAGGCACGCGCTGTTACGCATGTGTGGGCTTAATTATCAACATTGTTCTAGGCCAGGAGGGACACCCGTCTGCAAGGAGTGAGCTCTCCATTTGATTCCACTTGATATGATTTCCTCAGACCTCAGAGCAGCTCTTCACTGGCAACCCTCTCCCTCTTGTGTGTGCCCCTTAATTGGGCTCTGAAGAACACAAGTGTTCCCCCCAATGGACCCGTGACCCTTGTGGACAGAAGGACATAGCCTGAATTAGTGTTGCCACCACTGGAGGGGCCCAAGGACCACAGGGAGAGGTGTCTACAGGAGGTTTACCCAAAAGCTTCAAAGATGTAGTAGACAGCAGGGGAGAGACAAACATGCCCTCATTTTTTTATTGAGCAAATATAGGCAGGGGTTCAGCAATGAAGAAGGCAGATGAGGCCCTGGACTCATGGAGTTTATGTTTTGGGGTTGGTCAGGCAATTATTAAATAGAAGTATAGTTGCAATACAAATATAGAACAGGATGACCTAACAGAGGAGTTGGAGGGGTTGGAGTAGGAGTCAGGGAGAGCATTTCTTAGGATGTGACATTTAAACCTGACTAGTGTCCCCAGAGGTGGCTGACCATGGGCATCTAAGGAGCGGGCCACTGCCTGCAGAGATTGGATTCAGGGCTAAGTGTGAGCCAGCCTGGTGTGCTCAGGCTCTCCTGGTGCTCTCATAGATGATGCATTCACCTGGCGCCTGTCCCCATTCTGCCTGTCCACCTGATAGATCTCCATCCTCTGTTAGGCAAAGACGATGTGGCCAGTGTGAAGGACAAAGGCCTGTGGGTCACACAGAGGTGGGTTCACTTACTGCCTCCATCACTCCTTTTTTGGGTGACCTTGGACGAGTGGCTTACTTGTCTCTCTTAGACTCAGTTTTCTTATTTGTAAAATGGGAAGAATATCATCTTGCATAAACGTGAAGAATATAATGATACAGATAACTTAGCACAATGCCTAGTATACGAATCACACTGAATAAATATACGCGTGTACATACCGTGATGCCCTCATATGCTCATTACATGTGCATTTATATGTGTTGAATATACACGTGCACCTAATGCCTCACACACGTCTATGCACACGCATGCCGACACACTTCTTGAACCACAGATTCAATTAGAATTTATGACGGAAACAAGACACAGGAAACAAACAATCATTAAAATCTGATCATTTCTTGCTTCCGCTTAAGGCTGTTTTCCTGAGCCATCTGGGAACAATTTATTGAAGCTATAATTGTGCATTAAATATTGCGATTTGTTCCAGACTTTGTCTATGAAATGAACGATATAGAGATTTATTGTCTAGTCAGCAAATCGGACGGCCCTGCAGCTCTTCCTCCTGACATAATTTTCCTTGTCCCCACACTCGCTCCCCTCTTTCAGGATCCCATCACAAAAGTACATGCTGTGTCTCAATGATGGCATCAAATACACATGCAGGAGAAAGAGGATGGCAGGAGCGAAGGCCCTCTATGCTTAGCGACAGTGAAGGTGACGGGGGACGACGTCTGCTGAGAAAGACATTTCTCTTTATCAGGTTGAGGGTTCTTGGGCCCCTGAGTACCATGTAGCTCCCTCCTGGGGACAGAGGAGGGTGGACAGTGCATGGACCTGCCATAGGAGAGTGTCACCTCGCACAGCCTGGTGCCCGAGAGCTGGGGACTGTGCCCGCAGCTCTGTGTGGCTGCACTGTGGGGAAACGTGATGGTGAGATGGAGCAGAAACGGAGCTGATCCCTTGGTGGTGAGGTTTCTGTCCAGGACCAGTTGCTGTCAGTCATGTGTCTGAGGTTCCCTCCAAACAACTGTTTTTTGTTGTTTTGTTTGTTTGTTTGTGTTTTTGACAGAGTCTCGCTCTGTTACCCAGGCTGAAGTGCAGTGGCACTATCTTGGCTCACTGCAACCTCCGCCTCTTGGGTTCAAATGATTCCCCTGCCTCAGCCTCCCGAGTGGCTGGAATTACAGGCACCCACCGCCACGCCTGGCAAATTTTTGTATTTTTATTGGAGATGGGGTTTCACCATGTTGGCCAGTATGGTCTCAAACTCCTGACCTGAAGTAATCTGCCCGCCTTGGCCTCCCAAAATGTTGAGATTACAGGCGTGAGCCACTGCCCCCGGCCCACACACAACTGTTTTTTTTCAACCCTGAATTAGAATTTAAGCAAGGAACAAAGGGAAAATTGTCAATGCTGAAAAACTGGAAAAGCAAATGGGTTGAGGCTGCACACGGTGGCTCAGGCCTGTAATCCCAACACTTGGGAGGCTGAGGCAGGAGGATGGATTGAGCCCAGAATTTTGAGACCAACCTGGGCAACATAGCGAGAATCTGTCTTTACAAAAAATTAAAAAATTAGCCAGGCATGGTGGCAGGCACCCGTACTTCCAGCTACTCTAGCGGCTGAGGTGGGAGGATCGCTTGAGCCCAGGTGATGGAGGCTGCCATGAGCGGTGATCACACCATTGCTCGCCAGCCTGTGTGACAGAGCGAGACTCTGTCTCTACTAAAAATTTTAAAAGTTAGCTGGGCGTGGTGGTGCATGCCTGCAGTCCCAGCTAGTTGGGAGGATCAACGTCTCTTCACTACAGCCTGGGTGACAGAGTGAGAACCCATCTCAAAAAGTAAAAATAAAAAAAGGGTAGAGTCGCCAAAGCTTGGGGAAAAGAGAGCACAGAGAAGGAAAGTAATATTTGCTGAGCATCTACTATGTGCAAGGAGCTTTAGATGATATTTTCATGCAGTGCAACTGATACTCACTTTACACGTGTGCACGCCAGTGTCCTGAGGATCCAAGGAACTTGCTCTAGTTTCCACAACTAGCAAGTCCCAGAGAGAGATTCTAACCTCAGCTACCTGGATCCAAGCTGGGCCGTGTTCTCTCTTCCAAGGGTTTGGCTCGATGCTGGGCGGTGTCCAGGGTGGGACGGGTCTCTGGGGCATCCCCTACCTCACTGCTGTCACCCCACCTGCCTTTTCATGTCTTGGCTGCCCGGTGCCATTGTCCCCTATGTGAGGGTCTCCCTCTCCCTGACACCGGATCCTGCATGAGAGGCAGTTCGTTCCCCTCCCTGAGAAGCTTGGCTCAATGCCCATGTACATTTGGGGCGAGTTAGAGATCACACAGTGTCCGGTGAAAGGTGGAATAAATAAATGAGTGACTGACCATGGCCCTCCCGATCTTTCGTAGATTTCTGTTTTGCGTCACTGGCCTAGGCAAGCACTTAATAGTTAAACGGTTTCTCCACTCCCAGCCGGTTTTTGTTTTCTTTCTTCTTTGTTTTCTTTCCTTTCCTCTCCCACCCACCCCATTTGTTGTGGTGCCTACTTTGAACTTGTCATCAGCAATGGTGAATTCAGGAATAAAAGGCGACAGAAGCACAGGAATTGGCACTTCTCTGTGTCCCTGGGCAGCGCATGGCCTGGTTGTTCTGCTGTGACCTTTGGCCTATGACACCAGGATGAGGATAAACAGGTATACACAGTCCCTGCGGCCTTTGTGAACAGAGGGCGTTTGCAAAAGACAGTTGTGTGCTGTTTCTTTCTGAGTAACTTCCGTGGAGTCCCACTGCCCTGGAGAAAGAGGACAGGATGTGAGGGTCTGTGCAGCAAGTGGGCAGAAGGCAGCACCTGCTCCTCATTGTCAAAATCTGAGAAGGACTTGGAACTGGAAGAAAAACAAACCCCTGGGGACGGATTGGAACCAGGGCTAGGAAGGAGCTGCAGCTGGTGGGCGGGAGAGGTGGCAGGATGGGTAGCCAGGGCCTGGATTGTTGCTCCCTCAGCACGTGCTGGCCTCAGTGCAGGGAGGACTTGTTGCAGGCTCAGAGACAGATTTCCACCTGCAGGATCTTGGCAGACCCACTCAAGGCCTGCTCTGCTCCTTTCCCACCTGCCTGGACGAGGCGTCTCAAAGCTGCTGGAATCTCCGAGATGGGCAGAAGCCCATGGGCTGGGGCAATGCGTTTCTACTGCGCTTTGTCTCAAATGCTGAGTGGATGATGCTGCTTGGTGTCTGGGGAGCATGTGTAAACCTCAAACTTTTCTAAACCCTGGCTTTGTCGTGGCAGCCTTGTGGAACCGTGCAATCATAGCGTACCATTTCTGTAATGAGAACCATTTCCCGAATATTAAGCTGGGCGCAGATCGCGTATCTTAACAGGGAAGAGAAGAATCTCTCAATTTTGTTAAATAAATATATTTAACAAGAGTTTAGGTATATAAACACATAGAGGCACACATGTCTATGAGTGTTTGTATGTATGTATATATACCTGTGTGGGGAAAACACTCTAGAAAGCAACATATCACAAAGTTAAACAACTTTACCCTTGGTGGCAGTTGTTTTCCCTTTATTTTCCATTTTCAAAATTGTCTAAAATAAAAGAAGCAAATATGGTCAAAACGAACTATCAGAAAGAGGATATTAAATTGAAAAACATTATAAATATGCTTTAGATTGTTTTTTGAGGGTGGTGTGTTAGATTCCTTGAGTTCCAATCCTGTTTTCCCCACAGAGTCCACCAATGCATGATCTTGGATTTCCCAGTGCCTCAGCTTCCCTAACTGAAACAGAGAAGGAATAACAGCCTCCAGTAATGTTCTAAAAGTTTAAAAGTTAGTTTTTATACTTATGAAATGTATCACTGAGCATTAAACATCGTTTATCCGCATATTAATAATTCATTAGGTTTTAACTATTACATTCCAAACCACCAATGCAGCACATTGAAATAATTAGGCTGATCATTAATGGAGAAGGATGGGGATAAATGGTGAGTGCATCTACAGCTTTTTTTTTTTTTCTTACGAAAACAGCAGAGGGTAACAATGTTGTGACAAGGAGGCCGTTGCTTCGATGAGATTACAATCTTTGACCTCAGAAACTGCTGGTGGACTGTGAGTCTGGAAGACGGACCTGGCTTCTCTCTGCGGCAGGGAAGGCTGGGGTCACAGCAGGCCGGCTGGAGTTCTCTGGGTCACCTGGGGCTGCCAGCTCAGCTCGGTGGCCTGGCTCACATCCCCGGGCACTGTCCCGTGAAGTCACAGGAGCTGTATGCCCAGCCACTCTCCCACCTTGACAATTCTTCCTTCCCATTATTGGTCCTGCTAAATCTGCGCTGAGGCTTCCTAAGAGAGAACAAGTCCCCCGGGTCATCCTCAGGCCCTTTCAGTCCCTGTGCTGGCTGCACACAACCTCCCAAGCCAGAGTTAATGCACCCAGGGCTGACAGATTCAGCAAATTACAAAGATAGGAGCCCAGTTAAATGTGAATTTCAGATACATAACCAATAGTGTTTTAGTATAAGGGACACACTTAAACTAAAAATAGCCACTGGGCTGTTTCTCTGAAATTCAATTTTAATTGGGTGTCCTGTATTCGATCTGGCAGCCCCTGTGCACCACAAATCCAAACACCCACTAAGAGGTGTATTTCAATAGCATTTCAGGCAAGTGGTTAGTAATGGAAGGCAAGGCCAGGCACCGTGGCTCACGCCTGTAATCCCAGCACTTTGGGAGGCTGAGGCGGGCGGATCACTTGAGGTCAGGAGTTTGAGACCAGCCTGGCCAACATGGTGAAACCCTGTCTCTAGTAAAAATACAAAAATCAGCCAGGCATGGTTGCGGGTGCCTGTAATCCCAGCTACTCAAGAGGCAGGAGAATCTCTTGAACTTGGGAGGCAGAATTTGCAGTGAGCTGAGATTTTGCCACTGCACTCCATCCTGGGTGACAGAGCAAGCCTCTGTCTCAAAAAAAAAAAAAAAAAAAAGAGAGAACTTAGAAGGGGGAATATGTCCACCTCCGAGGGAAGTTCAGATTTAATTTAAACCAGGTGTTGGCAAAGTATAACTCATAGTCCAAATCCAGCCCATGGCTTGTTTTTGTAAATGAAGTTTTATTGGAATGCCACCGTGCCCATTCATTTACAAAGTCTCTATGGCTGCTTCCATGCCACAATGGCAGTGCTGGGTAGTTGCATCTGAGACCACATGTGGCCCATGAACCTGAAAGATTTAATACCTGGCCCTTTACGGAAAAAGTGTGCAGACTTCTGATTTTTAAGGCATGGCTGACAGCTGCCCGGAGCCGGCTCTGGTCAGAGTAAGAATATTCAGGCCCTGGGATGCCCCTGATGTCCTGCGTCTCACAGCATTTTTGTTTGCATTTGACCCTAAGAGAGAAAAAGAACCTAATCTAAGCATCTAGGACTCCCAGGCTGGGAGCCGCAGATGGGTCATTGACCCTAGAAAGTGGGGTGGCTACATCAGGCAGACTGCTTTGCCTATTCAGGACAGTCATGCGGGAGTGACCTCGTGAAGATCTTCAGAGTCCAGGCCCCAGGCATTTACCATCTCACCAGAATGGCCATGTCATCCAAGAATGTTGCTAGCCTGCTCACCCCTGAGATGAATATTGTGGGGTAAGAAACCATCGTGCAAGGCAAGGTCCTGTCACCTAGCATTTGAATCCAGCTTAACCTCGTCAGAAACAGCAGCGGGTTGCACAGGGCAGACTATCACGAGGTGCTCCTTGTCCAGGCAAGGCTCCCTAGGGCACTTTACCAGAGCCAGATCACTTACTGGGATAAAGGGCATGAGTCACAGGACCGGGCACGTCACCTGCTGGGAGATGCATCCTCATTTGCTGTGCTACCCTCAGCAAAGGCCGATCTGTGTCTCCTCAACCTGAGGGTCAGGGGGATTATCTTTGCTTCTTCTCTGACCAAAAGGCCATATAAACATTATCTGAGGGGAAGCAAACCAGAGCTGCCTTTCACAGCATGGTCCTCCCAGGAGAGCCTTCAGGTTACGTAAGCAGCTCAGCTGACTGCAGCAGCTCAGCACCAGATTCTCTGGCCCAGGCTCATGGTCCATCTGCCAGGAAATAGAAGCTCTGTTGCATTGCCTGGAAGAGATGCCACAAGAGGGAAAGGGGCAGAGAGTTAAAAAAGTTTAAAGAGAACAAGTAAATGACATTACAAGAAATAATGCATGAGAGTAAGTTTCCAGCCTTAAATGCACTGAAGTCTACCCAAGGATGTCTTATGTGGCAGCCAGTGACTCAAAGTGGCTAGTGACTTCCTGGTGGTTACCTGGCCTCCCTTCCTGGGAGTCCACCTGTCTAAGCCAGAGTTCATGGCAGGGAACACTTTAGCCCCACGTTGCTTTGGGCAGGTTCTATGTGGGCCCAGAGATTCAAACGACACCTTTTCTCTTTAGTTGCCATCTTCAGGTGCACGATGGGACCATCGCAACCTGCAGAGGAAGGGATTCCCTCACTCTCTTACTCCCTAACCCATTCATTCACTTTTTAGTATTTTTCTCATTCACGTATTTAATATCCTACTGTGCTGCATATGGTTAGATTTAGTTCATTTCTCTAGGACTCAATGGTTTTTTAAAAATGTAAGCAACAAACCAACATCTTACCCAGAATCCCAATATGTCCAACAAATAAGAGGTAGGTGGTAACTTTCAGGCAGATACAACTTATTATTTATGTATTTCTGTGTGCATGTATTTGCATGTATTTGGAAATCTTCTCCCTGGGCTCCTTACTCCCTCCTCCCCTGCCACTTTTCAGATTGGGGGAAAGTGTCCTCATTATTTCAGCTGAATTTGCAGCCCTGAGCCCCAGGGATGGAAGGCGTGAGTCCAGCATTGTGAGACAGCAGTGCCGAGAGCCTTCTCTGAGTAAGGCAGGAAGCCTTCCCAATTCCAGTCTCCAAGTTTTATTCTTTCCTGAATCAAGGACAATGCCAGGCTTTTGGGCGTGGAGGCCCTCTCTACATGAATTCCCATATGAGGCTCTTCTATTTCAACAGCCTCCAAATTGGAATGTATTTTGAAGCCCCCCATACAGCCCCCTGTTGTCATTGACCCTAAATCTGCAGGCACAGGAAATTGGTCCACACCCTGCTCTGTACGGCTGCCCTGTAAGTATTTGAAGATGGTTCTCTCGTTCTCCTGAAGTCTTGGGTTTTCCCCTTCTGCTTCTCACCATCTTTTCTTTCCATGGCTTCTCATGTATGGTGGATTTTGAACTTTTCCTGGACATGCTCTTTGAACCTCCTTCAGTCTACTAGTGTCCTTAAGGCCTCGTGTTTGTAGCTAAACCTGGCACTTTGGATTTGGATTTTCTGTAATGGAGCTGAGGTGATCCAGACATCATGCTCAGGGCATCGTTAACCAGCAGGAGATGGCTCAGTCCCTAGCAGCTCTGCAGTCTGTGAAGGTGCCTAAGTTTTCTCACGTGCATGCCTCTCTCAGTCACATCTTTTTCACTCTGTACACATTTAAGTGTATGTCTGAACCCAAGTGCACATTTTTTAATGATCACTATTGAATGTCTTTCTCTACATTTATTCTTCGCTCCAGTTATCAAGATGTTTCTAGACTTTCCCTTGGTCATTGTACTGAGTTATGTCCCCCAAAAATACATGTTCCACCTTCAACTGTGTACCTGTGAATGTGACCTTATTTGGAAATAGGGTCTTTGTGGATGTCATCAAGTTAAGATGAGGTTATACCAGAACAGGGTGGGCCCTATTCCAATGACTGGTATCCTTATAAGAAGAGGGAAGTATGGGGCTGGGCGTGGTGGCTCATGCCTATAATCCCAGCACTTTGGGAGGCCGAGGTGAGTGGATCACGAGGTCAGGAGTTCAAGACCAGCCCGGCCAAGATGGTGAAACCCCGTCTCTTCTAAAAATACAAAAATTAGCTGGGCGTGGTGGTGGGCACCTGTAATCCCAGCTACTCGGGAGGCTGAGGCAGAGAATTGCTCGAACCCAGGAGGCGGAGCTTGCAGTGAGCCGAGAACATGCCACTGCACTCCAGCCTGGGCAACAGAGTGAGACTCCGTCTCAAAAAAATAAAAAATAAAAATAAGAGGGAAGTGTGGACACAGAGACAGAGACACTCAGGAGGTGTTGATACCACGTGATGACAGAGGCAGAAATTGGAGTGATGGAGCTGCCAGACAAGGAATGCCAAGGATTCCTGGCAGCCCCCAGACACCAGGAAGAGGCAGGAAAGGATCCTCCCCTAGAGCCTTCAGAGGGAGGTGGCCCTGCAGACACCTTGATTTCAGACTTCTGTCACCTGGAACTGTGGGAGCGTAAATTTCCGTTGCTTTGAGCTACCCCTTTGTGGTACTTTGTTACAACATCCAAGGAAACGAATACAGTCACATAGTACATTGGTCTTTCTTCCCAGTTTTGTGTCATCTATCAATTTCATTAATTTGACAGGTTTCCATGCATTTCCCATGGATGTCTGTGGGTTGGTCAACTCTGGAAGCCATTCTCCTGATAGGCTGGGACCCACGGGAACTGGTCTGTTGTGGCCACCCAGAAAATTAGCATTGAGAGCCATAGCTTTGCCTGCTGCTCTCTACTAAGAAAATGAAGCTTCTCACGTTTCTTGTCAGTTACTCATCCTACCCTCCTGGGAATGACACCTAAAGGCTGTGATTGCACCGTGAGGTGACAATGTTGCTTTCCTATGTTCCCACTCTGAATGGCATTTGCAGAAGTCCCGGGAATGGGGAAGAACACTCTAAACTGCATGATGGAGAAGAAACTTGTTTCTTTACAAAGCATGGTATTTGACACAAAACGCTGTATCTGTACAATGATGCCTTATGAAGTTTACAAAATCAGGGCATCAATATTCTTCAAGCAATAGAATTACATCAAATATGTTATATATTATACAGTCACTACACAGGCAGAACAGAGCAGCTAGGCTGAGATCCAAGCACAAGAAGGACAGACTCTATCTTCTCATTTGGAAAGTGTCATGAAATTTCATTGTCTCCAGTTTGTATTACTAATATGTAATTTAGTGTTAAAATGTGTTCCATGAAAACGCAGTCCTACCAGACATTCTTTAAAACACAGTTTGTAGTCAGATGAGCTTCGGAAACAGCGCATATTATATTCTCCTCCTGGAGATTCGTAATTCACATTGTAGTATTAAAAACTAAAAGAAAAAAAAGCTGCTGTAAATAAACCTACTTAAGTTGTGTTTAATCAGTGATTTATACGCCTGCTTGAGCACCGGGCTCTTGGTTACTCACTACCTATCGCCGGCCTATGGAATTACTGCTCTGAAGGATATTCCTTGGGAAAGGCTGTGGTCCAATTTTCTCAAGGATTAGGACCATTTTCTTTGTTTCCAGATTCCTCCCTTTGCTAGGGCAGCCCGGTTGCAGGTGGCCCTGGTCACTGTGGGGCCACGTGTGAGGGTGCCGGGCAACGCTCCTTTGTAACTTTGTTGAAAGTTCATACAAACAGTCTAACTGAACCAGAGGTCAATGATAATTCCATTAAAAGAATCCTATCAGCAGTAATGCTTTTTAAAAGGGGAAACATGATACACAGTTCAAGTTGATAGTAAAATCCAGAAAGTTTGAATTCCTTTTGCAAAATAATTCAATCAGCATTATCCGTGAACTTTCACCAAGGTGGCTAAACAGGAATGAATACAGCCTGAGAGCCCCGCCTGCCTTGCCCCCACCAGCTGACATCACCATGGATGGAAAGTCTCACCTGTGCTTTGTCAGCAGAGCCCTGCAACTTTCTTCTCTCATCCTCTTCTATCCACTCAGACTCAGCCCAGTACAGAGCTGATGCCTGTTCAGATGAAAGCATTTGCTGGGTTTTAGCATTGTTCCTGCCTTCTCCACTGGTGGGTGTGTATGTGGCAGGGCAGGGGGTGGCTGGGGGGAAGCCCACCTTGCTGGTTAGTCGTGTGGGCTGTGTGTGTGTGCCCACATCTGCAGTGTGCTGTTGAGGGCAATGTCAGGACTGACCAGAGTCAGATACACACAGGAGCTTTCAAAAGCAGGAAGCGCCAAAGCGTGAACTGGGATCCAAGGAAAGAAGCTGAGGAAGGGATGAATGGGCAGTAGGAATCTGGGAAGCTACCGATGGGATATGGCTGGTGGAATCTGCAGGGAAGGCTGTGAGTTATGGATAGTGATCCCCACCTTGGAGTCTGAGCTCACTTCTCATGTTCTGTGGGACTCTCCTATCCTTAGATATCCCTAGGACATCACTCAAAACACATCGATATGTCAGATGGTGACAGGTGTTTGCAAAGACCTGGAGAAATCGGAACCCTCATACACTGCTGGAGGGAATAGAAAATGGTGCAGCCACTTTGAAAAACAGTCTGGAAGTTCCTCAAATGATTAAACACAGAATTACTATGTGACCCATTCATTCCACTCCTGGGTGTTATATCCAAGAGAAATGAAAACAGATCTACACAAAAACTTGTATATAAATGTTATGACAGCATTATTCATAATGGACATAAAGTATAAAAAACCCAAATGTCTACACCTGATGAATAGATACATAAAGCACGTTATATCCATTCAATGGGATACTATTCAGCCATAAAAAGGGATAAAGTACTGATAAATCTACCGTATGAATGAACCTTGCAAGCATTATGCTAAGTGAAAGAAGCCAGTCACTAAAGACTGCATATTCCATGATTCCATTTATATGCAATGTCCAGAATAGGCAAATCTCCAGAGAAAGAGGTTAGTGGTTGCTTAAGAGGGGTAAGGTGTTGATAATTGAAGGGTTCAGGATTTCTTTTTGAGGTGTTGAAAGTGCTCTAAATTAATGGTGGTGATGATGAAACTTATCTGCAAATATGCCAAAAACCCATTGAACTGTACACTTTAAAAGTGTATTGGGTGAATTGTAGGGTATGCATATGAATCTCAATAAAGCTGCTTTTAAGAATAAACAAAACAAACACACACACAACTACAGCATCTCCTCTAAGGGCCAAAGTGTGTTAGGCCCAGTAGCCCAAAGATGAGAAGTCCAAGGGGCTATTGAGACCCCAACACTTAAAGGAATCCAAGTCTGTGCTGTAAGGAAAATATCTAATTGCAAACTTTAGTAATATTTATTTGCTCTAAAAGAGTAAAAAAATATATATATGCACAAAAGAAAGGCAAGGGTATTATTTTGAACTCCTGTGCTTTCAGCAGGATTTAAGGGTAACCTCGTGATGGGCAGGAAAACAAGTGAAACAGGACAACAAATGCACCCTGAAGCCTAGGGTATGGAGTGGACACTGGGCTCTGACCCCTGCACTGGGACCCTTGGCACAGAGCAGCTGCTGGGCACCCCCAGGCTGGGGCTTGGCTTTAGTGAGTGAGGATGGAGTGGATGCCTCTCCTGCCATGCTCTGACCTTGAGGGTTGTGTGAGTGGTGACGGGGAACCTGCTGAGGATCAGTTCCCCAGCCTTTTGGTTCCTGCTACTGTAGGTGAGGATGAGGACTGGCAGGGACAAGGACTGCTGGTAGCTGGGCTTCCCTCTCCAAGTGCCCAGCAAAGCTATGCCTTGGGGCAGCCCATCTCCAAGTTAGGAGGTCCCCCCTTTCTATAAAGACCCAGCACTGTCCCCAGCCTTCCCAACATGTCACCTTCTGTCTCTGCCTTCGATGCCTGTGCCATTCCTTCCCACCCCTCCCTGCCATCTTTTCATGTGACCAAGCATGTTTTTTCTCCTCTCCAAGAACTGAAGGCTCCTTGAGGTAGGGGCCACGTGTCTCTCACTTTTGAGGCTTCCCCCGAGCAGGCGGTGCAGGGTAGAGAGTGGAGCATGTGCTTGCCACCACCCATGGTGAACACTTGCAGGGGATGGTAATTATTTCTATTTGCCCCCTTTTAAACTATATTTTGTGTTGTTTTGCCAATCTAATCCTTAATTTAAAAAAAATATCCAGACATTGAATACATTTGAAGGCATGGACAGCTCCCGCTCTGTCTATACTGAAAATACGTCTCCCTTACTCTCCTTCCACCAAATGTTAGCTCTTGTATTTCTTGCTTCGTTGAGTTTCATGTTAGTTTGTTTGTTTGTTTGTTTATTTGTGTTTCTGGCCAATTTTCTGTCATCTCAAATTCCAAATTATTGGTATAGCTAATGAAGCCATGATGTACTATTCTTTGAGGACAAAGATGTCACCAATGACTGACCGCCAGTAGGACATGCACTGTGGAGTGGCTTCTCTGACTGGAAGGATGTATCTAATATTTCTACTGAGTTATTGATACATATAGTTCATCAGGTAGGAAGGTGTCAGAATAGAGGGACGGATGGATATGTGGATAGATGGATGGATGGATAGATAGGTGAAAGGATGGATGGATAGATGGATGGATGGATGGATGGATGAATGAATGTGTAAGTATTATAGATAAGTGGGTGGGTAGATGGATGGATGGGTGGATAGTGGATATGCGTATGGATGGATGGTTAGATGAGTGAATGAATGAATGAATGGATAGATGGGTGGGTGGACAAGTGAATGTGTGGGTAAATGGATGAGTGGGTGGGTAGATGGGTGAATGGATGGGTGAATAGGTGGATGGATGAGTGGTGGATAGGATGGATGGATGCATGGATGGATGGATAAATGGGTGGATGGATAGGTGGATGGATAAGTGATGGATAGGATGGATGGATGAATAGGTGGGTGGATAGGTGGATGGATGAATGGTGGATCGGATGGAAGGATGGATGGATGTATGGATGGATGGATGGATGAGTAAATGCATGCATGTGTGGATGAGTGGGGGGTAGATGGACAGATGGGTAAGTGGATAGGAGGAAGGATGGGTTGGTAGATGAACAGTTGGGCAGAGAGAAATTCTTAGAGCTGGAAAGGACATTAGCCCAAATGACCCCTTTCCCAGGGAAGTCACATTGTCTAGTAACAATTGTATGGACACTGGGGTGTGACTGCCTTGGTTTAAGCCCCAGCTGTGTTGCTGCTCTGCTGTGGCTCTTGGGTAAAGGACTTACTGTCTTTGATAATTCATTTCCTTATCTGTAAAATAACACAATGACAGTATTCACCCCTGAGCTTCCTGCAGGAACATCAGGAGGTAATTAGCACAGTGTCTGATTTATTAATAAGTGCCCAAGGTGATAGCTGTTTTCCTTTTTTATAATTGTTATTTACAATTGAATGAGGAATTGTCCAGAGAAGTTTGGGGGAATTACCTGAGTCCTGCACAGTGAGATCATGAGAAATGAGGTCTCTCTGGTTCTCAAGAAGTGCCTTCCATTATAAAATGGTGTCTCTCTGGGTCAAGACTATTCAATGGCCAGGAACCAAGGAAAACAAACAGAGATGCAAGTGTCTAAGCACTATGATAATAAGGGTGTACCCACATATCTCAGGTCTACAGTAAGTTTCTTCATTTGTTCAGCAAATATTTCTTGAGTGCTACCATGTCCTCAGGGCTACCACATGCCCAGTACTGATCTAGATGCTGGGGGAAAAAATGAAACCATAAAAAAACTCTTTCTTCATGGAGCTTATATTCCAGTGGGGTTGGAAGGATGGAAAACAAAATAAATAAAAACCAAAATGTTGAATTGTGCTAAATGCTAAGAAGAACAGAGCAAGTAAGAAGGAAGTAGGTCAGTGTGTGTTTGTGTGTGTGTGTGTGTGTGTGTGTGTTGGGAAGGCTGTAATTTTAGACATAGTGGCCATGGAAGGGGAAGTGACAGAGGGAGCCATGGGAAGATGTACAGGAAGAGCATTCCAGGCAAATGGAACAGCAAACGCAGGTGACCGGAGTGTGGAGAGAAAGCAGAAGCCAGTGTGGCTGGAGAGAAGTGGGAAAGGATGGAGCAGTGACCGAGGGAGGAGGTGATCATCTTTGGAAGGATTTTGGCAAGGCAGGAAGCCACTGGGGGTCTTTAGATTTTAGCAGGAGACTTGAGCTCTTTTGTTATTGTAGCAGTATTTTAATCTTTCATTGGGTGTATTACCATTCTTTCCTTTTTCCCTTCTTTATAAAATTACTTTGAGACAGGCCTGGTATTTGAAAACCAAAGATAGAAAAAGGGACCTGGCTCGGGTCACACTCATCTTTGAGGAAGACATCCAACCCATCTCCTTTGATTACACCCGGAATCACCAATCCGGGTACTCCCCCCGGACCTGACCCACATCTCACCTCCCGCTGGACCGTGCTGCAGGAAGTGCTATCTGAGGCCTCTCCTCCTTCTCAGGAAGGCCTGAGAGCTCCCCTGGGGAGGCTCCTCTGAGTGCCTGGAGAGGTTAGGGAGACCAGCAGGTGAGGGGAGGGACGGCTTTGCAGGGCTGGCAGGCTCCTGGTGCTCTCAAGCACTGGGGGCTTGCTGGGGAGGTGGATTAGGCCTAGGGGCAGCCTGGCCCCACTATGGCCCCATAGGGCACTCACTCCTAAGGCACCTTCTCTTCAGGTACTCACCAGGAAATTCTAACTTCAGGGATTTAATGTTTCCCTCCAGAACTGTAATTCCTTTTTTTAAACTAACCCTGCTTTTCAGTGTGGAAGCGTGGAGGAAGCTGCAGGGCCTCCACGTTGCTTCAGCACCAGGGCTGGAGCAGGAAAGCCCACCCCACTCAGGGCCATGAGGTTGCTGTGGCGGGGCCTTTTTCTCCAAGTGATTTTATATTGTGTGTTTCCTTGCCTCTCAACACATGGAAATGGTGGGTTAAGTTCTACATCCATTGTGTTTCTGTCTATTTCCTCTTGATATTTGAACAGGATTCGCTTGGTATAATTCAGGGCTATATCACAAAGCAATGAAGGTTCATGGCTATGATGTCTTTGTCTTGGATTGTGTATTTAATTCCTATAAAATGACCAAGTCATGCTTTAAATGCAATGATAGTGCCGTCCCTCCTTTCATTTTGCCTAAATGACTGATATATGCTTTTGCTTTTTCACTTTTCCAAGTCATTTTGTTTAATGAGTCTCTTGAAGGCAACATTTCATCGGATTTACTGTGCAACCAAATATCTGTTCTGAGACGCCTTCCTAAGATGCAGAGGTGAGGCGAGCCTGAGCTGCTAACAGCATTTATGACACTGCAGTGCAGTCTTTAAGTAATGATGTAAGTTTTCAATTCCCCTCTTCCCCTGGACCCCCCACCCTGTCTGACCTCTCAAGGGAGCTTCATACATAGTTTCATGGACTGTTGGTAGAGATTATATTAGGGGCTAATTCTACACTCCTCTTGAATTTTCATTGAAATAGACTCTGGAGAAACACACCTCCAGGACATTCCATATCTGCTGAGAATGCAATCATTTTGATGCAAACTGCTAATAGTAATTTTTTTTTTTTTGAGATGGAGTCTTGCTCTGTCACCATGCTCGAGTGCAGCAGCGCGATCTCGGCTCACTGCAACCTCTGCCTCCCGGGTTCACGCCATTCTCCTGCCTCAGCCTCCCGAGTAGCTGGGATTACAGGTGCCCACCACCACACCCAGCTAATTTTTTTTTTGTATTTTTAGTAGAGATGGGGTTTCACCATGTTGGCCAGGATGGTCTCAATCTCCTGACCTCGTGATCCGCCCGCCTCCCAGAGTGCTGGGAGTACAGGCATGAGCCACTGCACTGGGCCAATAGTAATATTTTAAGGGTAAGAAAAATCAGTATCTTATAGAGTATCAATGTGCTTCCATGGACTGGTCTTGTACCTGCGGGTATCAGCCATTGCATTCGAGCAAGTGCTCCAGCCAGGAAGCTCCAACAGAAGCCTGCCCTTCCATGTGAAGATCTGTAAACCACTGGGAAATGAGATATCACCAGCCTATGGGAAATACACAAGACCCACTCCAGCAGGGAGAAACTCCATTACATCTCAGCCCATGTGACTGACTCAGAAGGCTGTGGAAGCAAATATGTACTCACATGCTCCAGCGTGAACTCAGCTCAAGAAACAAAGTGACCTTGGTTGTGCTTTGGGCATAGGTGGAGAAAAGATGGAAGAATAAGACAGCAGGAGGCTGACCCAGAAGAGCAGGTTCTGGGGAACTCTAGAGCAAGATGTGTCTCCTCTGGTTTAGCAGAGAACAAATATGAAGAGTAGGAATTCCCTGTAGGAGTCCCTGTAAGAAGAGCAGAAATGGCACATTATCTTCACTGCTTCTCACCACTAATTACATAAATCTAGAAGCTACTGTAAATGGCTACTTTTAAAAATACACTATTTTCGAAAAAGCTTGGCTGTGATGTAGGGCCTATAGCCCCAAAGGTTAACAGTATAGCAAACAAATTAGAAAGCAAGAACCCAGAAACAGAAGAAGAAAACGTATTCCTCAGAATGGACAATACATTGAGAATAGGCATTGCATTTGTTTCTGAGCATCCCAAAAAAACAGAGAGAAAAATGAGGCAAAAAGTTATATGACATGGTTTCCATTTTCAGAAAATAGGAAGTATTTCAGTTCCTCAGGGTTGACTCAATTGTCTCTGGAAATGAATTATTAAAACCAGAATTCCACTGCAGGACGATGGATAACATAATGAGAAAAGGCCTAAACAGTGTTTTTACAACAGATCTAAGAGCTATTTTCTTATGACAATTTCTTGCAATGAACCAAAGGCCAGGCATTGGCATGAAAGTGTAACTCAATAAATTAGATCCTGGATTAGGTTAAATTTCTGTCGTCCGAGTATGCAGCCTCTGATATCTTAATGCGATCCAGAGATTAATCTGAGGGAAGCAAGAGAGACACAGGGCAGCTGTGTCCACGGCTCAACGTCACTTCTTTTAGTTGGGACCTGTTTGGAGCTCCCTGGAAAGGCCTGAGGTCTGCAGTTCCTCACTGCTGACGGAGCACAGCTGGTGTACTAGGAAATCCAGGGGTGGGCTGGCAGGACCCACCAGCTCTTTCCAACACTGAGAAGTCCGTAGAGTGCTGTCCCAAGGGGAGGCTGCCTTCCTCGTCCTGGGGAGGGCTGTCACAGGCAAAATCCAAGAGTCTCTTCAGGAAGTATCTTTGGAACTCGTCTGACTTTAAATCTTGTTCTTAGTGAGACCCCAGAGTTCCACACTTTATGGAGTCCAGCAGAGACAATTAGCACCTGGAACATCTAGAGTGTAAGTGTTACCAATTGTTGTCACTGGAGACCTAGGAAGATTCCGGAGATAGCTTCTCTTACGTGTCTTGGAGCAGCTAAGGATGTGGAGGCTCTCACCAGGACAACCGAGCTTAACACATCAACTAGCTCATGAACTTACAGAGTGGCGACCCATGAGTTGTGGAGATTGTCTGCAAAAACAATGGTTTTAGGTCTGACATAATTCAGCTTGATTCATTCTTCCTGGCTGTGGTCAGATCTTTTGAGATCACTCCTAGTTCATGATAATAAAACTGTGTCATTAGCAGAAAAGAAGAGATTTATCTTCATTCTTACTATATCAGGGGACACACACGCAGTTCTTTAAAACTCTGTTAGACTATTAAGATACAAGTTCATGGGTAAGGATAGGAGGAGAAAATCCAGCTGCAACCTGGCATCACTGTCTGTTGGGCACCATTTCTGTCTCTTCTCATTTATGTCATGGTTTGAAAAAGGAGATCATGCCAAAGCCTGCAGAGCTGAGGAATTGTATAATTGCTTTGTTGGGCTGTACACCTTTGGCTTTTAATATGCCTCAGATTCCTAAGTTACAACCCTTTGATTTTCTTAGCTATTGGTACTGAAAGAACACCATGCTACTGAATTCACTCTCAGGGCTGTCAAAAAGAACTCTGAATGAAAATAATCAAAATTCATCCTGCAAATACAAAAATGCTTCGTGAAAATCACCAACACATCCCATTCACGAATGCTTCTGCATGTCAGCTGTACTTCATTAGCTGTAGACATTTCTTAAGCGCTTCATTTTGACCACAAATATGAAGTTGCTGACCATTGACTGTTCTCTTGGAGAGAATTACTGTGTGCGGTTGCTGAGTCAGCGCACAGACCCCCACAACAGACACCTTGGCCAAGAGACAAAAGAGAGGGGCTGCGTGCATTTATCAGTGCTTTAATAAGGCCTGCAGATTCTTCTTTCTTTGCCAAAAAGCGGAAAACAAAACAAAACATGGTTAGAGATGCAAAGGAAAATTGCTTCATTCAGAAAAAACAAAGCACAATAGTTTCTAGGGAGATACAGAGAGATGCAGCTTGTTGCATTTTTGAGGTTATTCCCTTTAAATGTATTATTTTGGTGTTTGCCCCAGATTTCCACTCATCACTGAACTTTGGCTAATTGCTCTGAAGGCTAAGAATAAACACAACATTCACACAAGCCTGGGGTGGGGTGGACAGCCACTCAGTGTCCCTGCCATGGGTTTCTGAACACACATTCATGACTTCCCCCCTTCCCCACCCTCAGGTACCCCATGTCTCCTGGAAGATGTTCCTTAATGCTGAGCTTCTGCAATGGAATTTAGCCTCCAAGCCACAGTTGCTATTTCTCTTCTAGCTAAAAACTTCTATTCATCAACCTGGGTGGTCTTTACAATATTAATAGCCGTAAGAATGTGAATTATTTACAGAATTTGTAGACATTATCACCAAAGGAGTAAATCAACATTTGCTTCCATTTAGAACCTAGATATTTGTTAAGAGATATTCTTAAAGTACCATTCTTAGGTTGCTGGAGAGCGTCTTCAAGGGTAGATAATTTCAGGAAACACATAAGTAGGAATTTGTTTCTGTCAGTTCTTTGTGACTTTCCCTCTTCCTGTCTCTAGGAGGGCTTTATAAAACTTTCTGAATGGTCCTCCTAAAAAAGTAATCTGGGAAAATAGATCCACACAACTATATCAATGTGAAATTTCACATAGATTTGAAGGGCTAGTGCAGTAATTTCTCGGAAAAAAATCATTGGGGATTTGTTAGATTAGTCGTGGTAGATTTGGGGGGTGCATCTCTCTTCTTCTATTAATAGAATAGCAATGAAACTTAAATAATTAATATAAATTCTAATTTAGATTAGAATTTCTTGATGTTCGGTTGGACAACTAAGATGCCTTTGTGGGGTTAACTAACAAGGACCCAACAAGTCCCAACTAACAAGGAAGGTTATTTGCAGGGAAAGTGGTGTTAAGGAGATCTGAAAGAGGAGGGCCAGGCTCCATAGCTCCTTGGGCTGCCACTCCTGCTCTGGACAGAATGGTATAAGAATATAGAACTGTTGGAAGCCTCTTAGGCTAGAACCCAAGATTACTTTACTTTGGATCTAAAAATAAAGTTCAAAATTCACAAAATTTATACCAGGAGTTTGTGTCTTCTAAATAAATTCATTTTAGTAATTCCTCCAGACTGATGGTATCTCTGTGTATCTTAAGACAAAGGTACACACATTCCTCTTCATCCCCAGCTCTAAATAGAAAAGGCAAAAGATTTGCTTTTCTAATCGTGTTCTGCATTGCTTTCTGTGTTTGCCCAAGTACATACCTGTCTCATGAATAAGCTCTCTGGTAGGAGGGCTGAGGCACAGTGAACAATCCCCCAGGGCGTGAGACACAGAATTGCACCAGTGGCCTGTCTGCCACCCAGCTCTGAAACACAAGCAGGCTTATCCCGTCAAGATTGAACCTGTGTGCTGAATGCTGTGAGCTCCCAGGCCAGCATGAGGGTGGCCAGGTGGGGAAGATAATCTGGATTTGCATGCCAGCTCCTTTGCTGGAGATGGCTGATGCTTTGTGTTTGTTTCGAATATTATTTCCATGGTTCTTTTATTAAAATCAGCTGTTGGGCTCCCACAAATTATTCTTAGCTCGACAGACCAAAACAAATGTCAAATAGTGAAAGTGTCATTCGAGTCCTAAAATGGGGAGTAGGCTGTAATCTTGTGTCTTGTAAAGATATAAAAATAGGACTAGGCAGAACCCTGTCTAAGGTATAAAAGAAAGAGAAAATCAGTGCAGAAGACAGAGTAGGAGATTCAGCTAGGATGGAAGATGAAAAGATACCCTTGGCTTTCTAGAAGCTTTCCCAGTTACTGTTTTGTTTGTTGTTTGTTGTTGTTATTTATCTTTTTAATTTCATCTCTTCTTTAAATCAGCCCAACAGAAACAGAAAACAAAAGTTCCTTTCAGTTTTATCAAATCTGGAAAAAAATCATTTAATCATTAAAAAAGTCTACTGTGCTACTTACAAAAACAAAAAAGTTGACTATTTCCCTCTGCACTGCTCTCCCCTCTTGAGATCAAGTATACAGAAGCACTTCGATGATCAAAGCATGTAGCCCCATCACATCAAGAGATGAGGATATCAGCTCCTTTCTATTTATTTCTATGGATAGGAATAGTGCTGTTATGTTGCCTCATCTCGATGGATTAGTGGAAAGCATTATGCTCTTCACAATGACCGTCAATACCCTAGGTGAGAGGCAGGGCTGGCCTCAGCAATTCTTCCGGGTGACAGCCTCTAAGCAGAAGCTTGAGGGGACAGTGCCATGGCAAGGCTGCAGGTGGGTGCCGGCAAAGCCAGACATCGGGGAGCTTGCAATTCCAATAACCCACCCCCTGGGACCCACAACAGGGAGGGTCATGACCCGAGAGCCACACTAGCGAATCGCTCCATCTACCTGGCAGGACCACCACACACGGTCCCCCCATCTCAGAACCCCATCTCAGCACCGGGGCTGTGGGGCAGGCGAGGCTTTGGGTAGTGGACAGGGCTGTAGAAGGACATTTCCTGGATCGCAAGACCCCTCTTCCCCTCACCTAAGCATTTCTCTGAAATCCAGGATGCAATTCCATTTATGTGGAAGTGTTTCCTTATTATTTCTATTTTAAAAAGTATTGTCAAAGCCCCTTATCAAATCAATGGTGCATCTGACATAAACATGAAACAGTCAGATGCCATCGTGGTGTGGCAGAGAGTGATGGGAAGATGAGGGGGTTGATTTTTATTCTTCCATTAAATGTCTGGGTTGACCCTGAGTGGAACTTAAATTCCTTACCTACTTAATTTAGTGTCTTTATCTCTAAAATGAAGAGGTTAAACTGGATTATTTTCAGGGTCTTTTTTGAACTAGCAAGCACAGGAGTCCACACATAATTAAGCGCTGCAAACGTGGGGGCGCGGATCAGAGTGGCCAGAGGCAAAGCAAGTTGTATGAGGCTGATGGAGGCAGGTCCCGTGGGATGGGAGGCCCCTCAGAGGGCCTGCAGGGAGCCCGTAGAACTCCCTGGGGACAGGCCTGAGTGCTCTGACAGGGGGATGGGGAGGTGACAGAGGGAGGCTGGGCACTTGGACCTGTGTGAGAAGGAGAAACGTGAAAGCAACTCTGTACCCAACAACAAGCAAATAAAAATGTAGTTCCCCCCCACCATGTGCCATCATGATAAAAGCAAAAGATGGCACTTTGTTGTTTTTAAAAGGATATTCCTTGCAACCCAAATATCCCCTAAATAATTTGTCACCCCTTCAGTTATGCTCCAAGTGGCAGTTAAGTTTCCCTTGGCACACAGATCCACTGGAGAAATGGAATATTTGGTTACATTCTCCTGTAGAGGGAGGGAGGCCTGAGGGTGTGCTTGTGTTTCTAGGAAACAGCCGGTGCTTCAGCGCTGACCCCACACCTGAGTGACTGTCCAGGTCTGGGCAAAGGGAAAGCCGACATTAGTGTCTGGGGACAGCATGCTCATTGCAGCCTGAGGCCTCATCCTCAGCCCACACACTGAAGGTGTGAGACGTGCAGGCCCCCACATGGGGACAGACCTCCTTTCTCCTGTTTCTGCTCGGACAACCTGTGCAGCTCTGCTCACTGCTGCTGGAGTTTGGGAGTTGGGACCCCCTCTCTACCATGCACACAGAATCCCCAAGCCCCAGACATCCAGGAAACACCACCAGATCCCTCATGTCTTGGTTCTGTCTTTTTCAGGCCCCCAGCAGGAAGTGGCTGGCTCAGGAGGTGGTGTCTCAGGTACTGCAGGAGTCATCCGTCTTCTCTTCTGCACTGGGGAGTCATTCTCTGACCTTGGGTTTACCTTTCAGAACGCTCCCAGCTCTGGACACAGGGCTTGGTGGGGACCTCCTTCGGAAGTGTCACCCTGAGGCAGAGCCAAATGCCGCAGCAACCGCCTCTCCTCCACCCTCTTCCTCCTTCAATGCAAGATTGCAATGAGATTGGCCCATAGGGCGGTTCAAAGAAGCAAAAAGTTATGATTAGGAAATACCGGTATTAAATAATTTCCCTTGGTTTCATTTCCTCTTATGACTGAATCCCAGCAGGGCCTCCCAATTCTTTTCCTTCAATTGGCTGTTTTATGTCCAATTCCAGGACGGGCTGGGTCCCGACTGTAAGCATCCCCCAACCCTCCCAATCCCTCCTTTGAGTCCTGACCATTTAGCCCAAGACAATTTTAAAATCGCAGAAGCTTAAGGCTGGAAAGCATTTTGACAGGTCCCCCAGGCTAACGTTATATGCGTTTTCTCCTGTTTTGCCTGAATTGAGCCAGAGGAGGGCTGAGCGCCTCATGTTCCCCTGAAGCATGCGGGCTTTGGAGGTGGCCAGGCTGGGCTGGCTCCTTCAGGGACAGCCCTGAGGCTCCCTCCCTGCAGCTGCTCACGCTGCAGCTGGCCTGCTGCCTGGACTTTCAGGGAACACCTACAGTGGGCCAGGCATTGTATGAAGGTAACTAGAACTAGGCTCCTGAAAACTTTAGTGGAAATAGCAGCGCTTTGCATTAAGTAAGATGTGGGCTACCTTACCCTCCAGAAGGGAGAGCATGTCCCAGTCCACATGTATTTCAACCAGTATCTTTTTAAAGAAGAATGGTACAACTAGAATACTCAGGGTGTGGCCTGGCTGGTGCCCAGGGTGACGGGGCCATGCCTCCGTGGGGACGCCACATTTGTAACTATGCCTGCATCTAGACCCATCTAATGTTTTAGTGTGTGGTTGATGAAAGCCACTGATATTTTTCTGCACCATGCTTTTGAAATTTGATATTTGGATGAATTATTCAATTCCCCTGATATTTCTGAGCTGCTTTTTCTGAGTCAGGCACTGGTGGTTTGGTGACACACAGGGAGACGTGCTCCAGGCCCCCGTGGCACTCACAGTGCAGCAGGAAGACAAATCACCTGCTTCACACAAGTCGGTGTTTGGTTACAATTGTGGGAAGAGTTTTGAGGAGAGGAAAGTGTGCTTGCTGAGGAATAATGGCCAGGAAAGGATTCCTGAGGAAGGGACATTCACATGGAGACCTCCAGGATCACTGGTGTCAGCCCGGAAGCAAAAGGAATTCCCAGGAGAGGAAAGAGCTCATGCAAGGACCCTGAGACCTCACACTGGGCGGAGAGAGACCCTGAGTCTCCACACTGAGCAGAGAGAGACCCTGAGACCTCATACTGGGTGGAGAGAGACCCTGAGTCCCCACACTGAGCAGAGAGAGGCCGAGTCCTCACAATGGGTGGAGAGAGACCCTGAGTCCCCGCACTGGGCGGAGAGAGACCCTGAGTCTCCACACTGAGCAGAGAGAGGCCGAGTCCCCCCACTGGGCAGAGAGAGACCCTGAGTCCTCACACTGGGTGGAGAGAGACCCTGAGTTCCCACACTGGGCGGAGAGAGGCCCTGAGTCCCCACACTGGGCGGAGAGAGACCCTGAGTCCCCACGCTGAGCAAAGAGAGGCTGAGTCCCCACATTGGGCAGAGAGAGACCCTGAGTCCCCACACTGGGCGGAGAGAGGCCCTGAGTCCCCATGCTGGGTGGAGAGAGGCCCTGAGCCCCTACACTGGGTGGAGAGAGACCCAGAGTCCTCACACTGGGTGGAGAGAGACCCTGAGTCCCCACAATGGGTGGAGAGAGGCCCTGAGTCCCCACACTGGGCAGAGAGAAGCAGAGTCCCCACACTGGGTGGAGAGAGACCCTGAGTCCCCACACTGGGCAGAGAGAAGCAGAGTCCCCACACTGGGTGGAGAGAGACCCTGAGTCCCCACGCTGGGTGGAGAGAGACCCTGAGTCCTCAAATCAGGTGGAGGGAGACCCTGAGTCCTCACAGTGAGCACAGAGAGATGTAGGTGGAGCTAAGGCACACAGGGGCTGAAGACCAGGCAAGGACATGACTCCTCATCCTAAAAGCAACGGGAAACCCAGGCCTTTGGTCTAGACTTATCCCATATTAGATTGGCTTTTTCAAGGGTCAGTTGGGACACTGTGTAGAGATTGGCGTGGTCTGGAGTTGGAGGAAAAGACAGCAGGCAGAAGCTGGATCCAGGTGAGTCATGAAGGTGAGGCTTCAGAGGGCAGGTGTATTGAGAGGTCCAGTGGACAGGACTTGGTAATGAACCGGCTGACCAGCTTGTAGACTTGGCAATGGAGGAGTCAGATGCTCTGAAAGGGATCAGGAGAAAGGAAGAAGGACTGGGAAAGGGATGAGGCAAGACTTACTCAGAGTTCTGTCTGATGTGCCTTTCAGTCCTCCGTCTTAGCCCATGCATACTACTGTAAAGAATACCTAACACTCAGTGGCTTATAAACAACAGAAATTTATTTCATATGGTTCTGGAGGCTGGAAAATCCAAGATTAAGGTGGTGGCAGGATTGGTGTCTGGCGAGGGCCTGCCTGCTTTCCGGTTTATAGATGGCACCTTCTTGCTGTGTCTTCAAATGGTAGAAGGGGTGAGGGAATTCTCTTGGGCCTCTTTGATAAGGACACTAATCTCATTCATGAGGCTCTGCTCTCACGATCTACTCACCTCCCAAAGACCCCACTCCTAATACCATCACTTTGAGGGTTAGGTTTTAATGTATGAATTTTGGGGGGAAACAAACATTCTGACTGTAGCTCCACCCACGGGAGATGTCAAGCATGTTGGCGGCTATGCTGGAAGAGGTATCAGAGAAGTCAGAGAAGTTCTCTGTCCTGAGCACCAGGAGAAACCTGGGTGCTCAGGGGGAATGCCTGGCCAGAGACACAAATGTGACAGTTGTTAGCAGGAGGATGTAATACCAGCCTCCAGCAATCTAGCCTTGGACAAGTCTGGAGGAGAGCTTACAAAGGCAGAGGAGAAAGCCAGCACAGAGCCTCAAGCCTCTCATATTTTAAAGAGGGGTTTGCCTGATGCTAATGCAGGCCACACATGGTATACACCGACGGCGCCCCACCCCCGCCCTGTGTTCCTGTGTCCTGGGTCCTGCTCTAATCACTTCACCTGCGTTACCTCATCGACTCACCCTGCAGTCATATGAGGTGATATGCCATCACTCCCATTTTACAGAGAGATCAACCGAGGCACAAAGAGATTCTGCAACCTGGCTTGGGCAGTCTGAGTTCTTCACCCCTGCCCTCCCTGCATGCAGCGAAGCAGCCCAGGTAGGGGCTGGGTAAAGTGGAAAGGCCAGGACCTCTGCCAAGGAAAGAGGTGACCACTCAGCTCTGGTGTCTTTGCCCTGGGGCAGGGAGGGCCGGGGTGTGGGATCTGGGCCTTTGGAGTTTTCAAGAGAATCTGGATTTCTATGTGTAGTTTACCAGTTTTTAAATACTAGCATTTGTTCACATTTTTAAAAGCACTGTTGGGGCAAAAAAAAAAAAAAAATTGGGGGGAGCTGACTTCAGATGGTAAGATTTTAAATCTCCGTCTAAGTTGCTAAGAGAAGAAATTTTAGGCGCCCTTACCGTGAAAAGCGGTAATTATGCGAGGTGATGAATACGCTAATTTGCTTGACTGTAGTAGCCATTACATCGTGTATGTCAAAACAACACCCTGTATGCCCGCCTTATAAATACACACACAAAAAAAGGTTGGAAGAGAAGGGGCTGTTCCAGGATTTGGAGGAATAGGGGTGCCCAGCGGGACAGAAGTTCTGAGCCCTGTCGTGGGCCGAAAGCCAGGGATGTGTCTGCCCAACAGAACTTCAGTTTATGGTTGGCTTCCTCTGTGCACATGTTGCTAGTCAACACAGGGACTAGTCGAAAAACTAGGTTTTTTCCCTTCCTGTGGTCAATCCTCTGAATTTTCTTCTTGTTTTCTTTGTGCAATCTTTCATTTATTTCAGATTCCAAGGCAGAAGTCACTGAGAAGTTGTTCAGTGACCAGGGTCAAGGGTTGGCCGTTTCTAAGGCTGAGTGTGGCAGAGGGCACCAGGAGCTTGTCTTGCTGGTGGAGCTGGGGAACCCCAGGACCCGTGCGCCTCAAACCTGGGCCAGGAGTGAGGAGCTGGCCTCCCCTAGGCTGAACTTGACTCACAGACCGGTTTGGTGTGGGCCATCCAGTTGAAAGGAGTTGTCAATGTTTAATATTTGCTAGGCTTCACAGAAAATTTAAACTTGGAATATTTTTCTGAAAATGTGGATGATCAGGACCAAGTTATTCTCCCGTAAGGCCACAGTCTGCTGGAGGTAAGTGGTGCTGACCACATTAGTGGGGGCTCCCTCTCCCCAATTAATGGCAGCCTCCCCTCCTCTGCTGTCTTCTCCTTGGCTTACTTTACCCATTTCCTTTCCTGCCTGGACTCTCTGCACAGGTGCATTTGAGACCCTGCAGGAAAGCTCAGCAAACTGAACAGCGCCCCCAAAGCCCTCCTCACTCCAGGAGACACAGGTGGAATTAAGGGCTGAATAATCAAACATACCCCCTGACAGCTCACACTGGCCCTACCTCATGTCCCTAGAATCACTGTCTGGGTCCCTAGAATCACAGCCCCTTGCATCAGTGGCAGAATTGGAGTGTGATTTGGGGGCTCTTTACCCTGTTCCTGGTCCCCACATTGGCTTTTGGGCTTTTGGGCTTGGAGGGCCACTGTCTGGTACTGACTACTTCCACCTTGGAGTAAAAAGATCTGGGCAAAAATGAGGCATCCAAAAAGCAGTGAGTGTGCCTCCGTCTCCTTCCCCCGCCCCAAATCCCTTATTTTGGCACTGATTTAAACAGGAGTAACGAAGTCACCTGAGGGCTCCCCCTCCTCCAGAGTCCTTGGGTCCCTGCAGTACTTAATTCCCATTCGGCCTCACTGTCCTTCAGACCCAGGCTTGGCATCTGGGCTGAGCCCTATCCCAAAGTGGTTTCCATGCTCAGACTGAAGCAGGATATGTGCTTTCTCCGTCCCCAGGGAATGACATCTCCAGCCAGCTCTTCTCCAGAGAACCCTGTTTCCTCTCTCCTGCTTACTCTTCAAGACTTCCCTTTGATGTCACCTGGTCTGTGAGACAGCCTTTCCTGGGACCCCCCCACGGAGAGAGAACCCACTCATAAGACTCCAAAATGCCAAGGCGCCCAGCTTCTCATGCCCACCTCTGAGCTGTGAGGCAGAGGCCTGTTTATTTTGGGTTGATGAGTAAATCATGTGGAACAGAATCAAAAGCTCTGCTGAAGTCAACACAGATGACATCTGTCACTTCCTCTTAATCCATCAGTCAGGGGGAGAGGGCATTGGATTAATTAGACAGGCTCTTTCAAACGTTTGCCAGCAATGACTCCATGCCCTCTTTCTCTCATGCACTGGTGAAGGAAAACAATGAATTTTCACCCTATTGTTTATCTTAGAAGGGTCAGGTTTTGAGGTCAAACATCAGTGTAAAATTTTGTCTTAAAAAATGCACATGCATTCTAACTGCTAATAGCTCATATGCCCATCTTTGAAATCAAAGTTCTTGTTTCTTTACGAATGTGCCCACTGCAAGGATATCAAAGCATTGGCAGACATTAAGTCAGTGGCTTTGCCTAAGCCAGGCTTTCTCTCATTGAAAAGGGAGGGATCTATTTGGGGAGAGAGTCTCTGGGGGCCGTGATTTATCCAGTTTGATTACATGGAACACTGGTCTCTGTTTATTTGCTGCAACATGGCATCTGCCTTGGGAGGAGATGCTCCACAGTCGACTAGAGCCTCTGCCAGCTGTGGCCACTTGTCTTCAGGCTGCACCTGTGTGAGTCCCTTACTCGGCTCACTGAGCATGACTCCTTCTGACCTCAGGGAATGAATGGCCTGTTTCCCAGGCACAGGACAGATCCTGAATGTCCCCAACCCTGAGAGTGTGTGCGTGCACCCTCCTCTCTTGCCTGATCTCGTCCTGGCCTTGCCCTGGCACTTGTTCCTCACTGTTTGGTTCACTAATTTGCTGTTCAATATAGAACTTTGTCCTTTCCTAACATGCTTGGAGTCCCCTGGGTCTTTCATTCTATTCAGTTTTCCTGAAACTAGCCTTGTCCTCATCCAGCCTTCTGGGCCTATGCGAGAGCTGCCTGGATTCCTCACTGGGGGAAGCGGAGGCAGGAGAGGAGGGGCCTTGGATGTGAATGCCAGCTCCTCCACTTACTACCTGGACCCTGCCAGAGCCACTTGACTCTCTCGGCTTCTGTGCGTTCATATTTAGAGTGCGCATAACACAGTCGGCCCTTGAACAACACTGAACTGCAAGGTTTGAACTGCAAGGGTCCACTTACACACAGATATTTTTAAATAAAATTTACACCAAGCTTGCCTTTCTCTCCTGACTCCCCTTCCACCTTTGCCGTCCCAGAGACTGTAAGACCAACCCCTTCTCCTCCTACTCAGCCTCCTCAACATGAGGATGAGGAGGAAGACCTTTATGATGATCCACTTCCAATTAATGAATAGTAAATATATTTTCTCATCCTTATGATTTTGTTATCAACATTTTCTTGTCTCTAGCTTACTTTATTGTAAGAATACAGTATACAATACATATAATATACAAACCATGTGCTAACTCATTTTTTAAGTTGTTGGTAAGTCTTCCAGTCCACAGTAGGCTATTAGTAGTTAAATTCTGGGGGAGTCAAAAGTTATGTGTGAATTTTAAACTGCTCAGGGGTTGGTACCCCTAACCTCCACATCGTTCGAGGCTCAAGCGTCTTATCTTTCTTAGAGACTTGCTATAGGGATTCAGTTAATATAGAAAAATATGTTTGGATCAATACTTGGCACAGGATGGTACTGTCCTGGGAGCTGTGCCTGAAAATAAGCTGTAGAAGGAAACATAAGACCTCTCCTTTTGCAATAACAAGAAACCATTAGATAAATCAAAATCAAACACTCTTGTGAAATTGTTGACACCCATAATGTGTAAAAAGCTAAATTCCAGAAGAACCAGCCCTTCCTGCATGATCAAGGGCCAGTTGTTGAGGTTGAGGCCCAGCAAGGAAAAGAGCAAGCCCCCCGCAGAGGCCAGTCTTCGCCAAATCAAGGAGAAAGCAGGCAAATGTTGCCAGTCAGCCAGGCTTGTGTGTGGGTTTGGCTGTGGAGGAACTCCAGTGTGCTAAGGGTTCTGTCTGCCTCTCTCCTATGGGAATTCCTCTGAGTTATCAGGGGTTGGGGATAGCAAAGTCATGTGACTGGCTGTTCTTCCATCTAACAGTCTTGAGATTTCACAGCCTCAAGGTTTATCATTTTGAGATCTTGCAATATTGAGGAGTTTAAGCCCAGAGCCTTTCTTGAGAGAGAGGCTGCAACTAAGCAAAGCTGCAAGCAGGTTTCCACCCAATTCAACTTCAGATGAAATCAAAGATACCAGTCTAGTGGGAGTTGAGGAAGTTGGAGGCTAAGCTGAAAAGCAAAGAGAGATCTCCTTGATCCAGTTGGAGTTGAGTTGATTGTATTCCTTTAGGAGGCCTTAAAAGGCTTTTATGCCTTTGTAGGGCCTTAATGTTTAAACACAAGGAGTTTAACTAATCAGCTCCTCACCTGAGATATGTAATAAAAGAAAGGACATTCCGTCTGATGGTGAATTTCATACATGTGTGTGTGTTTCAGCCTTTACTTTCTAGACACAGTGTCCAACATACAATTTTTTTAATGGTAAGGCATGGGAGAAGCAGGAGAATATGATCCACAGTCAAGAGTAAAATCTGCAATGGAAACAGGCCCACTGATGATCCACATACTGGAATTACCAAAGACTTTAACATACCTATAGTAAATATGTTAAAGAAGCTCAGGAAAATATGAGTGTAACTGGCAAAGAAGAGAAAAATCTCATCAGCCATGAAAACAATAAAAAAGAACTAAGTGGAACTCTTAGAATGAAAAACTGGAAAATGTAATAATTGTAATAAAACATTTTCTGGATGGGATAAAGAGCAGATCCCATTAAACAGAGAAAAAAATAAGTGGACTGAAAGATCAATAGAAAAATTATTGTGTCTCCAGTTTTTTTTTTTTTTTTGAGACAGAGTCTCGCTCTGTTGCCCAGGCTAGAGAGCAATGGCATGATCTTGGCTCACTGCAACCTCCGCCTCCTGGGTTCAAGCGATTCTCCTGCCTCAGCCTCCTGAGTAGCTAGGACTACAGGTGCCTGCCACCACATCTGGCTAATTTTTGTATTTTTAGTAGAGACGGGGTTTCACTATGTTGGCCAGACTGGTCTTGAACTCCTGACCTTGTGATCCACCCGCCTTGGCCTCCCAAAGTGCTGGGATTACAGGCGTGAGCCACTGTGCCCGGGCTCTCCAGTTGTTTTTTTAAATTGAGGTATAATTGATTAATTGATATACAGTGAAATGCACAGATCGCAAGTGTGTGGTTCGATGACTGGTGACTATTGCACCTGCCTATGTAACCCACATTCCTCTCAAGATGGAACAAGTCCAGCACTGCAGAAACATTTCTTGTGCTCCTCCCTAGTCAGTCCCCACCCATCACCCAATGACAACCACAGTTCTGATTTCTTTTACCATAGAATAGTTTTTGCTTTTCTAGAACTTCTTAGGAATGAAATTATACAATATATAGTATTTTGTGTCTGGCTTTTTTTTTTTTTTGCTCAGTATAATTGTTTTTTCAATTAATCCATGTTGTTGCATATATCAGGCTTTTCTTTTTGTTACTGAATAGGATTCCATTTTATGGATATCCTACAATATGTTTATCCACTCTTTAGCCCGTTTCTGGACTGATGGTCACTCAGCAGCCCCTTCTATTGGCCATGCCAGACACAGGGCCCAGGTAACATAGGGCCAAGGTCACACTTCTTGTCTGTGGTTTTCATGCCTTTTCAAGTTAGAATTGAGTAAGAAACCTTTCAAACCAAAATATAGAATTTTGGATGGTAGTGGAGGGGGCATTGGGAGGAGTAGAGCCCCACCTAACCCTCACCTCCCTCAGGAACTTGGAGGGAGCTCTTGGTCTGAAGGATGGTGCCCAAATGAAATAAAAAGACATCCCCAGCTCATCTCCCTCCTCAAAGCTTTCCCAAGGCTGCCTGGACCTTCCCCAGGATGGTCTAATTCTTGTTGCTAATTATTATTTATAATCCTATGCATTGTGTTTGAAAAGTAATATGAGTTAACTTACAAAGATACACACATATAGCAGAATACCATAATAGGAAAAAGTAGGATAAATAAGGAAATTGAAGTGAGAGCAAATGAAAGGGTACTAAGAGGAAGAAAAGTGAGCACTCAAAGTCCCAGGAATTTCTAGAGACAAGCCCAGACTGGGCTCAGAGGTTCTGAAGCCGAAAATGCTCTAAGGTCAAATACATTTGGGAAATACTGCTTACCTATCCCAACTTTGGAGATTTGCTGTGCACACTGGCATGCTAAGGGCTCTGGGCTTCTTTGTAGTAAAGAATCTACTTTACTTGCTTTCCACCTCTCTCTCTTGCTCTCTCTCTTTCACACACACACACACACACACACGATGCTTGTTTTTCTGCTGTTTCAATAGTGGGACACATTGGATATACTGTTGTCAAATCTGCTTTCTCCACTCAATATATAACATAAACATTTTTCCAAGCCATTAAATATTTTTCTCAAACATCTTCCTTAATAGCTATATGAGTATTCCATTTCATTGTTATATCATAATTTATGTCCCCAAATCCTACTACAGTGTGTGTAGGTTGGTTCTCATTTTTTTTAACCTATAAATAACTCCGGATGAACAGTTTAAAGCTAAATCTTTGAAGACGTTTGTGATTATATCCTCAGGATATATCTTTCATGGTGGCATTTCTGGGTCAAAAGATATATGGATTTTGAGTTTTTGGATACATATTGTTGAATGTTTACAATAATTAGAGCTTATTCTTTTACACTTTATTTTGAAATAATTTTAACCAGACAGAGAAGTTACAAGAACAGCACTTGGAACTTTGTCCCTGAACCATTGGAGAGGATGTTGCGCCATGTGCCCTATCACCCATTAGTACTTTACTATGTTTTTTCTGCAAACAAGGCCATTGTCCTGTACAACCATAGCACAGCCACCGAAGTCAGGAAATTAAAGTTGATACATTACTATTCTTTGATTCCTGTATTTCTTTAAAGTTTTACCAGTTGTCCCAATAATGTCCTTTAGATCAAAATGATTCCACCTAGGATTATGGGTTACATTTGTCCTCTCTTTTAGTTTAATTCCAGAACAACTTCCTAACCTTTCCTTGACTTTCATGAACTTGACACCTGTGGCGGTTGCAGGATAGTTATGATGTGATGTGGCCCTTAGTTTTGGTTTGTGTGATGCTTCTTCATGATTAGATTCCATCATTCATATTTGGCAGAAGATCATAGCTGCAATGCTGGGCTCTCCTCAGTTCATCCCACCAGGTGCCCAATGATTTCAATTCATCCAATTATTGGTGGTGTTGACATTGATCCCTTGGTTAAGCTGGTGTGTGCCAACCTTCTCTAATTTATTTCCATTTGTAATTGATAAGTATTTTGGGAGGATATATGTAAATATACTCTCCCTCTTCAAATACTTTTTTTTTTTTTTGAGACAGGGTCTCACTCTGTCTCCCAGGCTGGAGCGCAGTGGTGTGATCTCAGCTCACCGTAGTCTTGTCCTCCTGGGCTCGGGTGATCCTCCTGCCTCAGCCTTCCAGGAAGGTGGGATTACGGGCATGCATCACCACACCAGGCTAATTTTTTGCCTTTTTTTGTAGAGATGGAGGTCTCATGATGTTGCCCTGGCTAGTCTCTAAAGCCTGGGCTCAAGCCATCCGCCCACCTCTGCCTCCCAATATGCTGGGATTACAAGTGTGAGCCATTGTGCCCAGGCTGAACTTTTTGCCTACTAGTTTTAGCACCCACTGATTTGGGGAAATGAATTAATCATTACTATGTCAGTTGACAAAAATTGTGATTTTCTACTTCTACCATACCTTCCACGCTTATTAGTTGTCTTTAGAGTCTAAGAAAAAATGTTTTATTTTCCCTATTTATTTATTCATCATTCTATTTCATTCAGTGGGTCATAATTTACTGTATCATTACTTATTTTAATGCTCAACTTGTTCTGTATTTGGCCTGCAAAAGCGCTTTCTACCTGGCTTCTAGATGAGATTACCAGTCCTGAAGTCAGTCATTTCTCCAAGTGGCTGTGGTTCGTTTCAGTAGAGAACAGTAATTAGACACCACCATTTGGGTGCTAAAAGTGTTCATGGCCATCATGGTGTAGCTGCTGTTATGTCCCGTTAGTGGGCAGAGCTAGATCCAACATGTATGTGAGTTCATGATGATACTTCAATTCCAATTCAACACTGCATGGTCGGCCTGGACTGCTTTCCCATATTTGTAACTCCATTATCCTATTCTCATCAATAAGTTTGCTTGTATTCTTCTACTTATGTAACCAGTCCCTTGATTCCGTGCCTGGCTGCCCCATTCCCCTCCTGGTTTGACTCCTCACCCAGCTCCAGCTGTAGCCCCAGGATGAGTGGCACTGCCATCACCACCACTGCTCTTTCTCACACACAGCCTGGGATCCCGCCTCTCTTGACTCCACCGCTATTGGGGTTCCACCTCTCTTGACTCTATCTGGTGGCTGTTCCCATGAAAGTTTCAGGAAGGAGGAAGGAAGAAAGGGAAGGAGGGAGGAAGGAAGGAATAAAGGAAAGAAGGAGGGAAGGAAGGAATAAAGGAAAGAAGGAGGGAAGGAAGGAAGGAGGGAGGGAGGGAGGGAGAGGAGGGAGGAAGGAAGGAAGAAAAGAAAAGAAAGAAGGAAGGGAAGAAGGAAGGCTGGAAGGAGGGCAGGAAGGAAAGAAAGAAGGAAGGAAGGATGGGAAGAAGGAAGGAAGGAGGGAAAGATGGAAGGAAGGTAGGAAGGAAGCAAGGAAGGAAGGAAGGAGGGAAAGATGGAAGGAAGGAAGAAAGGAAGGAAGGAAGGAGGGGAAGGAGAGAGGGAGAGAGAGAAGAAGAGTTGGCTGTGATTACTCCAAATGAGTGTCATCATGTCAACTGGGAAAAGGGGACAATAATTTTTATTGTATTTTTTGCTCATCGGCACTTCAAATTTCTTTCTTGAATAAATATACATTAATTATGAAGTAGGAAAAATTACTTAATTTTGAAATATGAGTAAGATGCAACTTAAAAGAAAAAATGTGTTGTTAAGGTGTAAGAAAAGTGATATTACAAGTTCAATTCTGATATCCATACCTGAGAAAATAAAGCCTAGAAAAAAATCTCATTTATTAAATGATTTTAAAACAGAATAAAATTTGTAGGCCACAACTACAGAAGACTCAGCATGACAAAGGAACAAAATATAGTTAATATATTTTATTTATAATATATTAAAATTGTGGTTTTACTCTGGGAAGGTACAGTTAATTCCACATCAAGTGATCTATTCATAGAACTCACCTAGTTTAGAAGCTAAGGAGAAAAGCCATATGATTATCCTAAGTAATGGCAAGAAGGCTTTTGGTAAAGCTGGAAATGTAATTATTTCCAAAGCTTATGGTAAATTGAATAGAAAAATACTTCCCTTGTGTGATAATTAGTATCTACCCAAAATCCATACCTAGCATTAGTGAGGATACTTACAGTATATTGTCTACAAAACCAGGAACACATCTACATGTCCACTGTATAGAGGACAACCCACCTTGTTCTGAACATTTTTGAAACCTTAATGAAAAGCACAGCACAACACGGTCAATGGGCAGAATGTGGCATCTACCCTACCACGTTCCTTCACAGTCAACTCCCCTCCATATTCCCAGCCACTGACAATCATGGATGTGCTTTCTGGACCTACACACTTGCCTTTTCCAGGATGTCACAGAGATGGAATCAGGCAGTCTGTGTTCTGTTGGGTCTGGCTTCTTTCACTGTGCCTAATGCTTTTGAGATTCATTGATGATTTTGCACGTATCAGCAGTTAATTCCTCTTTACTGCTGAGTAGTGTGGCACTGTGTGGTTATATCACAGTTTGCTTATCTATTCCCCAGTTTAGGGACTTTAGGGTTGTTTTGAATTTTTGACAATTATGACTACAGTTGTTATGAGCATTTGTGTGTAGGTTTTTGCAAGGACGTATGTTTTCATTTCTTGTGGGTGAATATTGAGCAGTGGGATTGGTTGATCGTATGATGTCTGTGTTTAATTTGTTAAAAACTGCATTTGTTTTTCTCGATTTGTGTTCTCTCTTATTTTTCTCACCTTGATTTTACCTGCCCCTATTGTCCCTTCACATTGATCTTTTGACTTTAAAAAATTCCCTTCATCGTTTTCACCCCTGGCTGCTCATCAGAATCATCTCTATGATGTAAAACCTTCACTACAGATGCCAGGGATGTTTAGCTGGTCTGAGGAGGGAAGGACTTTTCTCTGTATTTTAAAAATTCTTCATGTGTCACTCAGGTTATCAATCAAGGCTGAGAACTCCTATCTGAAGCATATAATTTAGAGGTGCAGAGGGTGAATAGGAGAAACACTAAAGATGCTAAACAAAACAAAATCTAGGGCAGGTGGAGGGATGAAGCATACTTGCAATGTGCCTTTCATCTCTCAGAAGAGAAGGAAGTGCCAAGGCCTACCAGGCATGGGTGATGAGCTTGGACACAGATGTGTAAGTATATTGTTCAGTGCTGTAATGACAGCCCCAGGAAGAACTCAAACGGAAATGCTTACAGAGGTTGTCTCTGCACTGTGGGGTGGGGAGCAGGGGGAATGGAGGAATAACTTTTTCTCTTCATTTAACATCTTCCTGTACTGAGTGAAATATTTTTACCATGTCCATGCATTACTTTTATCATATTTTGGAATATGAGTTTGAATAAAAGATAAATTGCTGGTGTGAAGTGTGTGTTTGAAGGCATATTGGCAGTGGTAGTGGTTGGTGAAACATTTGTAGGAATGAATTCCAGCCTGGAGTGTTGGGAAGAGATGGAATCCAGGATCCAGAGAGAGAGGCCGGCTTTAGAGACGGTGGAAATCTGTCCTGGGTGGAAGGATGATGTGGGTGAGGGTCCTATGTGTGGAGGGTTGGTGAAGGCACTGGTGTCTGGTGGCTGCTCTCAACTCCTTTCATTCACGGAGGGTGTGGTGGATTGGTGATTTATGGAGAAGAGGCTTGTTGTCAGGGGTGGAGCAACTTTCGTGGAGACAGAGAGTGATGAGTGACTGCCCTGGGCAGTAGCAATAAAGTTGACCAGAATCCTGGATTCCGGGATGGCTGGGTCCCTGCCTAATGACGTCACCTGCTGAGACATAGGATGATGACTCCACAAAACCCCCATCACTGTAGCTCCCCAACATCCTGGAGGCCTGAGATAAAAGCAGGGGAGGATGCGTTTCATATTTTTTTAAATCATAATCATATAAGGGTTCAGATGTAGGATTGGAAGGGCAGGCCCCATTTGTCCCTTTAAGGTCTTCCCTCCCTTCTGGCCCCAAGAGTATGAGGGGAAGTCACTGGGATGCTGCCGACTGTCCCCAGGACACCTGGCATTGTCCCTGTGCTCCCTGGGTTCATGCTGACATTGTGGTGGGTAGGTGCCAATGTGCAGAGCCCACAAGGCAGCACCTCCTCACATTTCACACCCTCAGGGCCTCACATGCCTCAGCAAAGTGAGCCCCTCATCAATATCACGGCAATTCTAACTAGGAGACGCCACAGAGATGGCAAAGTTTATTCTTTTCTTTTTCATCTTCTAAACATAACTGTGGTTTCAATTTGGGAATAAGCGAATAAAGGTTTGTTTTGCGTCAGGAGATTTAATTTTTTTGCCCCTTAACTATCTTTCTTCTTGCTTTCCATGTGTTTCGAATATCTGCAGTAAATAGAATACAGTACTTGTAAGTCTTGAGAAACACATTGAAAACAGTTTACCTCACTGGACATTTGTAAAGAAAATTCAGCAAAGTGGTTTGCTGCCTTCTGGATGTGGTTGTGCACTGTTCCCACAAGGACAAGATTCCCAAGTTCTTGGCCACATTTTTAAGAGAAAAGCCTTAATTTCACAGGGAGCAGGTGATAGAAAATTTTCGTGTGCATTTTTCACAGAATAAAGCAAATGAAAGCCAGCATGTGAATCCCATTTGCTAAGTGTATCCTGACACAATCAGCTGATTTTTATGCATCAGAGCACCTAAAACTCCATCAATTTTTCTAAATTTTCATATGCATGTCAGTAAAGCTTAACAGTAAAAAAGAGTATAATTTTAAGAGTTTCTGATTTTTAATGATTTTACATAGTGTTCTTTGTCTTACTCTGCCTGTCCCTTCTGTTGGAAAAATTGGGTCTCATCACTCACTGGGTGAGATGACAGCCCAGGCAGGCTGCACAAATCACTCCACTAGCGGCAGCCCCGGAGCTCCTAATGGTGTTGGAAAATGTGTGTGCCTCGTGCACCCTTCTTTAGAAAATATGAATTTAGCGATGTGGTCATTGGTGTTTCTTCTTAAATTTCAGATGCAGTGTCCTAGCATCTATCATGTACAATAAATAACATGGGTGGACTCTTTGCAAACCACATATGGTTTCCACGTGCAGCATTTGTCTTCTCAGAAGCGGGATGACAACAGACCACACTTTGTCAGGCTTTGGGCCTAGCAAAGGTGCTTAAGGGGCAGAGTTTTCCCTTTAACTGCATAAGCCTTCCATTTGCCTTCTCTGATCTGAAGTAGCAGACTTAGGGCACATAGGTTACAGGGAGCTGACTTTTGCTGTGCAATTCCTGTGCCCCTGGATGTCAGATACTCAGGTGGCACATGCCCTGCTCAACCCAAAAGCTCGAGCAACATAACAGCTGAGTGGCTGCAACATAACAGCTATCTATTCCCCAGTTTAGGGACTTCGGGGTTGCTTTGAATTGTTCGAATTTAGGGTTGCTGAGTGAATTGCAGCAAGCAACAGATGCTGCAGTGTGTGTACGTGTCCATCTGTGATGTTGGAAAGGTGGGGATGGTTGATGTTGGTCATATCGGCACCCCTTTCCCATGCGATCTCCCAGATTATTCCAGACCTTGTTCAGGGACCTCCAGATGTTCCTGACAGGTGCCTTTCAGACACCTTAAGCCTCTGCTTTCCTTCTCTGCTTCTCCATTTCCCTCTGCAATGAGGCTAGGAAATCCATAAAAAATGCCTGCTCTTACCTCCAGGGTTATGTTGCTAAGTGACTCTGCCCTCCAAGTCACAAGAGCCAATTCCCAGGGCTTGGCCCATCTCCCTTACTCCTGCACCTTTTCCCTTGCCATCCCTGCCATAGCAGCTCCCAGGCACAAAGCTGGAGCAAAGGCGTGGGATGCCTTCGTGCATAAACTTGCCAGTTTCCTTTTCCCTGTTCATGTTGAAACTGGCAAGTTTATGCACCCAGGTGTTAGTGGAGGTGTTCTCTGTTTTGTTTGTTTGTTTGTTTTGGTCTTTGTTATTTTCAAAAGGAGACAGGAGACCACAAGCTTCCTGGCCAGCTAGGCAGAGAGGTCTCAGGCCTGGGCTGAACTCTCTGCACACAGCCATAGGATCTAGATACCTGGCCCTACAAGGTGTAGCCCTCAGCTGGCTGTGTGCAGACCCTCTCTCTGTACCTGCAACCTCCTAACCCCACCATGAAAAAGCCTCGTGCTGGAGAGATTGTGGTAGTGGGTACATCTGTACCTGCTAGTATGTGATTGAAGATGCATGCTGAGAAAATCAACTGGGAAAGACCCTCTTCCTAAAGTTTTCTTTCCAGAAAAACACCCTCAGGTGCTTGAGAGCCAGTTCCAGAAGTGATCATGATGCTGCACATACTCTCTAGTGGGCCTTTATTGCCAAAAAGTGACAGGCAGCTCATTGAGTGTCCAGCTTAAAGCGTCTAGAGATGTTGGCTGAGCTGGCCCTCAACGTTGGCTCTTTCTGGCTTTGGAAGTGCAGACGCTCTTGCCTGTGCCCTTTGTCTGTTTTATGGTTCCATTAAGTACATGATGGCTGATTTTATGAGCATAGCCTAAGATGACAGCACTGGGCTCTGCAAAGGCATTTCTTTAACTTCCTGAGGAGCCTTTATTCTCTGACAACCAAAGCCATTTGATCCCACCCTGCCCCCCAGCTCTGGGCTCTTAATCCCTCTTGTTTACAGTGAGTTTAATCTCTGTCATATTTCCCATTTAGCTGGACAAATCCCACCCTCCCTGGACTGAGCCATGTGACCACATCAGTTGGGTCCAGTGACAGGGGTTTTAAATGTGTCTATCTCTTGAAAGAACAAACAATCTTCAAAGCCTTAAACCCACTCCCATAAATAGTCTTTGAAGGGCATTTAAAGGCAAAACTTGATAAACAGGATCAGAGAACGGAGTGATGAGGACCACCCTAGCATAGAATAAACCAGGTTTTGAAATAAAAAATTAGTCAACTTTTCTATTCAATGTGTGTCTTATGAAAAGACTAAGACCAGTTTTATAACAGTTTTGCACTTAAAAAAGCAAGAGAAACTTGACCCATGTGGTTCACAGGTAAATATTAGGCTCACAGTACTCTGCCCCAGTGTGGGACTATCCAGACACGTGGGTGTTTGGGGCTGCCATTCAGGGACTCAGGACCATCAAGGCAGGTTAGTAAATAAACACTGCCAAGAATACTAGGCATCACTTTTGATGTTAGAAGCCCTCTGTCCATCTTAAGGCGGTATCATAGCAGCTGGGCTTCTTTTCTCCTGTGAACACTGGTAATTGGTTCATGGAACAAAGGAATATCAGAGACCTCCTTAACAACATGCTACAAAGCCCAGCAAAGAAGAGGGAGGGAAACAGAGATCGTAAACACAGCAATTACCCTTGGATGGATTAGTGACTCCTTTTGTTTCTTGGTACAAAAGCAAAACTGTTCTTACATTCGTTACTTGAATTTAACCCACCAAAATTTTTGAAAATTGTAGTAAAATACACGTAACTCAAAATTTGCCATTTTAATCATTTTTAAGTGTCCAGTTCAGTGGCATTAGCACATACATATTATTGAGCCAGCGTCACCACCATTTATCTCCAGAACATTTTCATCTTCCCATTCTGTACCCATTTCATCTTCCTCCCCACTCTGTACCTATTCTCCCTCCCCCAGCCCTTAGAACCCACCATTCGACTTTCTGTCTCTATGAATTTGACTATTTTAGGTACCTCCTGTAACAGGAATCATACATTATTTGTCCTTTTGTGACTGGCATATTTAGCAACATGGCTTTGAGATCCATCCATATTGTGGCATGTATCAAAATTTTCTTTATTTTTAAGGAAGAAAAGAATATAGACCACATTTTATTTATCTATTCATCCACTGATGGACACTTGGGTTGCTTCTGCTTATTGGCTGCTGTGAACATGGGTGTATCAATATCTGTTGGAGTTTCTGCTTTACTTCTTGTGTGCATATACCTAGGAGCGGAATTGCTGGGTCATATAGTCATCTCATTTTTAATTTTTTGGGGAATAGGCATACTGTTTTCCACACTGCACCATTTTATAATCCCACAGTAGTACAAAAGAAATGTTTTCCAGTTTCTCCACAGCCTTGCCAGCACTTGCTATTTTCTGTGTTTTTAATTGATAATAGTCATCACAATGAGTGTGCGGTGGTAATTCATTGTTGTTTTGCCTTGCATTTCTCTAATGATTAAGGGTGTTGAGCACCCTTTTGTATGCTTATTGTCCATTTGTATTTCTTCCTTGGATAAACACTCACTCAGGTCCTTTGCCTAGTTTTAAATTGAGGTTGTTTTTCTTGTTCTTGAGCCGTAGGAATTCTTCATATATTCTGGATATCAATCCCTATCAGATATATGATTTGAAAACATTCTCTCCCATTCAGTGGGCTGCTTTGTCACTCTGTTAATAGTGTCCTTTGATGCAGAAAGTTTTAAATTTTGGCAACCCACCAAGCTTTAATTGACATGTTCAGCACTCTGCTGGGTGCTGTGTACAACACAAGAAAGTTACAGGGTGGGGTTAATGAAACCGGGACCTGGATCCCTGGCCACACCAGGGAGGGGAAGCAGGGAGAGTGGTGTGAGAAATTAGGCCTCTTGGGTCAATAGAGGAAACCTGGTGCACAAATCCTGGATTATTTTTGTAATTGTGTGCTTGTGGGCTGCCTCCCTGTCTAGGCTGGGAGGCAGGACTCCCTTTGCCATCTTGAAAGCCTGGTGCCTGTCACTGGGTGCTTCTCCAGCTCTAATCAAGGAATGCACCATGGAGCACAGTGTCACATGACTAGACGACCATGGCATATGAAAGCAGTGGGCCCATGGGTCCATGACCTTGTGTCCGTGTCTGCACTGGCCATTAACCCCAGGGCCTCTTGCTGTGACGTGCCCTTGGAGGCTGTGAGATCTTCATACAGAAATTAGAAGCCCTGGAGGTCATGGGTTACACATCAAAGAATCCCTGGGTCAGGGGAAACCTGAATCACTGCATTAAGTAATTCCTTCCAGACACCCACGGCCCTTCCTGCCTTCCTCCTTTTAGACTCCAACTCTTGAGGTTGACCTATGGGCCCGTCCCATCCCAGCCTCTGGCCTGAGCCTGCTGGTGTCGGCCAACGTGAAGTTCAGCTTTGGAGTTAAACTTGCTGTCTTTGAGGTCACTGGCCCACCCAGGACTCAGCCACATTTCGGCACCAGCTCTGAGGTTTAGGGCGAATTTTCTGTCCCTCTTTCTGGCTGGTGCTCCCTGGGTGAGCTCCTAGATGATGCCAGGCTCAGGGCTGAGTGTCTTCATTTCAGAACCTCCACTCTTTCTTTGCCTCCCCAGGGGCATGGTGTCTGCTGACAATACAAAAATGCTTCCAATTCCAGATTTGCACCTTAACACAGAAACCTTTTCTCTTGGTATGGCACCGCATTGTGGAAAAATGGATTTGGCCCAAATACCTCTCTGACCCACACAGGTTTTCTCCACATTGTGGCAGGAATGAGGCACATAATCAGGAGCAGGCAGTGGTCACGTGGTGGGCTGGGAATGTCACCCAAGTGCCCCAGCTTCCCCAGGCTTCGATGATGACCTCTGTCTGCCTTAGAACCAAGTGACCAGAGTCAGGCCACTGATCAGCAGGACACAAGGCAGTGCAGTCCTCTCCCAGGGTGTCTCTCCCAGTGGAAGCCATGATGTTCTCTGCACCCAGGCAATGCAGGCTGCCTTCATCCCCCACCATCCCAGCCCTTCCTTCTGTGAGAGGCCCTGGCCTTTCTCTCTCCATGACTCCATGCTTTCTGTGCCAAATATTGGCTCTCTCAAGGCCTTATTATTCCCCTACCCCCTAGCATGAGAAATAGCTGTGGTTTTCAAAATATTTTTTTTTGTCCCAGATGAGCAGATGCCAGCAGAGCTCTAGATGGCGGGGGCAGAAGGAGGAGATTCCTGGAGAGGAAGGAGCCAAGGGGAATAGGGAGGGGCTTCCAGGAGCATCTGCAATAAGATGCTAGGTCCAGGGAGGGGCAGTGGGGTGGTTGGAGGGGAGATAAGGCTAAAAAGGGGGATCTGAAGTCTAGAATTGTCCTGTGGGTAAAGAAAAGTTCCTGCAGGAGGGACATGGGGCAGGGGGGCTTCATCAGGAAGTGCTGAGGGACAGGAAATCAGACAGAGATGGCAGCTGGGCATCCAGATGTCTGGCCCCAAGGCTCAGACAAGGGCAGCTAGGTAAGTGTTGGAGTCATCATGACTCGATGGGATCCATTCCATGGGACCATGGGTGCTATGAGAGCGGGAGGGAAAGGGTCTTACCTTCATATCTCCTATCCCAGCACAATGGCTTGGGATAAAACAAATGGCCACAATGAGATCCTGGGCCCAGGTTGGGGCACAGGATGAAGGGCAGAGTAGGACGGGCAGGGTGGAGGAAGGATCTCCAGGACCAGCGAAGGAGGTGAGCTCAAGGTGCTCACCATGGATGGTTCAAAAAGCAGTGTTCCCTGGCAGGTGGGCACTGACCTACCTGGTGCCCACTCCTAGGAGAACTGGGAGCAGACAGGGAGGCATCTAGAAACTTTAGGATGCAGTCTTCCCTCTGGTGACATTCGGGAACCAGCTCCGTGGAAGGTAATTAAAAATGGCCATCAGGTGTTTATGCTGAGCAAATCGAGGAACAGCTGGGGGGTGCCCAGCACCTTCCCCTGGGTGGGTTTATTGCAGATGCTCTCCCAGGGCAATGGGCAGGGGTGAGGTCACAAAATCGGAGATACCATCCTCCTCCCCCCACTGCTCATCTTCTGTGACTCTGGACAAATAAGAGCTAAAAAGATCCCCTTAGGTTGAAGGATACAAATTCCCTGCCCCTGAGTGTGTTGACCCTGGGGGTGGCTCAAACCTGATGAGCTGGGTCAGTGTGACAGGCTCCAAAGGCTGCATTCTCTCAGGGGAGAAGAATGTGAATGTGCTTGTTGCATCTGGTTTGGGCAAAATTCCTGTCTCTGTCTGCAGATGCCCTGCCTGGGTCGGGGTCTGAAAACCGCAGGTGGAGCAGACACTAGCTCATGGTGAGGCTGCATGCGGTGACTCAGGTCCCAGAGGAATCCAGGATAGCAGGCAAAAGTGTTCACAGCTCCGCCAGGCTCACCGTGAGGCTGCAGTGACTCAGAGCCCAGAGAGATCCAAGATGGTAGGTGGAAGCATGCTCAGCTCTGCCAGGCTCACAGTGAGGCTGCAGTGACTCAGGACTTAGAGGGATCCAAGATGGCAGTGCTCAGCTCCGCCAGGCTCACAGTGAGGCTGCAGTGATTCAGAGCCCAGAGGGATCCAAGATGGCAGGTGGAAGCGTGCTCAGCTCTGCCAGGCTCACAGTGAGGCTGCAGTGATTCAGAGCTCAGAGGGATCCAAGATGGCAGTGCTCAGCTCTGCCAGGCTCACAGTGAGGCTGCGGTGACTCAGGACTTAGAGGGATCCGAGGGACAGGTGGAAGCAGGCTCAGCTCTGCCAGGCTCACAGTGAGGCTGCAGTGACTCAGGACTTAGAGGGATCCAAGGGGCAGGTGGAAGCATGCACAGCTCTGCCAGGGTGGACCCAGGGCTGTGTGTGCTACCAGGGGTTCCGTTGGGAATTTACTAGCACCATATGGGGGTTCCTCAGAGAATTAAAGATAGAGCTACCATAGAATCTGGCAATCCTGCTACTGGATAAACACCTGAAAAAATGGAAACCTAGATCTTGAAGAGCTATCTGTGCCCCCATGGTCATTGCAGTCTCATTCCCAACAGCCAAGAGATGGAAACGGCCTAGATGCCCCTCCGTGGGTTAATGGAGAATGTGGTATATGCATACAATGGAATTTTGTTCAGTCTTAAAAAGGAAGGCATTCTGACACATGCCACAACATGGATGAACCTGGAGAAACATGGAAGAACCTGTGTGCTTGGTGGAATAAGCCACACACAGAAAGATATGCATTGCATGGAATCCTAAAATGAGGCAACCCCATAGAAGCAGAGAGTAGAATGGTGGTTGGCAGGGGCTGGGGGCTGGGGAAATAGGGAGATGTTAGTCAAGGGGTACAAAATTTCCCTTGTGCAAGCTAGGTTCTGCTGATCTAATGTGCAGCCTGGTGACCATAGGGAACAATATTGCATTGCACACTTGCAATTTGCTAAGAGAGTGAAAATTAATGTCTCAACACAAAAAGAGGCAACAATGTGAGGTGATGGGTCTGTCACCTGGCTTGAATGTGGTGATCATTTCACAATGTGTACATCTATCAAAACAACTAATTGTACAAATTAAATATGCACAATTTCTAGTTGTGAATTATTCCCCCAATAAAGCTAAAACAGTTAAAATAAGACACATTTCTTTCTTTCTTTTTTTCTTTTTTTGAGATGGAGTATTACTCTGTCACCCAGGCTGGAGTGTAGTGGTGCAATCTTGGCTCAGTGCCTCCACCTCCCGGGTTCAAGCAGTTATCCTGCCTCAGTCTCCCAAGTAGCTGGGATTACAGGCGCCCACCATCACGCCTGGCTAATTTTTTTGTAGTTTTAGTAGAGACAGGGTTTCACCATGTTAGCCAGGCTGGATTCGAACTTCTGACCTCAAGTGATCTGCCCACCTTGGCCTCCCAAAGTGTTAGGATTACAGGCATGAGCCACTGCGCCCTGTCTCTCTCTTTTTTTTTTTTTTTTAAGGATCTACTCCTTTCTTGTGAATCCACAATCCTGACAGCGTGTGCATTCCAGCTGCCACGGAGAAAGTGCTGGGTGCAGGGCCTGGGTTCAGATATAGAGTATTGGCCACCTCCAGGGTCCCCACTCCCTCAATACCCCTTTGGATGGGGCACCATGCCTGGAGGTGGGAGAGTGAGAGACAGGGAGGTGAGAGGGCTGGATAGCCCTCCTGGCTCTTGCCTTCTAGCAGGGGCAGCCACAGCCCTACCATGGCTGAGGGGAGCCAGCGCTCTCTGCTCTGGGAAGGGACTGCTTCCTGCCAGGTTCCCCTCTGAGAAGTGCACTTCCAAACCAAGTCCACAGGTGCCCCGAAAGAGACTATCCATGCAAGGGAGAAACAAGAAAGAGGATCTTTCCATTTCCGCTCCTCCCAGGTGGTGAGGATGTTCCAAGGCCAGCAGAAAATTTGTATTCCCCTCTGCAATGTCGGAAGCTCTGTGTCTTGCTATCTGCAATGATTTTGAGCTCTGTGAACAGAACATTTTCCTGCAAAGGGTGGGGAGCTCCTGACCCTCTGTACCCCTTTGCATCAAAGGGGACCGTCCCCTGATTCATGTGTGACTCGGGCCACCCAGTTCCATGTCCACAGACGGCATTCTGGTCACTTCCTTGCGTCGTTGTCTACGTGGAGTTCCTATCACTGCAACTTCCTTTATAATGAGTGAGATATCCTGGACGAAAGCATTGTGTGATCACGCTGCTGGGTGGCAGGTTTATTGATGTATTTCACCAACAGAAACCTTAGGATGGGATGCACTGGTCCAGCTGGTCATTTGGCTGGTGGTTGTGAAGATCCTGCCCCAGGGCTACCCCAGCACTTGGCCCTTTCAAGAACGGCTCGATTAGGACAGTGTTCCTGCCTCAGTCTTTGCTAAAGTGGCCGCCTCCTATGCATCTTTCATCACTCGTCTCAGGTGGCTGATTCTTCAGAAGCCTTTGTCCCTCCTGCTGACACTGCAACATATCTGTCCTCAGCACGACTTGGTGCTCAATTCAAACGTCTATGTCAGCACGCGAGTCCTGTGCTAGCTTCCTTGGACTGCTGTACTAAAATACTACAACTTGATGGCTTAAAGCAACAGACACTTGTTCTCTGCAGTTCTGCAGGCCAGAGCCCACAGTCAAGGTGTTGGCCGCACTCCCTCTGCAGACTCTAGGGGAGACTCCACTCCCTGTCTCTTCCAGCTGTGGGGGCTCCTGGCATTCCTTGGCTTGGGGCTGCACCTGCAATCTGCCTCATCTTCCTGGCCATCCCTGCTGTGTCTATGTGCTGTTATAAACTCTCTTTTAAGGATTTAGGGCCACCCTAATACAGGATGATAGGAGAAAGAAATCAGCTCAAACACCTCTCCACCGAGGGTGGCTGGGCTTCATCATCCCATCAGAAAAGAAGCAGGCACCTTTTCACCCAGTCGCCAGACCTTGTGTTTCTTTCTGGTGAGATTTGTACATGTTCTTTGAGCACATTTGGTGACACAGATCACCATCCAGAGATCCCCAGCCCTGTCCATGTCGGCACGGCTGGTCTCTTCCCTGGGATGGCTCCTGCCCTGGATCCACTCTAGTTCACGCTGTGCTTGATGCAGAAACCCACTCACGCCAGCTGTGCTGCCTCAGCATCTCCCAGGAGGAGACGGACACATCCCAGGGGCCTGCAGAAGGCAGGCCTCAGGAATGACAGGCCAGACATCGGAACACCTTTCACAGGCTCTCTCTGGACAGACTGGCGCTTGGCTTGGGAAGGGAAAAGAGGCCATCGATACCTCCTGGCCTTTTTTTTTCTTTTCTTTTCTTTTTTTGAGACAGAGTTTCACTCTTGTTGCCCAGGCTGGAGTGCAGTGGCACAATCTCGGCTCACTGCAAACCTCTGCCTCCCGGGTTCAAGCGATTCTCCTGCCTCAGCCTCCTGAATAGCTGGGATTACAGGCATGCTCCACCATACCCGGCTAATTTTTTTGTATTTTTAGTAGAGACTGGGTTTCTCCATGTTGGTCAGGCTGCCTCCTGGCCTTTTTAACTGTAAAGCTCTTAACGCTGACGAGGCTTGGGATCTCTTAGATCCAAACTGAAAAAATTCTGAGAGGTTTGCTGGCCTGGCTTGGGCCAAGTGTCCACCTCCTGGGGAACCAGCTGTGGCTGGGGGGCTGGAACCTGTCCTTCAATATCATGGGGATAAAAGGGGTGGGGAATGGGATGCTGTGGGGGCTGGGGCCTGGGGTGGACAGCACCGCGTACGCTTGCTCCTGGAGATGGCCACTTGGGCAGAGCTCCCTTCCTGGGGACAGAGAAGCCCACAGGCCATTCAATGCTAGTTAAAGTGTCAGGACTTGACAAGAGGCTTAGTATGAAGGAGAACACTTTCAGGGGACCAAGTCAGAGATAAGTCTGCAACCACAGCAATGGCCCTTTAGAAAGCATTTAAGAGGCCTGGTGCTTTTTGAGCTGCTTTGATGACGTGGCAATGGCTGGAGGGGAAAAGCAGCGGCACAGCTGCCTGCCATTGGCCTGGTCTTTTTCACTGTGCTCAGTGTTGTCATCACGAAGCCTCTCATGCAGCGCGATGTCAGGATGGGCCCATGCGCGGGTGGAAGGCATGTGGGGGCCATGTTGCCAGCTGCGGATGGACAGGCTTCTGATATCAGGCTGTGACAGCACTGTCATCTCCCAAGAATCCAGCATCCGTCTGCATGGATTGCATGCCATCCTTGAATCCACTCACTTGCCCAGCCCCTGAACCAACTGATGAATGTGGTGAAGTCTTCCCTTCGTCACCCCAGGTGCAGCCACAGCCTCTGCAGCCACCCTGGGGGAGAGACAGCTCCAGGTAAGCGCACCCGCCCCTGGTTACATGAATATCCGTGGTTGCGTTTCATAAATCTGGACTTTGGTGATGGGGGTGGTGAGGGGTGGAGTGGGGGTGATAAGGGGCAGAGGGGGGAGAATTGGTTCAAATTTATTTTTTTGCAATTTATGATGTTGTAGATCTACGTTCTATTGTATCAACAAATGAAGAAGATGGAATGTTCACTTCAACACTTTTCTTATTGTAGATGAAATATTTGCTCATGGAAATCATTTAGGAAATATAAAAACATGTAAAAAAGAAAATGAAAATCACTTGTAAAATCACAGTTAATCACTGTTAACATTCCAATGCATTTTCTCGGAGGTTTTATTCTTTATAGCATGGTTTAGAGCCATTTCTCAAAGCTGAAGGAACATATGCATCATCTGGGGATCTTGAGAAAATTCAGGCTCTGATTCAGAAGGTGCGAGTGGGGCAGGGTCTGGTGCTGATGCTCGGGTCCTGGAACCGCACGTTTGAATATGGAGGGTTAGAGCTGGGACTTGGGCTGCAAATGCCACTTTTACCAGGCAAGAGTGCTGACAGCAGATTATTTGACCTCTCTGAGCCTCAGTGTTCTCATATAAAATGGGGATAGTATCTACCTGTAGAAAGTTTGAAAAGAACAAATGAGGTAAACTAAGCTGAGTTTTGCCTGTTAACCTGGCATATAATGAGTGTTCCATACATTGTAACTACATTAAAATGAGCCAATTTTTCATCAGGACAATGAAGTTTGTGTATAGGGCTTAATATCCGGCTTACTTTCTCTTGACGTCATATAGTGAGCATTTTTCCAATATTAAAAATTCTCTGAAAACATAATTTTAATAGCTGTATTTTAACAACTCCCACTGTGCAGATAGGTCATAATTTATTTGAGCATTTAAGATGTGGAAATAGTTGCTTTTTTGTGTATTTTTAATAATCTAGTGAAATCCTGTTAACATAGTAGATATTTTATGAGAGTTACTGGTTAAAAATGTGTATTATACTTTCCTTTTCTGGAAAACGAGGGTTACAGGCATTTTTAGAAACAACAGCTGTAGCAACTTACAGACTCTCAGGCAGGGATTTTTTTTTTTTTTTTTTTTTAAGTTCTGAGGGTTTCTAACATCCTAAGGGCTCTTGACAAAAGTTAAAGAAAAACGGTTATATTACTCTTCCTCAAAGAACACTGCAACACAAAACCAACAAACAAAATCATTATACTTCTAACTACAGTGAGTAAAATTAGAGATCTTCAGACAAAGATGTTTCATGCCTTTGCTCCCAGTGATTGAGAAGATAACTATAGAGAAGAAAGTGAGCAAATGTGGGAATAATCCCTGACATTTTACAAAAGAATTGCAAACACTTTATGATCCTTTTGTACTTTAAGAGGTATTATTTTTGTCTATTTCATAGGCACTAACCCATTTCAAAGACATTTCATAGACACGTTATGGAATTTATTTGAACCTTTGGAATGATGTTCATTTGGAATCCTTCGTAGGCATTTTCCAAGGTTCCCATCTGAGTGGGCTCCTGGAAGCCTGCTGTGAACCAGGGCTGTGTGCGTGGTTATCCCCACAGTGGGAAGCCGGAGCTGGGTCCAGGCCGGGGTTGTGACCACTAAGGTGGGCTGCATGGCAAGGTATCCACCTTCGATGGAGCAGTTTTCATAAGACTAGGGGGTGCTTCGTTGGCAGCAGCTTTTGCCTATGGCACAGGATAAAGGTTAATTGTTTTACTATCTTTATCAAGGATTTTGAAGTGTGGTGAGCGTGAGAGACTACGTAACCAGAGTAGGGCGATGGCCTGTGGCCTCCATTCCCTTTGCCTCATAAGGGCAAGTGTAGCTGCGTGGCACTCAAACCTCTGAAAACGTTCTACTGAGATCCAGACCTTGCAGATGTGAATTAGACATTCACAAAAAGCCTCTGGTGAGAAGCTGTTATTCCCACCAAATTCTATTATTCTCTGGCTAGTAGACCCCAAAGTTCTCTCCCCAGAAAAGTGTGCAAACTACAGCTGAACCTTTTAAGTATCGTGGTCTACTCTTCCCCTGAGACCTGTCTCTCCATCATCCACCAGCCACTGGCTCTAGAAACACAGGCCTCTGGTTAAACCCTGTGTCTGCCCCACTGGAACCACTCTGCCAGGTCACCTCTCCTGGGATTTGTCATGGACTGAGCTCTATGCTTTTGGTTTTTCCTTGTGGGAATCATAAGAAAACCATGAGTCATGCCCGGTGTCTCTTGGCATATTTCTTTCTAGATTCCCGCAAGGAGCAAAGAGATTTTTGACTTTGTCTTCTTTTATTGACATTGAGGAGAAGCTTCTGACTCAGGCGAGCCTCACAATAAGCTGTTTTTCAACTTCAGTAGACCCGGTATGTGTTCATCTGCTCTGATACTGTTTTTTTTTGTTTTTTTTTTTTTTTTTAAATCAGTAATCATGTTTATCCTGGGCAGCGTTGCCAGGACAAATATTATTTCATTGGTTTTAACATCTGTTCACATGAAATCTGATATTCAAATTCACCCCGGCCTGTTCCCTGATAGTGAATATACGTTAATGTGCCCCAGGGGCAGCTCACACCCAGCGTCTGTAACCAGCACCAGTTGTTTTCACCTTTGGGGGATGTGTGCATTTCTTTTTTTATTTTCTGAAGTAATGCATGTTCATTTTAACACATTTAAATGAGACCAAAATAAAGTTACAAAGGAGTGCTTCCCCACCTTTCCTTTCTTCTCCTCCTCAGCAGGACCTGCTAAGGTGAGGTGTTCTGGAAGGGTCTCTGCTCCTAGCAGTCACTGGCAGCTTGCCCAAATTGGAGAAGTTTAACATCTCTTTTCTCTGAGAAGTAAAATGTGTTTCTTTGGTGGATGTGAAACCAACAAACCACTGTGGTGCCTCTCTACATCTGAAGGATGAGCCAGCCAAGCCAGGGGAACTGACGACCCCACACACGTCTGCACTGCTGTGGCCGTGTTGAACACGGACTCCTTCTTCAGGGCAGCCTTGGGCCATCGGAGGGCTGCTGTATGCAGTGACGGCCACCAAGTGTCCTTGGCCAGGGGAGTGATTTACAGGGACTGAGATCCTGACTTGTGACCCAGACACGAATGCATCCTTGTTCCATTTTGTTATTGCTCAACCGTCATCTGGCCATCCCCAAAGCCCACCTCTGTGAGAAAGGCCAGTGCTTGTCCTCGTGACACCCCTGAGACCTCGATGGAGCAAGTCCCAGGTAAGAAGGATCCAGGTCACTAACACACAGGGACACTTTGCTCCTGGACCTGCTGGCTGTCCCTCTAGTCATGGAAGGGTTTATGCTCACAGCAGTCCGAGACTGGAAATGTTCTTCCGTAGAGTGGGAAGTCACTTCATCCACTCAAGCTGCTGGAGGTAACTATAAGGGGCCAGGTTTTAAGAAGCTTGGCTTAAGAGCACCTTTAAAAATTATGAGTGGAAAACATGTCATGCCTAAATGAGCTGCTGGTGTCTGCCTCCATTCATGCAGAAGCTGGTCTGTGACCTTACACACATCTTCTTTTTTAGGAATTACTGTGAAGTCCAAATGGGCCCCAAAGCTGCCTGCCCCTAAGAAGGCCTTCTTATATTTACCCAGAGGTCTGTGCCTTGATTGAAAGGATAATATGAGGCAAAGGGAAGAAGCTGAAAATTTATTGGATGTTTTTAAGGAATTTATTTTATTTTAAAAATGTTTAATTGTGCTAAAATACATATGAAATGTATCATCCTAATCGTTTTAAGAGTACATTTCAGTAGTAAGTACATTCACATTTTTGTGCAATTTTCGTCAACATCTCAAGAAGTTTTTCATCTCCCCCAACTGACACTCTGTCCGCACTAAACGCTAACTTCCTACTCCCCTCTCCCTCCCCTAGTAACCACCATCCTACTTTCTGTCTCTATTTTCTGTCTCTATCACTTTGACTGCTCTAGGGACCTCCTATAAGTGGAATCATACAGTATTTGCTTTCTGTGTCTGGCTTATTTTACTTAGCACGTCTTCAAGGTTCATCCATGTCAGAGCATGTATCAGCCTCTTCTTCTTTTTAAAGGCTGAATGATATTCCATTGTATGGATAGACCACATTTTATTGTTGTTGTTGTTGTTGTTTTGTGACGGAGTCTCGCTCTGTCGCCCAGGCTGGAGTGCGGTGGCGGGATCTCCGCTCACTGCAAGCTCCGCCTCCCAGGTTCACGCCATTTTCCTGCCTCAGCCTCCCGAGTAGCTGGGACTACAGGCGCCCGCCACTACGCCTGGCTAATTTTTTGTATTTTTAGTAGAGACGGGGTTTCACCGTGTTAGCCAGGATGGTCTCAATCTCCTGACGTGATCTGCCTGCCTTGCTCTCCCAAAGTGCTGGGATTACAGGCGTGAGCCACCGCGCCGGGCCAGACCACATTTTGTTTATCCAGCCATCCACTGAGGGGCATTTGGGTTGCTTCCGTGTTTTAGCCATTGTGCGTGCTGCCGCTATGAATATTTGTGTATGAATATCTGTTGAAGTCTCTGCTTTCATTTCTTTTGGGTATAAATCCAGATGTGGAATTGCTGGATCGTATGATAATTATATGTTTAATATTTTGAGGACCTACCATTGTTTTTTCACAGTGGCTGCACCATTTTATGTTCTCACCAGGAGTGTACACAAGAGTTCCAATTTCTCCACATTCTTGTCAACTCTTATTATTTTCTGTTTTTGATAGTAGCCATCCAAAAGGGTGTGAGGTTATATCTCACTGTGGTTTTCATTTGTTCTTCCCTAATGATTTATGATGTTGTATTAGTCAGGGTTCTTTAGAGGGACGGGACTAATAGGATAGATGTATATATGAAAGGGAGTTTATTAAGGAGTATTGACTCACATGATCACAAGGTGAAGTCCCACAATAGGCTTCACCAATAGGCCGTCTGCATCAAATGGCCATCTGCAATCTGAGGAGCAAGGAAGCCAGTCCAAGTCCCAAAACCTCAAAAGTATGGAAGCTGACAGTGCAGCCTTCAGTCTGTGACCAAAGGCCCGAAAGCCCCTGGCAAACCACTGGTGTAAGTCCAAGAGTCCAAAGAACTTGGAGTCTGATATTCGAGGGCAGGAAGCTTCCAGCATAGGAGAAAGATAAAGGCCAGAAGACTCAGCCAGTTTAGTCCTTCCACATTCTTCTGCCTGCTTTATTCTAGCTGCATGGGCAGCTGATTAGATTGTGCTCACCCATACTGAGGTGGGTCTGCCTCTCCCAGTCCACTGATTCAAATGTTAATCTCCTTTGGCAATACCCTCACAGACACACCCAGGAACAATACTTTGCATCCTTCAATCCAATCAAGTTGACACTCAATATTAACCATCACAGATGTTGAGCATCTTTTCATGTGGTTATTGGCCATTTATATATCTTCTTTAGAGAAATGTCTATTCAAGTCCTTTGCCCATTTTTTGTTGTTGTTGAGTCATAACAGTTGCTTATATATTCTGGATATTAAACCCATATCAGATATGGAATTTGCAAGTATTTTTTCCCATTCTGCAGGTTGTCTTTCCACTCTGTTGACTGTGTCCTTTGACATGCAGCAGTTTTAAATTTTGATATAGTCCAATTTGCCTATTTCTTCTTTTAGGGCCCATCATACATTTTTAAAGAAAATCTTCTTTTGGTGAGAAGATCAAAGGGCCAGGCAGAAATGGAAAAGCACTTTCTGGCATCAGACTTCCTCTGACTTCTCCGGTTGCCACACCACTGAAAGACTGCCCCACAGTGCGAGGGACGTCCACATCTGCCTGGCTCTCCGAGGGATGAACAGCCTTCAGTTCAGCTTCCTGTCACACCCCAAAATCCACCAGGGCTCTGCAGTCATAGAGCCCTGGAACCCAGAGGTGGAAACTTAAAGGAATGAGTGCTCTCTCGCTCCAAAACCACAGATATCTGGTCCATAGAGAACCCACCACACTTGTATACATTTTCATACGTCTGCGCACATACACAAATGCACAAACACATGTTCAGCTGTTGATAATCATCTGATCTTTTGCTCTTTCGATGTAAATATGGCCAGATATCTCTGGCTTTAATTCTCATTAAAATTTTGAAAGTTATACTTTCTATACAATATACATCATGGATGTCCAATCTTTTGGCTTCCCTGTGCCAGATTGAAAGAAGAAGAATTGTCTTGGGGCCTGGCGTGATGGCTCATGCCTATTAATTCCAACACTTTGGGAGGCGGAGGTGGGAGGATCACCTGAGATCAGGAGTTCACGACTAGCCTGGCCAACATGGTGAAACCCCCCCATCTCTACTAAAAATATAAAAATTAGCGAAGCATGGTGGCACATGCCTGTAATCCCAGCTATGCAGGAGGCTGAGGCAGGGGAATCACTTGATCCCAGGAAGCAGAGGTTGCAGTGAGCCAAGATTGCACCATTGCATTCCAGCCTGGGCAACAGAGTGAGACCCAGTCTCAAGAAAAAAAAAAAAGAATTATCTTGGGCCACACATACACACATAAAATACACTAACACTAATGATAGCTAATGAGCTAAAAAAAATTTCAAGAATATCATAATGTTTTAAGAGTTTATGAATTTGTGTTGGGCCACATTCAAAGTCATTGTGGGCTGCATGTGGCCCGAGGGCCGCAGGTTGGACAAGCTTGATATACATATTATGTATATTATATATTTCTGTGAAAACAGAATAAATCCAAGACTGAGGATCTAATTCCAAAATTCATTTTTGTAGGCATTCTGAGACTTAACTATTTTTCTAGTCACATAATAAGGAAAGGATCCTTACAGAAATACTGAAAGCTCTTGGTTCTGCCTTTGCTGATGTTTTCTCTTTTCTCTATTCCCTCTCCCTTCACACTCGTCCTCATTCTACAGCCTCAAGCTTGTGTCATTGTTCACATCTGCTTCCCCATCTCTGGAGTCTCTGTCAAGGCTCACCCTGGATTTGAGGTAGGTTAAGTAGCCAATGAGCCCAGCTGGTCCACAGACACCAAAATTGTGTGTCCTGGATGAAGTCAGCATCTTTCCCTCGCCCTGTGCCTTTCTTGTCTGTTGGTTCCTATTTCTGTTCCTACTCACAATCTACCTCTGGGGATATCACCTGTCTTTGTTTTCCAGAGTCACCTCTGCCAGCCCAAAAGCTGCTGCTTCTAGAAAGTCACTACCATTTCTAAAAAGTTCCTTGCATCTGGTCCCCCCTCATCACCATCCCCAGCACCTCATCATTGCTGAACCACAGCCCATAGCAATCTCTTTAGTCAAGGTTGTGCTTCACCTTCCTTCTTTGAATCAATGCTCTTTGAAACAATATCCCTAGGAGTTACTTTCTTCGTGACCTCTTCCCTAGAGGACGGCCTCCTTGTCTGCCTGCGCCTGGCTTCCCTCCCACCCCTACCTTTTCCACCATCATAATCACTGCCACTACCTCACTGAGATCCTGGCGTGCAGCTCTAATTTTATCTCTGACCTGCAGAAGGTGTGTGAGAATGGACTGAGATGACCTGAGCACGGGTGAAAGGTCCGCATCAAACCCAGAAAGTCAGCCGAGATCCAGGGGCGGGTTCTCATCCTACGGCCTCTCTACATTCGTTTCTGAGACACAAAAGGACTTCACAGTGAATGTTCAAGCAAATTAGAGCACAAAAACAAAAGGGTTGTGGGCAAGCAACTGCGAAGACCACAGCTGTGTTTTGGTAAATTCCCGGGCGAGGAGGATATGCCGGGTGAGTGAGGGAGGCCAGAGAGCGACAGAGTTCTTGGGTTAACTGGAAAATTCAATTATCCAGAACCACAGTCCATCAGCAATCTGTTTAGTCAAGGTTTTGCTTCACCTTCCTTCTTTGAATCAATGCTCTTTGAAACAATATCCCCAGGAGTTATTCGCTATAGAGTAGAAGCACAGATTTTGTCTATTTAGCAAAATAGGAGACGAAATGGAATGCTGCTGGGCTAATTGCTTTGCAAGGAAGAAGAGAGGCAATACTTCAGCACTTTAACCAGATTCCCTACTTTTGCTTTTTCCATTTGATCAATTTACATGTGTACTGCAAGAAATTGTGTTATAAGAAAGCTGAGCCATTCTGGTGTTCACTAAGGAATGTAGCTTTGATTAGTCCTTGTGTTAAAACAAACATAAAGTGTACGGGCTGCCACAGAAATACTTAAGTAGAAGGAGCTCTTTGTGGGACAGTAACATTTCTGTCAGTTCCCATGTCTGTTACATTATTGATTCCATCATTTTCTAGGAGCTCCAAAGAAATTGTTTTCTGAAATCCATGTGGCTTTAGGATTCTGAGTACAAATATGCTTTATTTTATAAGAAGTGAATTAATTCATGCAGCTCTCTAAAGCCACTAGTCAGGAGTAGAAACCATTGCCAGTAAGAACAAAAATACTAAAGAGAAGCAGAAATCCTACGCACATGCCCTTTGTAACTGATGTAATTGGTTTTTAAAGTGATGTAATTTAAAAAATACTGGAATGTTTTGCAATGACTCATACCTTAAGCCACATGGTCGGCATCCGTGAATGCTTGGCCACAGGTATCGTTGACAAATCCTTTGACCCTGTCATTCTGAAACCCATGCTGTCAGAGCCATAGTTTCCATCAAGAAATCTGGCCAACGGGATCCATATTTCCAGATAGTGTCCACATCATCCATCTATTCACACTCTCACTCAAAAAATATATCCTGAACTGTTATTATGGACAAAGCGCCAAAAATGGTGGTTTTTATCTTTTCTTTTTTTTTTTTCTTTCGGAAATGTGGTAATTAAGTCAAGTGTCAAAACAAATGCAACTGCTTGGCAAAAAAAAAAAAAAAAAATTGGCACTATTTCCTCTGAAGAAACAGACTCTATGCATGGGAATTGCTGAAAATGGGGCAAAAAGTCCCCTTGTACACTCTGCAGACTGCCCCCCTCCCCTGCAATCTAACCCTCTCATCTCTTGCCTCTGCTCTTGCAGCAGTTTCTAGACTCCCCTCCCAGTGTCCACTCTGCCCTCATCATCGTCATCCATAGAGCAGTGGCAGGGATTTTCACGTGGATCCCCACACCATTGCCCTGAGCAGCATGGGGTGTGGGTGCCCCAGGACACTTGACTCTGCTCAGCCCGGCCCCCACCCATCTCCCGCTGTTCACTCTGTTTGTTCTCCTTGGAATAAGACAAGATCATTTTTGCCTCTGGAACATTGCACTTGGCTGCTTCCTCTTTCTGGACTCCTTTCTGGGATATTTGCAAGGCCTCCGTTCATCCCACAGAGGGTCTGCCTCTGACCATCCCATCTCAAATAGCTGCTTCCCACCCACTCACAGTGGCTGACTCACACCACCTGGTATGATTGTCTTTATCAAAATGATCAGCCATCGATTTGTTTTGTACCTGAACATGTTTGCTGGTTTATTTCCTCCCTCTTGTTTCTTTTGTTCACCTCTATATCCCCTGTGGTTTTGTATGCTCATCACGCAGTAGGTGTTCAGTAAACACTTGCTAAGTGTCTTTGTTTTCAATTGCTGCTGTAACAAATTACTGCAAGTTCGATGGCTTAAAAACAACACACATTTGGCCGGGTGTGGTGGCTCACGCCTGTAAGCCCAGCACTTTGGGAGGCCAAGGCGGGCGGATCACGATGTCAGGAGATCAAGACCATCCTGGCTGACACGGTGAAACCCTGTCGCTACTAAAAATACAAAAAATTAGCCGGGCGTGGTGGTGGACACCTGTAGTCCCAGCTACTCGGGAGGCTGAGGCAGGAGAATGGTGTGAACTCGGGAGGTGGACCTTGCAGTGAGCCGAGACTGTGCCACTGCACTCCAGCCTGGGCGACAGAGTGAGACTCCATCTCAAAAAAAACAAAAAAACAAAACAAAACAAAACAAAACAAAAACCACACACACACGTACAAACACATTTATCCTCTGACCCCTGCATTCCTTCTGCAAGCTCTGATTCCCGGCCTTTCCAGCTTTTAGAGGCTGCCTGCATTCCTTGACTGATGGGCTCTTCCTCATATCACTCCCATCTCTGCTTTTGTGGTCACTTCTCCTTCTCTGACTCTGACCGTCTTATGAGGGTCTCCCTCTTATGAGGGCTTTTGTGATTATATTGAGCCCATCCAAGTAAGCCAGCATAATGACTCCATCTCGAGCTTCTGAACTCACTGACACCTTCAGGGTGTGTCAAAAGACACCTTCTGCCATGTGAGATACCATATTCATAGGTTTAGGGGATTAGGATGTTGGCATCTTTGGAGTCCATTATTCTGTCTACCACACTAAGAAAAGACATGCATGAGTGTGATTGCTTAAGAATACATCCACAACCTCTTTGCTTTTCCTCCCTTCAAGAGATGGAGCTTAATTCCTTTCCGTTTGATTGTGGGCTGGACTTAGCAAATTGTTTCTAACAAAGGAAGATGACATAAGTGAAGGTTTGTAACTTCGAGACTGGGTCGTAAGAGGCATCCTGACTTCCTCCTTGCTCTCTCTTGGATCACTGGCTCTGGGGGAATCCGCTGCCGTGGTGTGAGGATGCTCCGGCAGCTCTATAGAGGACCCACGTGGCAAGGACTGAGGCTTCCTGCTAGCAGCCATGTGAGTGAGCCATGGTCTAGGAAGTGGACTCCCCACCTCGATCAAGCGTTTGGAGGACTGTAGCCCAGATGGCTACAAGTTGTCTGTAACTTCAAGAGAGACCCTGAGCTAGAAGCACCCAGCCAATCTACTCCTAAATTCCTGTCCCACAGGAAAGGTAACATAATAGATATATTCATTGTTTTAAGCCACATTTGGGGGATAATTTGCTGTACAGCAACAGATAAGTAAAACAAAAAGCTATTTTAGAATTCCTCCAAACAAAAGAAAACACATTACTTTGTGCCTTGATAGTCTTTGGAACTCTCTTAGCCAACCAGGACCCCACCTCCCTGCAGGACAGGATCATCCCAATAATCACACTCTTGGAACTACGGTCTCTTCAGTTCCTTCTCCAGTACTCATGGTGCTCCAGCACAACATGTGAGTGGATGAGCTGGGACTCTGACTCACAGAACAATACACACAGTACATTTCAAGTATATTTCATTAGTCTATTCAGATCTCTCCTCTGGGTGTGATCGTTTTCATTTTCTTTCAAATTCCAATTCTGTTATCTCTTGGCTGCTGTTACTCCCAGATATTTTCCAATGTTGCCTGGCTACTGACAGATACAATTCTTCCCTCCCACCCTTTCCTTTATTTGCTTCTTCGAACAGCACGTTCACATGCCTTATCTAATGGCCCTCTGGGTCCTGCTTATCTTCAAGATCCTTCTCCCATTTCTCCCCTCTTATGGCGCCTTAGGCAGACACAGCTGGTAGATCACCTAGAAGAGGACCGTCTTGCCTGGTTTCTTTCTGGGCTGCTACTGCTTATCCCATGGCTGGATGTTTGTATCAGTCAGGACCAGATAAGCTATGCTACAGTAACAGTCAAGCCCAAAATATCAAGGGATTAAAAACTTTGTTTTCATTTGTTTGTCCCCTTCTCCACCCTGTCCTTCTACATGTCCACTGCTTTCTGGTTGGGGGCATGGACTCATCTCCATCTCACAGACCCTGGCTGACAGAAGCTCCATTCCTATGCTTCCATGATAGAAAGGCAGAAAAAAGAGAAATATGTTGAATAATATTTGCTCTGACGTTTCTCTGAAAGGGATCTATGCCCTTCTGATCTCATTTCATTTGCCAAAGCAAGTCACATGGCCACACCTAACCTCAAAGGGAGCAGGGAAGGGCCATCCTAATATGTGCTTGGAAAATGGAGAGTTGGAGATATTTGGTGAATATCACCAATGACTGCCACAATGCCATTGGTCTTTGGCCTGCCTGGCCTCTGTCTAAGCTCTGTAGGTTCTGTGGATAATCAGATAAGGGTCTCTTAGTTGCAACTGACAGAAATGTGACTCTGGTTGGCCTAAGAAGAAATGAATTTGTTGGCTTATGTGATTGAAAGTTTTAGTGGAAAGCTAAATCTAGCTTTCCAAAAAGCTATTAATAGTTCCAGATATTCAGAAAATGATGTCAGGAGTTAGTCTACACTGCCTGGCTCTGCTTTTGTCTGTGTTAGTTTATTCTCAAGCAGTCTCCCAAAGATGGAAGACTTGGACTTACAACCAGAGGAGAGATTGTCCCAGGAATTTCAACCAAAGTCCCTGGGGAGTTGCTTTGTGACTATGGCTGGCTGATTTGGGTCATGTGCCACATGTCTCAAATTAATCAGTGTGGACTAGCGGCTGTGACATCTCATTGGTCCAGGCCTAGTTCTTAGCCTTTGCCTGAGAGTCAGGGATGGGTCAGTCCCCAGGGAACTACCTTATCTAAGAGTAGAGGAGGGTGGGTCCCAGAAAGGAAGTCCAGGTGCTATTACTTGAAGACGGGAAAATGGACGCAGGGCAGATGGAAATCTCAGATATCCTCCCAGATATTCTTCGTGTTTTCTATTTCCCAGGCCACAAATAACTCACATGACCCTTGCATTCCCCCACCGGCCTGTGTTGCTATGGACTCATCTCCACCAGGACTCGGCTTCTTTTGCTCTGGGTTGACCTTGGTGGCAGCCTGGGCAGTGAAGTGGCACCAACTCATCATCTCCTGGATGGCGGGGATGAAGCTAAGAACTCAATCGTGATCTTTTAAAAAATTTAAGCCCAAGTATTGCATCTTCTAAGGGAACTGAGAACAATCAGATTCAAATATAAGCCCTGATATGGTTTGGCTGTGTCCTCACCAAATGTCATCTTGAATTGTACTCCCATAATTTCCGTGTGTTGTGGGCGAGACCAGGTGGGAGATAATTTGAATCATGGGGGCGGTTTCCCCCATACTGTTCTCATGGTAGTGGGTGGGTCTCACAAGATCTGATGGTTTTATCAGGGCTTTCCACTTTTCCATCTTCCTCATTTTTTCTCTTGCCACCACCATGTAAGACGTGCCTTTCACCTCCCACTACGATTCTGAGGCCTCCCCAGCCATGTGGAACTGTCAGTCCAATTAAACCTCTTTTTCTTCCCAGTCTCAGGTATGTTTTTATCAGACTAATATAAGCCCCACATCTTCTAGAAAGCCAAATCCAAGAAGATTTTTTAAAAAATCACTATTATGAAAAACTCCTGCTCTCCTCTCCTCTAGCACTGAAGATGGACACAACATATTATTTTGAGCAACTGGAAAATTGTTCAGATAATTAGCATGGAAGTTATCTTGCAGCAGTGCTGGCTCCATTTTAGGCAACTACGCCTACGTGGTAGTTATTTCTGTAAAGCATGTGGTTCGTTTGAAAACTCTGACATAACACTTTCTATGCAAGGAGGAAGTGAAGTGTCTTCCCCAGCAACAGACCTGGGAACTGGATCCAACGGCAAGAATCGAGAAAGAAACAACTTTCAAGTAGATGCTTTATAGAGCCCTGGAGAGGGAAGGTGATCATTTGAAGCCAGCGGGAGTTCACTAAGGGCCAATCATGCAAGATTAGTTTCATTTCCTTATTTTGACAGGGAAATTGGACTTGCAGGGCTGAGGCCTTCTGTAGACATAATATATCGGGATGGAACCAACATTTTTTGAAAAATTTCTCATGAGGTCCTTTGGCTGTAGTGCTGAGGGAACCCGCTGGATTGGTAAGGGATTACGGACTCTACTGAAGTGGGGCCAAATGCTGTCAAGTTAGGGAACAGCCCTCAGGCTTTCTGCAGGTCTCTGTCATTCATTCTCTGTTGTGTAATATTTTTGTCTGTAATTTCAGCGATATTGATAGCACACTGGATCTTACTATTAATCATATTAGCATTTCTTACTAACTAAAATAATAGTAGCACCCACAGGTGCTGCTAACAGTTACTGGGTATACACTATATTCTGGGCACTATGTTTAAGGCATTATATGGACTAAATTATGAATATCCCATAACCCAGTAAGGTAGGAGCTATTATTTTTCTTTTTTAATGGCAGAAAACTAACATTGGCATTGAGAGGGGATTAACTTGGAAACCCCAGTTAGGCTTTCTCAGCTTTCTAGTATCTAAGAAAGACATTCAAGATGACAGAACTGTGGAGAACAAGAAGACAGAAAAGCTATATGGGACCAGACAGTCTCACCCATACCAAAGCTAAGATGCAAACTGGGCTCTGATCTCCCTGGTAGCCAAAGCAAGAACAGAAACAGGAATCCTCTGTTGGATTTCGATGTTTGTGAACAGAAAACAAATGAGTCCCTCAGGGAAGCAAAATTCCTCTTGGATGTGTGTGTGTGTGTGTGTGTGTGTGTGAGAGAGAGAGAGAGAGGAGAGGGAGACCACTTATCACAGTGGCTTCTTCAGTTCTATACACACTGTCCTCAAGGGTTTTTCTTATGGCCTCCATACACACATGTAGAAGGTTTAATGACAAAGTGCAACTCAGTGGCACAGGAGGGAACAAGACAATATCGAGTATTAATACTGTTTATTAACAATTTTTCAAAAAAAGGATAATGAGTTCATTTGGGCTGAGTTAGAACAGCAGAAACCATGCTGAAAACCACGCAACCTTGACCATGGTGTGACCTAGATGTGAGTTTCATCGTACCATCTTCAAGAGGAATGTGCGTTTAGCCCATGATTGCTCAAAACATTAACTACCTTGTATGACATTCATCCTTCTGGCAGTTTTCAATCGTTATGCTTTATTTAGACTTCTTATCTCTTTCACGTTTCATTGAAAAACAATAAATAATCTTGGTCTTTTCAGGGAGAATAATTGCCCATTACTTGAAAAGAAAGCAGGTTTTGTGCCATATTCAGATGCTCACATGACTCCCACCCCGGAATGCCTTGTCAGGGGCAGCTGCAGATGCAACAAGGATCATCTGGAGCTGAATTTGCACATCTCACCAAGGGACCCACTATGATGGCTGCAGCTCACTTTGCATAGCATTCCTACTTCCTGCAGAATTCCAGCCCTTACTGAATCCCTTCAGTTACCTTAGGCTGGATGCTGATAAAGAAGTGACCGTGCTACATCCAGCGTGCCTGTCCCCAGGACCCTGGGAGGAGGTGGAAGAGACGGCATCAATAAGTCACCGTGGTGTCAAGCACAGAGCTAGCTCTGCCCATGTGCACCACCTCTAATTTTCACTATGACCCCACATCCTAGGTTAGGGGTTGCCTTGTGTTCCCTGCAAAAATAGGTTGAAGTCCTAAACCCCAGTATCTCATAATGTGACCTTATTTGGAAGTAGGGTCTTGGCAGAGGTAATCAGGTTAAAATGAGGTCATTAGGGTGAGCCCTGGTCCAACAGGACTGGTGTCCTTGTAAAAAGAAGACATTTGGACACAGAGGCAGGGCTGTGTAAAGGTTCACACAGAGAACACCGTGTCAAGATGAGCAATGCTGTCACAAGCCAAGGAACGTCTGTAGCCACCAGGAGCTGGAAGAAGCAGGAGATATTCTTCCCCTACGGGTTTTAGAGGGAGCGCAGCCCTGACGCCATCTTCATTTTGGATTTCCAGCCTCCAGGACAGTGGTGCAACCAATTTTTGTGGTTCTAAGCCACCCAGTTTGTGGTACTTTGTTATGGCAGCCCTGGGAAACTAACAGACTGGACACAATTATCATCAAAGCAGAGGACATTGGGGGTCAACAGAGTGTAAGGAATTTCTCCAAGCTCATCTAACTGCTGTGAGGGAAGAATTCAGGTGTGAAGTTATCTTTAGAGTCTCTATGTGAGCTCAGCAGTCACCCTGGTGTAGACAGGAATGTTGCCTACAGATACCAATTATGGGCACCAGCAGCCCTGTTTTTGGAGGAAGGGGTGATAACCACCACATTTCACATGCCTTGCAGTGTTGCACACAAACTGCTTTCTCCAAGCCTCCCCATTTAGTGCAAAATATTGTGCAAAACATTGGTGCAAAATATTGTGCACCAACTCCAATACCATGAATAGGTAAAATGGGTACAATTATAAATGATGAAAGTTCTCCCCTGAGATGTTGGTCCCTGCTTTCATCCAATCTACAAGAAAAGGATGCACTTACCATCCACCCTGGAGGACTTGGCAAGGGCAGGCAGGTGTGTCACTTATAGACAAGTGGCAGAGCACCTTGCCAGAGAAAAGGGAAGAATTCAGTTTGATGGGCTGCAGGAATCAGAAGGTGGCATCTCAGCAACTGGCTTTGAACAAAAGATTTCAAGAGCAGGGTGACTTGTCAGCTCCATTCCTGATCATGTCCCAGAAAAGTCTGGGTTCAGGTACTCATGAAAGCTGTGATAGCAGGCAGCAGGCAGGACTCTGTGAAAGAGGTCAGTGTTGTATGAAACAGTGGAGCATTCTCCAGCTCCGTATTGTATTTCCGGCAGCTTCTTGATCTGATCACAGCAGCCATCTGCATAATGCAGGCACCCTTAATCCGTATTTTGGTAATTGTAACCATAGATCACAGGAATTCATTCCCTGGCACACAAGATAAGAGATGAAGAAACCGCTTTATGCATGCAAATCAAAACCGCTTGTATTCCTGAATACAATGATGGAAAAAAAAAATGTGAGTTTCCAGATGTGCCAGAGAGAGATTTTCAAGACGTACAGTCACTCCATAACACATTCTGATGAATTTTTCAGAGATGAAATATGCCTTTGATTAAGGAAGGCTTTTTTCCTCCTTTTTGATAAGTCCTGTGTGCATGGGGGTACTCATTTAGTCATGATGTCGTATGCAAAATGAAAGGATAAAACCTTCACTTTGATTTATGATCATGGTTATTAATTTCCGATGCAGCTTTTGGGTTTGGATTATTGGGGGGTGGAGGGATTTGGCAACGAATATGAAAAGCATGGGAGATTTACTGCGATAAACATCGCAGCAGAGGTCTTGCTGTAAATAACAAAACTTCCGAAAAGAAGTATTAAATCCCACATTATTAGTAGGTAGAGGAAGAAACTTAAAAATGTAACTTCTGATGCAGGTCAGGATTTCTGTGCAGGCAACTTCCAAAGGGAGCCTCTTGTGTGGGGACTAGAGGTACGTTTTCTTGTTTTCCGTGAGAACTGTGATTCCAAACCTGTTTCACTGAAAAAGGATGTTTCCTGGATCCTGGTGCAATTGGCACTAAGGCCATACTTGTGGTTGATGTTGCTAATGATCACCGGTCACAGGATAAAATTTTGATAGTTTATTTTCTATGTCTTATGTAAAAATGCACAGTAATGAGCTGGTTGTTTCAAAATTCCAGCTTTAATTGTGTGTTACATTCATAAAAGTTTTAGTCTGGATGTATCAGGTGACATCCCTTTCATGGCTTGGGCAAAAGCCTCAAGGTGAAGTGAAGATTTCAAGCTGGGCCGGGCGTGGTGGCTCACGCCTGTAATCCCAGCACTTTGGGAGGCCAAGGTGAGCGGATCACCTGAGGTCAGGAGTTTGAGACCAGCCTGGCCAACATGGTGAAACCCTGTCTCTACTAAAAATACAAAAAAATTAGCCCAGCATGGTGGCAGACACCTGTAATCCTAGCTACTTGGGAGGCTGAGGCACAAGAATCGCTTGAACCTGGGAGGGGGAGGTTGTAGTGAGCCAAGACCACGCCATTGCACTGCAGCCTGGGCAACAAGAATGAGACTACATCTCAAAAAAAAAAAAAAAAAGATTTCAAGCTGGCTGGCAGGAGGGAGCTCAGACCTGGGGGATGATGTGGGGAACAGTTGAGTACCTGCTATCACACAGGGCAGGGCCAGCTATCCATTCGCAAGTTTTACTCTTTTCAGGCTGGTTCTGGCTGGTGTCCATGACCGTGGGATGTACCTGACCCACAGTCTGCAGGCAGAACTTGGTATGGAGTCACAATTCCAGAGACATCCAACTGGAGCCCCCAACACATGGGGTTCAGAACCTTGGGTGGGACCCAAAGAGACTGGAGGTGGAAGTCAAGAAGGAAGATGCCAAGCAGGAGCGTCTTAGTCATTTGGGCTCTCATAACAAAGTACCATCAACTGAGGCTTAGAAACAATAGAACTTTATTTTCCACAGTTCTGGAGACTGAGAAGTCCAAGATCAAGACACTGCAGAGTGCATGTCTGGTGAGGGACCCTCCCTGGTTCACAGATGGCAATTTTCTCATTGTGTACTTACATGGTGGATGGGGTGTGGGAACTCTCTGGGGTCCCTTTAATAAGGGCACTAATCCCATTCACGAGGGCTCCACCTTCTTGACCTCATTGCCTCTCAAAGGCTCCACTCCTAATACCATCATGTTGGTGATATTCAATAAGTGAATTTTAGGGGGACACAGACATTCAGACCAGGCATCTTGGATATCTAGGTAGCTGAGGACTGGTTAGTACTGTGTACAAATCATCAATAAGGGCAAAGGAGCTGGAGAGGACAAAATCCATATCTCATTCAGGATCGGCACTTTTACCAAAGCACCAAGAGTTGAAGGGACCGAGACAGAGTGAGGAGAGGCCCGTCGGTGTTTACAGAGGCCCCTGTTCCCTCCCCCGGGGTCTATAGAAATGCAGCAATACTGTGACCAGAGAAACAGCGCAAGCCGGGGCGGGGAAATCACAAGCTGTGGAACTGCGCTGGCAGCTCCAGGTCGTGAGCCCAGACAGGGCCTCAGCTCCAGGTCGTGAGCCCAGACAGGGCCTCAGCTCCAGGTCGTGAGCCCAGACAGGGCCTCTCGTGAGCATCGCCTCTAACTCCCATGGCCACCCTCGCACCCAATGGCCTGGCTGAAACGGGGCCCCAAGGAGCCTGGGGAAGTCATGCTCTTTCCCTGCCTTGCATTTCAGCACTGCTGGCGCTGGAGAACTTTTGCCCCCTCCACTCAGCCAGACAGGAAAAGCACCCCCGGCCTGGGGTCGTTGATCCTATATTTTCCAGAAAACTAGCAAGCGAGATTGCCTTTTCTCAAATGCAGATCACAGGGGGATGTGGGGAGGGGAGGGGCAGGCACAAGGCTGGAGAACCACAAGGAGCCCCTGAAAGCACCGCCCAGGACGCTTCTCTGGAGAGAAGCCCGAGGAACGCAGAGCTGCTTTGAATTAGCCCAGAACCGGGCGGGACGACCTCAGAAGGCAAAACAGGAGGCGCCCCGTGCACATATGGACCCAGGCACCGACTGTTTACCTGCCGATTCTCTTCTAAACTCTTGGCAATAAGGACAGAGCTCAGTTTGGTGCTGCCATCTGAGTGCTGGCTGACTCTGGCTCGGCCGCCCTCCCTTGGCCGCGAAGGTCCCCACGAGCTCCGGGTTGCAGTTATCCCTGCAAAGCTTGCCAGCTCTGGCCCATAAAAGCCTCTCTGCAAAGCAGAGGAATAGGCCCATTTTGTTCTGAAATACTAGTATGGATTTTTTATCTTAAAGTGAGAAAAAAAAAAAAAAACTTTAGGAGCAGGGAAATAAACTTTTAACCATTTCAATCAATCATAAAATTACAGTTTATTTTCCCCACCCTCTCCCAAGTAAATTAAATTCAATGAAACAATAGGTTCAAGTTACAACTAACATTTAGGCAAAGCAGGTTTTTAGTGAATTTGTCGAGTGAGCAGATGACTCATAGCAATCACAGCTCAGTCAACAGCTTCGAAGCAGCTTGAGCACGCAGAGCGCAACGGTGTAAAGCAAAATCTGTTGCCTTTGAACGGTTTTAAACGAAGCCGTGAGAAAACAAACACATTTCGTGGATTTTTTCTTTTTCTTTTTTAAGTCTGAGGCATCTGCAATGTGGAATTCTTTGCAGTAATTAAGATTTGTGGATGGGTGAATTTTAGAAATATGAGTCCTTCAAGATGTTTTGTTGGAAATGTGGGAAAGGGGTCATTGCTGATAATTGTGTGATGAAACAGAATTATGAGCTCCTCTGGGCCAGGCTGCTCTTCTCTGAAGCTTTCTAATGCCGTTGTAAACCTCTGGGAAAGCTTTCTGGATTATTCTCTCACCACAAGCACCCACAAGACAAACCGGACAAGCTGTTAAGCACAGACGGAAGTTGCAGAAAAGTTTAACACTGCCAGGGAGTGTGTCTCCAGATGCACCAAGCTTGAGTGTGGCTGGCCCCACCTGGCTCATGTGCCCCTTGGCAGGCTGCTTCCCATCACGTTGTCCACAACACATGCACCTGGGTTTGATGTTAGACTCAAGAAAAGATCTATTTTCTTGCTTCCAACACCTCCCCTTGGTGACTCCCTTGGGCCCTCATCCTCCTCTCCATTGTTACATCTCAATGAGCAGAACCAGGACATGAAGAGTTGTTCTCCAGTTGGCCGCCTTTTCCCTCTTCCTTGGGCTCCATCCCACCCGGTCGTGAAGGTACTGTGGAATCACGACTGCTGACAGCCTCCCTCTGGCCACGCCACCCATCTCCTCCATACTTGGACACACTTGCTTCATCATCTCTCTGGAGCCCAGTGAGGCTTCACTCACCACCTGCTTTGCCTCCATCAACTTGAAGCCCTCCTGCCTCCTCACCTTGGAACTGCTCCCCACGGGGAGCCCATCCTCGGAGCCTTGCTTCCATGGGAAGGTGACTGTCTCTCCAAACGTCAGCCCATTTCAAGACTGGAGATGATGTTGCAGACACAGAGCTGGTCTTGGGAGCACCCGTAAGAGACATATGCGCAGAGCTTCCCGAGGCACACCCACTTGGCACACCAGTGGTTTGTGCCTATGCAGGGTTTAAAGAAATGGAGTTTGGAGAATTGGGCCAAAACCACAAATGGAATCAGCCCTTTCTGATGAAATCATCTGATTTTCTCAGAAAGCTGCTGGAGGTGATGGAAACTTGGAAAGATGTCGGTGGCTTTTGAGACATGGGATTTGACAAGGGAACTGCATCCAACAGTTTGTCAGAGGAGTTCCGAGGTGGCTCCTCTGAGAACACCTATTTTGTTCTTTCCCTTCTCCATGATATGAGTAAGTCCCTCGAGTTATAAATAGCTCTTGTTGCAGCTCAGGAGGGTGATAAACTGTGATTGGAATGAGATGTCGGTGCGGAGATGGGCCCAGAGGAGTGGGATGAGAGGCAGAAGTGAGGACCAGTAGGTAAAGCCCATGAAGCATGGTGGACAGGGCTGGGCTAAGGATCAGGGCACTGTGGCAAAGGTCTCTGTGAACTGATTTAAGTGTCCAGGTATGCAGGCAAATCCCAAGACCAAGAGCAGACAAGACAGGGGAGCCCCCAAATAAGCTTGGTTGGCTCAGATGGCTCACGCCCCCTCCTCTGGGCCAGGGATGGGCCCTGGGGCCAGAGGTGGATGCAGCCCAGGGGAAGATGAAGGCTGCGGCTGAGAAGCAGGGTCACGCATCCAGAAACACGTGGCCTGTCTCTGGATCTAAATCTGAGCACATTGTCAAGTCACAGGTCAGAGTCCAGGACCAGGGACTGCAAGCCCAGATTGGACGGATGCGTGCACCAGAAACAGCGGTGACAGGGCCCAAGGGGTGGGCTCCTGGAAACCTTGGGGGTGAGACCGCTCCATTTCCACTCTGCTTTAGTTGTTCATTTCACAGTCCCAATTTCTGTATTCTTGTAGAAAAGAACGCACTAAGAGATTGCCAAATGCTTTGCTAAAATATATGCATAACTTTATTCCATTCCTATTTTCTAGTCTAGTTCTCCTTTTCTTAGTTTTTAAAGACTATTTCATTATTTAAACAAAGTTATTCTCTGAAGATTGATACTGGCATTGAGTGATCCTCATGTCCATCCATGAGCACAGCCATCTGCTTGGTCGTCTGTTCTAAATGCTGTGTTGTGGTGTGGCAGAACGAAAGCAGAGTGCAGTACACACAACTGTGCTTTAAAAATCATGCATTTACCACCAACTGTAGGGACTATATCAAAATGTCAACTGTTGGCTTTAGGTGCTAGAACACTTAGGCAAGTTCTTTTTCCTGCCTTCCTGTCTTCCTCCTCCTTCCTTCCTTCTTCTTTCTCTCTCTTTTCTTTCTCTTTTTTCTTTCTTTCTTTCTTTCTTTCTTTCTTTCTTTCTTTCTTTCTTTCTTTCCTTCTTTCTTTCTTTTTCTCTCTTTTTCTTCCTTCTTTCTTTCTTCCTTCTTTCTATCTTTCCTTCTTTCTTCCTTGTTTTTCTTTTATCCTTCTTTTCTTTTTCATTTTTCCTTTCTCTCTCTTTCCTTCTCTCTTTCTTTCTTACATTTTCACAAACGTTTGTTCTGCTTTTATAATGAAAAAAATCATATTAAAACAAAAAAACCTCCAACAGATCATGAACAACCCTAGTCAGCCAGGCCCCTGACCTCACTGGGCAGATCAGACGTTTTAAAGGAACTTGAAGTTGACAGATTCTGGTGGACACTGTGTCATTGCTGTTGAGTCTCCTTGGAATACCAAGACTCCAACCCCATGAGAGTGGGTTTGTGTTTTGAAGGCCCCACCTTCTAAGTCCTGCTTCTGACATCTTCCCTTGCATGACGATACCAGTAGTAAGTGGCCAAAAAAAAGAACCTGCCTGCTGTAAGAAGCTTTGTCCTGGTCTCACCTTATAAAATCCTAGAAACTCATGAAGTCATATAGTCTTAGATCATCTATTTCAACCACTTAATGGTGCAAATGAGGCTGCATAGAAATATTAACCAGAGTCCTTCAAATTGAGAGAGTTGGAACTGGAGAAAAGCCTCGGACTTTTGTTTACAGTTAGATCCTCTACATCCATCACTTTCACATTCATTCACTTTGCCATTTTTGTGAGAGAGGCAGTAGAATATATCATCAGAAAATAAAAAACATCCATTTACATACAGTCATTAGGAATTAGACTGCAAATGCCATTCCCAAAATTAATCTGGCTTAGGCTTAAAGAGAGAAAATGCCTGTCTGGTGCTTCATTTATCACGGCAGGAGAGATAGAGCTCATTCTCTTTGCAAGCTGGCAGACTCGGAGCAAGAAATACAGGGTGCAGGGAGAAAGAACCAGAGGTCAGAATCAGCCCCTGGAGAGGCCCAGCTGTGTGGGACCTGAGTGTGTTCTGAACCAGACTGGGTGCGCACGGCTCACTTGGGTGAGGACCGTATGTGAAGGTTATCAAAGCATCAGAGTAGAGGGCGAAGACAAAAGGAAATGGTGCATGGGGTCAAAGGTCGAGGGTCAGCAGAGCATGGGGTCTAGGATGAGTATTGGGAAGGACGTTTGCAGGTCACGTTCTCCTTCTTCCTGTATGCAGATGCATGTGATGTCTTTGCAGTCTACTTGCAGTAGACTTTCAACAACTCATCACATTGAATTATAATCAAATTTCAATATTTTTCTGGGCTCTGTTTACCTCCTTGGTCATGCATTTTTGTCTCTTTTTTCTTCTTGTCTTTCCCTCCTCTCCCATTCTTCGGCTCATCTCTTGATTCTTGGTCTCTCCGTAGGATCTTTCCTCCTCAGGTTCAAGTGTCTTGGGTCCCTAAAGATCTTAAAAGGGCCTAGTATAAGCACAGAGCTTGAACTGCAGACTGGCGACGATACATTTCATTATTGAGCCCTTAACATCACAATTTAAGATATAGCATATAGGATCTATAAAAGGGAGATCAATACTGTTTAAGTTATTAGGAGGCTAAGAAGAGGGCTTAAAGTATCTGGGAATGTTACTATGATGGTCATTGCTTTTCAATCTTATGAAATTCTATTTTCTGTCTTCTAAATGTATGTTAATCCGTGGGCCCAGTTTCCATTTTCTTTCTGCAATGCCTTTCCCTTTACCAATAAGCCACCAACACTGACTCCTTTTGTTCTCTTTGACTGGAGATCCTTGAGGATTCAGTAAGTTCTCTGTGTAGAGAATTGATCACGTCGGAATTGGTTGAGTTATCCGGGAAGCAGTGCTGAGATGAAGTTAGGATGGAAGAGGTTTGCTTGAGATGACAGCTGTGAAAGTGACGGGGAGGAAGCAGGATTGGGCAGAGGAAGCCATCAGTCTGTAGTGCAGCCTGGCAAAGTCCCAGCCTCCCCAGCCTGGAGGGGGCTTTGGAGCAAAGCATGTCCTGCCATTCAAGGAGCCCTGCATTGGGCGGTAAGAGCCAGGCCCTTGCAACACCTTGCTAGCTCATTGTTGATGGTGCCTGAAGGAGAACATGACCTGAGCTCTACACTGAGGTGGACCCTGAAGGAGTCCATAGCTGGAAATGCCAGCTGAACATGCTCCTCCAACTGGGCAGCAAGTCATTTCTAGAAGGTTCACCTGAATGGTGCATTTCTGCATCAGCAACCATTTCCAATGAGCTTTTATGAAAGTCTGCTTTGTTGCCTGCCATTGTAGTTGATGAACACAGAGGTTCATCAACTACAGGTTGAGGATCACGTTTTAGGAATTTAAGATGCCCAAATCCAGCCCTGACCCCTGGCTGTGGGGATCCCATGGTTCTGCTTCGGTACTTTCACTCTTGATTGAGCTGCCATTGTTTTCCATGCAAGTGCACTGTTTTCCATGCTGGAGTGCAGCAGACCCCTTCCTACTGAGGATGTATGGGTTCTGGGAGGCAGCTGAGACCCAAGCATCCCTCACAGGTACAGTCTCATTTCCTTAAAGCAATTACCTCTGCAGCCAGGAGATTATATTGCACCAGGAGGCACCGGGCAGGCACTGTCCTGCTGATAGGCTGATGACCGGGAGAAACCAGGCCTGCCAGGGACACACGCACAGTTTTGATGGGTCTGGGACAGGCTGATGGTCACAGAGCAATCGGTATTCAGAACTGTGGTCCCCAAGATCTGTGTTTATTCCAGAATTTTCCACTCAGCGGATGATCTCCTGCTCTCATCGTTATGGAGAGCATTTCTGATTATGGATTACGATTGAGAGGTATTTTCAAAACTTCACTCTAAAAATATCAGCTTTGGAATGGTTCTGAGCAGCCTGCTAAGTATTTCAACATTGCCCTGCATCCCTGTTTCAACGCTTGCCTATGCAGGCCAAAACTGCTTAAGATTTATGAATCTGGCAAAAGAATGCTCTGGTGTTAAGCTCTCTGTAGAAAAACAATAATTAAAAATAACCTTAATTTGCCCATTTTAGTCATTACACCATAAAGCCTTGCAGAAGATTAAAATTTTCTCATCAAGGCAATCAAAAGGTTCTATGATTGGAAGGACATTGATTTTCCACGACACGTGTCCTGCTGTGTAAAATAACTTCTCTTTCCAGAATTGTCTCAGCTGCTTAGGACATTACCCATGGTCCATTATGAAACTTTCAACTTAGGAAAAAATTAAAGCATATAAAGTAGGAAGGAAAATGTGAATGTCTGTTTTTCATGGCTCTTTCACTACCACGTTAGGTATGAAGTTTAAAAAAAATTAAACTTTTGTTTTGTTTCTGATAAATTATCACATTTTATCTCCTTTCAGTGACTGGAAACTATGACTTTACCCTCCAGATCTTGACTTTGATTCTCAGTCCCACTCAAAGACATAGAGGCTAGAAATGAGGAAGCCACTCATCACTTAGGTTATTGTTTTATTGTATAATTTTAGCAACATGGATATCTGTGAGGACAAATGCAGGATTTATTCCTAGAGGTGTCATTTAAATGTTGTCACAAGTCTAAGAGTGCTTAGAGGAAAAAGCTAGAATAAGTTGAACTTTTTTGAAGTTGATTTTGGCCAATGGCAAATAAAAAGTGCATTTCTCCTTCCAATATAGAAGGCAGTATATCAAATGGAGGTCATATGTGTCAGCATAGTTTCATTTAAGATTAACTATGTAGTGTTATGCTCCTTTAGTCAGGAAAAAGTGTGTATTTATAGCATGTTGCATTACACAATCCTGGACTTCTTCATTTATTATCCTCTGTGTGTGTGTGTGTGTGCATACCTAATGTGCACGTGTGCATATGTGTGTCTTCTTCTTTACCTAGACCTACCACTACCATTGATGCTAAACCACACTACAGGAAGAAATTGGCAGGAAAAAAAGTGTATTAGTTTCTTGTGGCTGCTGTAACAAATGGCCACAAGCTGGGTGGCTACAAAGAGAAGACATTTATTATCTCCCACTCCTGGAGGGTGCAAGTCAGAAGTCAAGGTGTGGCCGGGCACAGTGGCTCACACCTGTAAGCCCAACAGTTTGGGAGGCTGAGGCGGATGGATCACCTGAGGCCAGGAGTTCGAGATCAGCCCGGCCAACATGGTGAAACCCCGTCTCTACTAAAAATACAAGAATTAGCTGGGCATGGTGGCGGGTGCCTGTAGTCTCAGCTACTCAGGAGGCTGAGGCAGGAGAATTGCTTGAACCCAGGAGGCAGAGGTTGCAGTGAGCCAAGATCGCACCACTGCACTCCAGCCTGGGAATAAGTCTAGGTGCTGCAAGGCCAGGCTCCCTCTGAAGGTGCGTGGAAGATTCCTCCCCGCCTCTTCCAGCTTCTGGTGGTTGCGCAATCCCTGGCTGTCCTCACAGATGCAGCGCTCGCTCCAATCTCCACCTCCATCGTCACGTGGTCTCTTTCCCTGTGGATGCTTCTCCTCTGTGTCTCTGTATCCAAATCTCACCTTCTTACAAGGACACCAATCATTGGATCAACACTCCGCCCACACCACCAATCTAGTATGACTTCATCTTAATTTACTGACATCCGCAAAACGAAGACCTTATTTCCAGATAAGGTCATATTCACAGGAGGCTTGAACATATATTTTGGGGAACATAATTGGACCCACAGCAAAGGGACACATACAGAATTAAGAGGCGACTAAATGGAGAACAAGACATCAAAGAACAAGAAGCAAGCAAGCAAATGATAAATCTCTGGGGTGGAAGTTGGAGATGAAGGCTGCGGGCATGGGTGTTAGGGCACGTGGCCTCCCTCATTCAGTGACAGTGGCAGCTCAGTTGTTAAGGAGGGTTGTGAGCCATGTGCAGGTTGGGTTGGGGACAGACGCCCTGATGACTGACAAGGTAACGAGATGTGTGATGGACATGGCAGGGAAGATGGAGGCATTTATGCAGCCGATCTGCCAACCTGGTTCATTGTTTCTTTGCTGGAATGCTCATTCATTACTGTTCTATGCCTGCATTGGCGTGAACCAATACATCAGTCCCCACATTCAGAAAAAAAGCTCTTAAATCTGACTCCCAAGAAAGATTTGTGATGCTGTATAAATGATAACTAATATGGTCTGCATCCTTAGATTTTTAGGGCCAAATTTTTGTCATCATCATAGGTATACACCCATAGAAAATGTATTTTTCAAGATAAAGATATATTCTTTCTGAAATTACATCATACAGCCTTGATTGGAATGCTAAGAGAGTTAAAGTTGCCTAGAGAGGAAAAAGAGAATTGTGTTCTTTTGCTCTTGAATGTTGCCTTATGAAAGTTTTATCCTATTGTTAATAAGGAACTCTAAAAAAAGAGAAAATAGTATGCCATTGTTCCCCTATTCCATGAGTCTTGCTCATAGAGTCTCCCCCACTCCAATCATTCATATATAAGATGAAACTTACAGAATATTAGTGTTATGTATCAGCCAGCCAAGGCTGCCAGAGCAAAGCACCACAGACCAGGCAGCTTAAACAACAGAAATTTATTTCTCCCAGTTCTGGAGGCTGGGAGTCCAAGACCAAGGTGTCGGCTCCTGAGACCTCTCTTCTTGGCTTGCAGATGGGGTCCCTGCTCTTATTACTTAATTTAAACTCCTTACTTCTTCATTTTTTGTTTTTCTGTTTTTGATTTTGAGATGGAGTCTCACTCTCTACCCCAGGCTGGGGTGCAATGGTGTGATCTCAGCCCACTGCAACCTCCCCCTCCTGAGATCAAGTGATTCTCCTGCCTCAGCCTCCCAAGTAGCTTGGATTACAGGTGCCCGCCACCACGCCCAGCTAATTTTTTGTATTTTTACTAGAGGCAGGGTTTCACCATGTTGGCCAGGTTGGTCTGGAACTCCTGACCTCAAATGATCCACCCACCTCGGCCTCCCAAAGTGCTGGGATTACAGGCATGAGCTACCGCGCCCAGCCTTCTTGCCTCTTTAAAAGCACTGTCTCCAAATACAGTGGCATTGTGAGATACTGAGGGTTAGGATTTCAATGCATGAATTTGGGGGGGAACATAAATTAGCCCATAACAGTTACAAAGGAACTTAGAGATAAACTTGTCAACTGTCCTTTTTATAGAGGAATGTGCATTTTGTGCCTTCTTCATGCTAGGCAAGTCTATGGGAACAAATCAAGAAATCTCAGCAGCTTAAAATAGCAAGGTTCATTTCATGCTGACGTTACCTGGTCAGCGAGGGTCTGTGGGGGCCTTGGATCCATGCAGTCACTCAAGGCCCAGGCTGACGGAGTGTCCTGAAGCTCGTAGCTGCACCTTCTAGAACATGAGGTCCCCAGGTGCCCGTGGCAAGGACAACAGAACATAGACAAGTCAGACTCATGTGGCTGGAGGTGACATGGGCCAGCTCTGGCCATAGTCCATGGAGCAGAACTGGTCACATGTCCACTGAATCACGGAGCCAGTGGGGGTGGGAAGGCATTTGGACATCTCTGCTACAACTTGATGGAGCAAAGGAGTCCAAGTCTTCACTCTATATAATTATTTTTAAAATGTACTATTCTGTTCCCTCCTTAGTCTGTGGTAGAAGGGATAAAAATGAATAAAATATAAAAGTAAAAATATGCATTTGTTAAAATTCCCAAGGTATTGCCATAATACGTTTGATTCTGTACTTTTTCAACAAATATTAAGCAAAAAGCTATTTTGTTAGGTGCCCAGGACATAACGACAAATAAGGCAATTCCTGACTTGAAGGAACTTTTAGTCTAGGGGTAGAAAACAGTCAAGGAAGCAAAGTGTGTGATGAGAACCGTGCTAGGTGAATGTGGATGGCATTCTAAGTAGAGAGAAGCTGCAAACGGCTTTCCAGGAAAGAACCCAGGCCGCATCTGGAGAGGTGCCCAGTATTTGTGAGGCAGAGAAGGGGATGCACTCCCGCGACGACAAACAAGTGCGTGTGTGCGGGGCTGTGTTTGCTCGGCTCATTTCTGAGTGCTCCCAAGTGCTGAGCACCGCTCGGCACATTGCCGGCCATTTGGCCCAGCACAGCCCCTCTGCTCCCGTCTGTCTCCCTCTGTTCCCTGTGCTGGGCGCGGGCCTGCGTGATCAGCATGGGGCTCCTTTACCCTCTGGCTTCGGGCTGGGATCCGTCAATGGGGATTCCCGGGCAGAGGTCAGAGAGAGAGGCAGGAGCACAGGGTCTGGGCTTGCGCGTCTCCTGCTTTCTTATGCGGGAGACATCTGCTTCCCTCACGGGCATCCCATTGCCCTTCCACACCAAGTGCCTTCCCCTGGGCTCCTGTTCCTCTCCCCTCCTCTCATTCCTTGCGGCTTCTGGGTGGTAACAGCAGCAAATGGTGCCACACGGTTGCCCAAGGACTGTGAAGGTGGCTAGTTGCAAAGGTGTAGGTTAGGTGGTGGGAACCAGAATGGGGCTTACCAGGTGATTGCAACCCCGTGGGAAGCAACCTCTGTGTAAAACCCCGTGGCCTTTTTTGTTGTTGTTTTTCTTTTGATACAGAGTCTCGCTCTGTCGGCCAGGCTGGAGTGCATTATCCAGAGCTGTTGGACAAATCCAGAGCTGTTATTGTACCTTCAGGTTGGTTACAAATTTTTTTCTTATCACCATCCTGACTAAAATGATATTTTTAACTAATACATCAAACACACCCCTAATCATGCTCTTTAGAAAGAATGCCAAGGAGTAGAAGCCTGGGGTCAAGAGCCGCGCACATTTTAAAGTTTTGGTGTTTTTTGCTAAATTGTCTGCCAGAAAAGTTGTACCAATTTTCATTTTGGGATGAGGGATGGGGAAGTGTATCTTCCTATTGTGTAAACTTGCAGTTCTTTGATTACTAATAATTTTAAATTTTGTTTCATATAATCATTATCAATTTATATTCATATGAATTTCTTGCTCAAGATTGTTAAATTTTTTATTCGTGTGTGTGCATATATATATATATATAGAGAGAGAGAGAGAGAGAGAGAGAGAGAGACAGAGAGAGATGGAGTCTCGCTCTGTTGCCCAGGCTGGAGTGCAGTGGCATGATCTCGGCTAACTGCAACCTCCGCCTCCCAGTTCAAGTGATTCTCCTGCCTCAGCCTCCTGAGTAGCTGGGATTACAGGCACCCACCACCAAGCCCAGCTAATTTCTGTATTTTTAGTAGAGACAGGGTTTTGCCATGTTGGCCAGGCTGGTCTCAAACTCTTGACCTCAGATGATCCACCCACCTCTGCCTCCCAAAGTGTTGGGATTACAGGTGTGAGCCACTGCGCCTGGCCCATGTGTTTATAGTCTACGTTAAAATTTTTTCTTTTATTCTGTACTTGTTATTTGTGCCCTTATCTCAAAAAGGTTTTGGTATAGCTTATTTGTTTAAAAGGTTTTAAAAATAAAAATAGATTTTAAAAACAAAAATAGACCAAAAGTAACAGAAAGGGAGAGAAATAAAACATAAGTAAACATACAGAACATACATAAAAAGGTTCCTATAACATCCCAGTACATTTAGGTCTGAGCTTCCCAATGGACAATGTGGAAAGGAAAAAACTTAACTTTTTTCTTGGAAAAGAAAGAGTATCTTTCTTCAAAGAAGATCAAATTAATGACTTTATTCAAATTTGAAGGAGTTTTTCATGTGGACTTATGCAAAGATTTTGGAAATCATTGCTGAAAATGTCTTTAGAAAAGAATATTAGACACCTAGTAGTTATTGTAAAATAATTCTGTAGTTTTAGATATGAAAACTGTTATACAAAGTCTAATTTATTGACTATTGGACTTTGGGATTTAAGAGACCACTTAAATACAACAAGCAAGATAAAGTGGATGGCAACAATACAATCATCAACTTCGAATTTTCTCATATAAAGATATTTCCTTACTCATATCTTATTCATATAAGATAAAAATTAAACTGTAAATAATTATGATGATGATTTCATTAATGTGTGTATTCTCTCACACATACACTCATAAAATCCCATTAGAAAGTTATGATATCAGAATAAAGAATAGAAATTTCCACAAACTAGCAGTTTTAATTACATGCACACATAGTCTTTTTTTTTTTCTTCCTTGTTTGGCATAGAGTTTAATCAGATTTAAAATGGTGAGAGTTCTGTCTAAGGTTGTTTGTCACTTTATTTTTATTTTTTATTTCCATAGGTTTTAGGGGAACAGATGGTATTTGGGCACATGAGTAAGTTCTTTAATGCACACATATTCTTGTCTCCAGGGTTTTCATTTAGCTATGCAGTCATAAAATCATTTTTGCTACTGGCCCCAGTCCCTGGACTGGTGTCTGGGAAGTACACTAATTCAGAAAACCGAGGCCAAGAAAATGTAAGTGCACTGCCTAAGATTACCCAGCTATTCAATAGCAAAGCTGGGAGGAGAGCCCCAGGCTCCTAATTCCTGTTTCCCTAAACAAGAACAATGGTCTGTAGATTGGAAGAGGAAAAGAATAAAAAAATCATAATTTTGATGTGAAATAGCTGGAGGGACAAAAAGAGGGTATCTTTCTGTGCAAAGGGACTAAGTGTCCAGGCTTAGAGAAACTGTGGAATCACTTCCCGGAACGTGGGGCCAAGCAGCAGATGTGGTGTACATCCGCAGACAGTAATAACTGAGGGACCGGGGAGGTGCCAAGAGGATGGATGTGCAAACTGTGGAATTCAAGGAACAGCTGAAGAACAGGGGCACAGCGGGCCCTGAAAACAATTAAAGAGGGATATTGTGTATAAAGTAATTTAAGTGGAGAGGTCTTCTATGCAATTCTGATTATAGAACTAGAACCAACAAGTTACTAGGAGGAGGATTTCTGGTAAATAATGAGGAATAGAGAAAGAATGTTATTTATTGTCCATTCCAGTCCCAAATCCCAGCAAATAAATATTTTAAAGAAATGTTTAATAAATAGAGCTTCACAGTGGTGAGTACACTGTCAAGAAGCAGTGAATCTTGATTTACTAGATATATTTAAACAAAGGGTTGGTAGAAATATGCCTGGAATACATAAAAATGGAAATATACTGTGGACATCTGATATCCTTGTAACAGGAGTCTCAGAAGGAAAAAGCAGATGACGGAGGGAAAAAATAATAGAAGAAAAATGTATTAAGCTTAGGAAAAATACCACTTTTTATTTAAAAAAGGGAGGGGGGAGCACCAAGCACCAAGAAAGAGTAATGAAAAAAGGAAGAGAAGAAGACCAATACCTAGGTATGTGCTATTGAAATTTTACAACTCTGAGCATAATTTTTAAACATCTTTTTTTTTTTTTTTGAGACGGAGTCTCGCTCTGTCACTCAGGCTGGAGTACAGTGGCGCAATCTCAGCTCACTGCAACCTCTGCCTCCCGGGTTCACGCCATTTTCCTGTCTCAGCCTCCCGAGTAGCTGGGACTACAAGTGCATGCGGCCACACCCAGCTAATTTTTTATATTTTTAGTACAGACAGGGTTTCACCATGTTAGCCAGAATGGTCTTGATCTCCTGACCTCGTGATCTGCCCGCCTCTGCCTCCCAAAGTGCTGGGATTACAGGCATGAGCTACTGTGCCCGGCCAATTTTAAAAAATCTTAATAGCTTCCTGAGAGAAAGAACAGGTTAGCTATAAAGAGATTAAAATAAAATTCAGATTATTTCCGATTCCTCAGCATCATGAGATAAAGAATAATGCCAAAGTTCTAAGAGAAAATTACTTTGAACCTGAAAATTTATACCCAGCAACACTATCCATCAAGTGAAGTCAAAATTATAACATTGTTGGCCAAGCATGGTGGCTCACACCTGTAATCCCAGCACTGTGGGAGGCCAAGGCAGATGGATCATGAGGTCAAGAGACCGAGACCACTCTGGCCAACATGATGAAACCCCATCTCCACTAAAAATACAAAAATTAGCTGGGTGTGGTGCCTCTGTGGTCCCAGCTACTCAGGAGGGTGAGGCAGGAGAATCGCTTGAACCCAGGAGGCAGAGGTTGCAGTGAGCCGAGATCGTGCCATTGCACTCCAGCCTGGTGACAAAGTGAGACTCCGTCAAAAAAAAAAAAAATTATTACATTTTCAGTGCAGCAAAGACAGAAAATGTATTCCCCTTGTACCCTAATTCACCTACTGGAAAACAATTTAAAAAACAGGTCATGTGGAATGGAAGATGCTATGGAAGCTGATTGGAACTGTGAGGAACTGAAATCATCTCCACCTGGAGCAATTAAACATGGACCTTGGAAGCCTTGCCTTTGAGAGGCCCAGGTGGGTCTGGAGACTTAGCATAATTTTTTCTTCTTTGCACATCCATTTAAACAAGTTGGTTCTACAGTGAAATATTTATAGTCTTCATTTTATATGGCTTGGAGTTTGGGTCATTTCCTTATATAAAAGGGGACAAGGTGCACTTGTTTTTTCTAAATCGAATTAAATTCAGTTTTGAGTACCGACTCGTCAAGGCTGGCAAGAAGTGTCTGCCATTAATGGCATTAATAGGCTTCTTGCTTTCCCTGAGCCCAGTGCCATGTGCCCAGAACAACAACGGGGAAAAGCCATGGTTCCTTTCCCTTCATCTGAGCATTGACTGTAATGTCCTTGGCTCCAGGATGCCGTGGTGAGTGTGGTCTTTAGCTGTGCGATGGCTGCAGCTGCTCATCTGCTCTAGGAACCCGAGTGAGACCCTTCCATCCCCCACCCGTGGTCCCTCCCTCTCCAATGTTTCAGCATGAAAGAGGGACACTCACTGGTCTCATGGCCTCACAGGTGGTCATGCTGCCCCATCTGAGGTCCTGTCGGCCCTGCACAGTGCCTCCTAGCCAGGCTCACACCATCCCTGTGTTAAGGGAGCCTAGCTCACGGTCTCCTCCCAGCCCTGGTTCAGCTGCCTCTAGAATGACAGTCTTGCTCCCTAAAGACTCCTCCCTTGATTTTGGTGGGGAACCTATCCTGTCACCTGCAACATCAGGGTGACCCATCCGATCACCTTCTTTTCTAGGGCAACCTGTCCTACCTACCAGCTGCCCCATCAGGGGGTAATCCACTGATCACCTCCCTCTGTTGGCACAGCAATCCTGACACCTACATCTGTGGGGCAACCTTCCCTATCACCTGCACCTTTTGGAATTTTGACTCCACCGTGGAGCCTAAGTGAAGCATGGAGTCTGGGAAAACAAAGCAGAAGCCACTTATTTGAAGAAAGAGAAAATCCCACCCATCCTTTCACCGTGAACCTGGAGTCCCACGGCTAGCTGCTTAGCTGGCTGCACTGTCGCGTTAAATAGTTTCCCTGGAAGAGAAATTGTCCTCTTAGATTTTCATTCGTTTTGTTGTTTCCTGTGGATTTTGGGGAGAGGAGGAGCATCTCCCCTGCACAGCTGCAAACTCAGGTTAGCTGGGTTATACTCCTGTGCCGGAGCTTGCAGCAGGTGATCAGGCCTGTGTACATGAGGCTGTGGAGAGGCAGGGTGGGTACTGGGGCCAGGGGACTTCCAGGAAATAAAGCTCCTACCTGAAATGATAAACAGAGGAATATAGTTTAGCCAATTAGAGAGAAATTATTTCTAAAAACTCAATAAAATGTAGTTTAACCTTTCTCTCATTTTCTGGTTTATTCATTTGAATTTTAACTCTTCAGATGGCAATTGGATAAGGAACGGGACAAGTCAGGCTGCAGGCCAGGGGTCTCTCCATCCTGGACAGAGCCCTTAGCAGATAAAACATCAATTCCATGACTTACTAATTATAAGTCATTAAGGCAAAGAGCCGCAGGGTCTAATTAAAGTTGAGTTATAGACTTTTAATAATGAAATCCTCTTGGTTAAAGCACTGCTACTGAATATGCCCCAAAATAAAACCCAAAGTTTAGCAAACAATAATGTAAGAATTATTTTTCTAAATCGGAAAAATAATGAAGCATGGTTAATTGAATCATCTAATTTTTCAGAAGAAGCTGACAAAAAACGGAGGTTCCCTGATACAATGTGAGTAAGAGTTTTTGGCATAAAAGGGCTTGAAATTAATGCCAGCTTCTGGAAACTGACCCAATAGTCCCATAGATAATTTTTTTGGATAAACATATGAATTGACCCTTTTGGTGGTAGCTTGAAACTTACATTTGTTTTATCTGAGTTCCTTTCTCAGGAAAGGACACCCAGGCATCTCAAAAAAAAAAAAAAAAAAAGTATCAAAGAACTGAAACTTACCAGATCACCGCATTCAGACAACAAGATGCCTCACTTCTCATTTGCCATGATTGCTTCCTTCCCCTCTCTAGTTCCTGGTTTCTTAGGCATGGTTACATTTCTTCCCTGCTATATAAACCTCTAGTTTTAGTGGGTCAGAGAGATGGATTTGAAACTGATCTTCCATCTCTTCAACTGCAGTACCTGATTAAAGCCTTCTTAGTTGGTGATACTTGTTGTCTCAGTGATTGGCTTCTGTGTGGCAAGCAGCAGGACCTAGACAGACCCCTGGTGTTTTGTTAACACTCTCTTCCCCTTATTTCAAGTCATACTGTCTGTTCAGGGTTGAGCAGGGAGGACCCTGCCCATGTCTCAGCATTCATGAATAAATGAGAAGGACTTAGAATGAGTTTATTCACATATCAATGCTGCTTTCTTAGAGGGAGGGTTAGGGTCACTGAAAGATTTGCTCCTGGTTTCGGCAAGGTGACTCATGCCTGTAATCCCAGCACTTTGGGAGGCCAAGATGGGCAGATCACCTGAGGTCGGGAGTTCAAGACCAGCCTGGCCAACATGGTGAAACCCTGTACCTACTAAAAATACAAAAATTAGCCAGGCATGGTGGTGCACACCTGTAATCTCAGCTACCCGGGAGGCTGAGGCAGGAGAATTGCTTGAATCTGGGAGACGGAGGTTGCAGTGAGCCGAGATCACAATACTGCACTCCAGCCTGGGCAACAGAGCGAGACTCTGTCTCAAAACAAACAAAAAAACAAACAAAAAAGATTTGCTCCTTTAGTTTTTAACATCTTGCCTCTAATCTAAATCTTGACCTACTTAATTTATTTGGTAAGAACCTTTCTAAAGTTAGAGTTTACTTTAGCTTACAGTCATCTGAATTATATCTCCTGAAATGGTAGATTCTAAATTAATAAATATATTTTTAAGTTATTACTCCACTTCTCACTTGGTTTATTCATTTGAAATTGCTGCGTTTTAACTCTCAATTGCTCAATAATGAACAGTCAGTGATTTGAGCAAGGAGGAGTCGTGAGTCAAAATGGTTCACAGCCTCCCTGGTTTCATGAGCCCTCATCTGGAAACAGCCTGGATGTCCTACTGAGGCAGGAGAATAGGGTCTGGAGGCAGGGAACCTAAGGTCATTTCACATTGACTTTTTAGAACTAAATTGAAAGGAAAGCCCTAACTTTCCATGCTTAAGTAACAAAAGGACCAGAGGGTACTCCCTTGGCAAGAAGCAACCAATCAGACATTTGCATAGGAGTATAACTTTGTGACTTCACTTCAGCCTCTGATTCCACAACCAATCAGACTGATTGCGGGCCAAGTCTTCGTTTGCATTGAAGTGCCACTTGGTAACTTCAATTTAGTCTCTGACTGGTTGTTTTCTGCAACCAGTCAGATGTCTGCATATGAATGTGACCTTTGTAACTTCACTTCAGCCTCTGTGGAAAGCAATCAATCAGGCTGATTGGGGGCTACCACTTAATTTACATGGGGTGAACACCAAGTGGCCAGTGTGAAACCTCTAGCAGGTACTTGGACTGGAGAAGATTCTGTATCGGGGCCCTTGAGCTGCTGCTCAGGCTGCTCCCACACTGTGGAGTGTACTTTCGTTTTCAACAAATCTCTGCTTTTGTTGCTCCATTCTTTCTTTGCTTTGTTTGTGTGCTTTGTCCAATTCTTTGTTCAAAATGCCAAGAACCTGGACACCCTCCCCCAGTAACACAACCAGAGACCTTCCTCTGGCCCATGTAGTCTCCCCAAGGAAATGGGAAAAAGGGGTGCTGTCTTGGTCAGGATCATGGCCTCAGGCCTCAGGCCTCAAGCTCATGGCCTGACAAGTGCCCCTTCCTCCAAGAAGCTACAGCCCCAGCCAGGTGCATGGCTTGGCAAGTTGAGTGTGAGCTGCATTCATCCTTCACATGATGTCTGTTGGGTGCTGTTGTGCAGTGTACAACCTGCACAGCCATACCTGGAAACCCTGTCGTAAAATAGAGGATTAGACACAAGCATCAGCATAAATACATAGGATGGAATATTATATGACTAAAAAAGCTATCAGGTGGTAGGAGAATGTTTATTGAACAAGGCATTGCTTTTAAGGTAGCATCAAAAGAAGAAAATAGAAAGTTCCAATGGTGCAAAGTATATACACAAACACTGGAAGCTCAGAGAAAGGCAAAAAGAGCATAAACCAAAATTTTCATTGTCCTTATCTCTAGGAGATGAGACAGCAGATGACTTTTTCCTTTGTGACTTTCATCCTTTAAGTTTTCCTCATGTATCACTTTTGTAATAAAAAAAAATTACAGTCATCCCTTGGTATCAGCAAGGATTGGTTCCAGAATCCCTTGCGGATATCAAAATTTGAGGATGCTCAAGTCTCTGATATAAAATGGTATGATATTTGCATATGACCTATGCACAACCTTCCATAGACTTTAAATGATCTCTAGAGTACTTGTAGTACCTAATGCAATGTAAATATCATGCAAACAGTTGTTATGCTGTATTGGTTTTAATTTGTGTTTAGTTTTATTATATTACTTTAATTTTTTTTTAATATTTTCCATCCTTGGTTGGTTGAATTCATGAGTGTGGAACCTGTGGGCACCGAGGGCCAACTGTTTGGCCGATTCTTATTACTCACGGTAGTTATGTTCTCTAAAGTCACCACAAACATGGAATTAGCAAATACTGGCCATCGCTTTCAGGGAAAACACAGGGTTAGTCCCCGTGAGCCCATGGCCACAACACTTGTATCCACTGATCGATAAGTCACCCTGTTTTATGTGTGTTTCTGTTTAAAGACACCTTACTGAATATATATTTCTTAAAAATAATTAATAATAGATAATAAAACATGAGTTGAGAAGGGTTTAGCATTTTCCTGACCCTGAGTAATATGATCATAAATTTATTGGGCTTTCAGCCTCACAACAGTGCTTTTGTCCCTACCGTTTATTTTCAACCAGTCCTCATCTCATGAATCCACACATTTAGCCCTTCCTATCTTTTCCATAGCTTCATCCCACACTAGCAATGCTAATACAGTACTTTCCAGGGCCACCTCATGTACAGATTGGCAAATTTCTGCTTCCACTTCCTTGATGTACCGTGTTGTCGATTCATGAATGGTGTCTCTGGCACCAAGGGCACTGCAGCCCTGCCTGCGCACAGCTTGCCTAACAATGCATGTTCCCTGTGGGCGCCTTGCCTTGCACTTAGGAACACCTGGGAGCTTGTCAGTATGACACTCAGGGGCCATTTAAAGCAGTGGAATCACCAAAAAAGCACAAAAATGCAACAACAACAACAAAAATGGCACTGCCAAAAGGACACGTTTTCAGTATTGAGGGCCATCAAAGAAGGCAGAGTGCTGCCTGCCCGATCTCGGGGGGAACAACGCGCACGCTGGGGGTGACCCAAAGTTCTTGCTGCTTTTGGTGCATGGGAGAATAACCTCAAAAGCACCTCAGGTGTTGATTTTAGAGAGAAGGTGAATTCGTAAATATGTGATCCCAACTAAAAAGGGCCAACTGTAATTAAAAACCAGCAAATCAGGTTTTCGTTGATGTCATTTTGATTACATTTCTGATCTCCTAGATAAATCATGTGGCTCTAAAATCACTAAATTGCCATTTTCTGAACACGGGGCTGCTGTGCAGCCTGACTGCTGTGTTCTTCACTAGGGAGTTATAATCCACAAAATTTAATGACATTAAATATGCTTTATGTTAGAGAGCAGTAATTTCCAATCAAAATCATTATGGCTTGGTTTTGTTTTTCTGTGTGGAATTTCATGGACAAAGCACTGAATGGAAGCACGTGTGCTGAAATCCAAGTGCAGCCCTGGTGACAGAGAGGGAGGCCTCTGGCATGAAGGGCAAGGTTACTTTTAGGGGAGTTTCACACTTGGGGGGATTGTATTTCACTTCCCTTGGCTTGAACCCCACCCAGCACCTGGGAAAATAGACGCCCCCTCTCAACCCCCTTGCCCCCCCAGGCAGCTCTGCCTGCCAGCACTGCTTCAGAGAGAGGTTTAACTTAGTTAACAGAAAACGGCATCAATAAACATCAGCTCTGTGAAGCTCTCACCCAACTCCAGGGCCCCAGGCTCAAGCTGAACACACCCTCTGTCTTGGCAGAGCTCCCTGCCTTGGTGGCTCTCCCACGTGGCTCTCTGGAAACCTCTGCCATCCCCTGAGAGGTAGGGAGACTTCATGGCCCCAGCCGTTCTCTGTTCTGCCTCCAGCTGGGGTCTCCACTCCCATTGCTAGGGAGCACCTGCTCCCCACGGTACCTCGATGGGGCTGGCATGAGGCTGGGTGGAGGAGTGGGGTGGCGGGTGGAGGCGGTGAGCAGGCAAAACCTTCTCCTCTTTAGTCTTTCTTCCCAAGACTTCTTCCATTGTCTGCATTAAGGATGGCCCTTGGCAAGATGGGCAAACTTCAGCAAGCACTATGAGTATAAAAAGGAAGAAATGTATGAACAAAAGGGTGCGTATTGATCCTACATTAATAGCCACAGGATTAACGGCAACCCTAGTTGATGGGGTTTGAGAAAGAGGGGTTTTGCCAGGTTATTTGCTCCAACCTGGTGGGCAAGGACTGGACATTTACATGGGGTCTGCCTTCCACTAACCAAGGGATGTGCAGAAGAAACATCCTTATAAAAAGGGAAAAATATTATGTAGCCTGCCCAGTGCCACAGTCTAACAAGAAAGCATAAGAGATGCTCTGAAAACTCAAGCTACTGCATTAATGTGATGGCTTATTACTGTCAAACAGCATTCTATGCAGGAAAGCCAGGCATGAGTCTTCCAAATTCTTGATTGCTTTTTAATAGCAATCGCAGTGTTCTCCCCTTTAACAGTTGACATTGGCACACATGAACGATCATAATATATAAGAACAAATATTATAAGAAAAGCCACAAAGAGATTTAGCAACTGTGTTTCTGTGCCTATTAAAACAGCGTTAGCATGTGGTTCCTCTGGCCCTCATAGACACCAAAGCATTATGAAGGCAACACTCGTGTTGCTAGGAAGATGATCTGTTCCAGGAATAACAAGGCAAATTAGTTTGACACATTGGTACATGTTGGGAATGTAATTTAAGCAACTTCACATGTGTTGGGCCGCTGGGTAGATCATTACTCTTCACTTTTCCTTCTGGGGCAAGAAGAGCAAAGTCTTCCTAAGCCATGCTATGTGGGTTGCTGTTGTGGCTGGACATGGCCATGGGACCAGGTACCTCCGGGGAAGCTGCCCAGTGCAAAATGGTCATGAGTGGGCCAGTGTAAGGAGGGACCACCCGTTCTGGAAGAAAGACGTTGTGCTGGTCCCATAGAATCTGAGAACAGGGCTAATATGTCTACCTGCATCAGGGCTCTCGCTCAGCTTTGGGGATCTTTTAACTCCAAATTTTATAAAGACCCCCAAATAATTAACTTTATGGTAATTGATTCACTAAAAAAATGAACTAAATATATGCATTTAAATATCTGCTTAGATACACTGTGCAATATACACAGGTATCTACGTATGCCTGCATATATATGGGTTGCAGATGTACATACATGGGATGCGTCTCAATTCACTTGCTGGTTGTCTGCTTCCATCCTCGGGATGCATTTCTACACAGAAAGGACCTCGTTTGTCCTGTTCACTTCCAAAGCCCAGGGCACAGAACAGTGCCTGGCACATGGTGATGATCAACGTGTATTTGATGAATCAAGGAATGCACAGATGGGCGACAGTCTTGGAGTTGACTCGGGTTCCCCCAGGACTGTGGTGGCATATGCACCACTTCGCAAACATGTTTCTTTTCTTCTCTGCCTCTATTAGCCAGTGCAGGAGAGTCCTCATCCCCGTCACATTTAGGGCCTTTCCCAGGACGGCTCCCAGGGCTCTCCAGCAGGTCTGGCTGGCACCTCATGACATCAGCCTCCTCTGGGGCGTGCTGCTGTCCCTGTGGGTGTGCCCGAGCCCACTGGTCCTTGCTGGTGTTTCTCCGATGACTGCAGTGCCCTCTGGGCCTGGCCTTCTCTGCCAAGCACAGGTGCAGTGAACAGACCCAGGGTTGCTGGGCTCCAGGGTCTCACACAGACCCTGCCTTTGTGCCTGCTCTCTCCTGGGGTACCAGGCCACCTCTGCCAAAGCACTGGGCGGTGAGGTTTTCCACAAAGTGCAGGCAATGCCTCTTCCTACATTTCGTGTTAAGAGTCTCTGCGTTCAGCAGCATCTTCCACATTCTCCCATGTCCTCACGGCACTTCTGTTTCTCCCATATGAATCCCTGGGGCTCAGACCAGGAGATTCAGTAAGTCCAAGGATGTCCTATGGTGTAGCCCATTCCCCCTGCCACTAAAGCAGATGCCTGCTGTGCCCACTCACTCTTCCCTTATAGTGAGCTCCTGGCCATCGTGCCCCCGGCAAACACAGGTGTGGGCGGCCGGCCTCGTGGGTCATCAGGAGAGCTCAGGCAGGGCTGGCACCTCTGTGGAGGCCCAGCAGGAGCTGCGGCTGGTGACCACACCCCTTGTGTAACACAGGCGTGCGGGCTCCTGCTGAGAGGTGAGTCCAGGTACCAAAACAGGGCTGCCCGGCAGGGGGCCTAGGAGACCCTGGCGCTGCTGTCTAGGGTGAGTTAAAGGCACCCTCCATGACCCTCTTCTGACACACAGGCACACCTAAGATGGAAGCTTCGCTCCCTGCACGGTGTGTGGCCATCAGTGACCTCCTGGATCATGCAGTCATTGCTGGGCCACCCTTCCCTCCTGGGCCTCCAGGCTCCTCCAAGCCTGCCTCTCAGCTCCTCCCATGGGAGAAGCTCAAACGTCCAGATGCAGGCCCCTGCCTCTAGCACAGTCTTCTCTTCTAGCTCTGGATTCCTCAGCATCGGAGCGTGGAGTCTCCATACACCTGCCACCAGGTTCCCATTCCGTTGTATTGGAGTCTGGGGCTTTGGCTGAACAAGGTCTGCTGTGAGGATCTCTGGAGTCTTATTTTTCTTGTGGTCTTGCCCCATGTCCCGTGATGCATGGCCTGGGTCTAGGCCTGCCCTCCCTGGCCCTCTCTGGGGAGGGGCTGGTCCTCGTCACCGTCTGGCCAGGCCTGCACGGCACCTGACAGTGATTCCTCAAGTCCCCTGGCCTGTGGAGGACAACCTTCAAGCCACCGGCATCGAATCCCAGTCTCGCGATGTTTCTTTGGCATTTGTTGTGGGAGTTGGTGGTAGAGGAGGTTCAGTGCATGGACTCAGATCACTATTCATACATAAAAATTCAATCGAACTAGGGTTTAGTTTACTAGATAAATAATTATTTAAGAAAACGACAAAGACTGTGGTCCTGCCTTTCATTCTCTCCCTTCCCTGGCCCTCCCTCCTTCCTTTCTCCCTTCTTTCCTCTTTTTCATTAATTGTTTATCTGCCATGTCTAAAAAAGCCTAAACGACAATGGCTTCTTCTGCCACCTCGGAACTCCATTTGTGGTGGCTGGCTCAGGGCACTGTGAACAGAACTAAACCTCTGAGGTCAGGTGTGGTGGCTCGCACCTGTAATTCCAGCACTTTGGGAGGCTGAGGCAGGCGGATCATGAGGTCAGGAGTTCGAGACCAGCCCGGCCAACATGGTGAAACCCCATCTCTACTAAAAATACAAAAATTAGCCAAGTGTGATGGCGTGCACCTGTAATCCCAGGTACTGGAGAGGCTGAGGGAGGAGAATGGCTTGAACGCAGGAGGGAGGTTGCAGTGAGCCGAGATCCTGCCACTGCACTCCAGCCTGGGGGGCAGAGCGACACTCCATCTCAAAAAAAATAGAACTAAACTCTGCCACGGGGGCAGGCTTCTCCACCTCTGCTCCTCGCTGAGCAGAAGGTAACCACTGGGCCCTCAGGGCTGGTCACTGAGGGCATGACATTCACAGTAAGGACCACTTTGATGTTAGGACCTGAAGGTGACTTGACCGACCTGGGTCTTTCCCACAGGAGTGCTTCTGGATCTTGCATTCTGCGGGTAGAGAGGGTGCGTTGAGTGGGATGGGAGGATTCCAGGAGAGCCCTGCATTTGGGTGTGAGTGCCAGGGAAGGGGGGCTGGAGCCAGAGTTTCTTTATGAGATGGTGAAGACTGGAGAGCGTAGAGACCACAGGTCACACGTGGGCACCAGGCTTGTTAGGTGTGCAGTCATAGAGGCTGTGCTTGTGGGTTGATAAAGGGAGAATCCCGATGGGTGCCAGGTGATACCCAAGTTCTTCATCCAGGGCAGGGACCAACAGCAGCACTGTCCTGGCAGATGGGACCGGGAAGGGCCTTGGGAAGAGCTAAACTCACCTCCTGATGGCACACAGGGCCAGGCCTGGGTGTGTGGCTCTCTGGACAGAGACAGCCACGTGTCCTGGAGGGGTGACGGGGCATCTTGGAAGGCTCCAGACCCAGCTCTCGGGCTTCAGTGTGCTCCAGAGTCACCCAGGTGAGCACTCAAAGGAGAGCAGCAAAGATGCCAACTCAGGAGAGCCACTGCTTCCCAGGCAGCCCTGACTCAGGAAGGTGAGCAGTGAGGACAGGTGCGTCCCAGAGGCTACCCCGGCAGCACCCTGCTGGGAGCACCGCATGCCTGGTGTAACTTTGGTCATGACTGAGAATAGCATCGGTCCCTCCTCAGGGAGCTCATGCTGATCACAAGCGTCAGGCTTTTGGCACGAGCTCCACTTCCTACGCTCCTCTTTCCCACCCGGCTCTTTACATTAGATCAGCTGATAAGAGAATGTCTAATCATAACATCTCACGAGGAGGAAAAGGATGTCAAAAGTCAAATAACCTGACCTCCTGGAGCATCAATAAGGCAAGAAATGACTTTTCCTGAAAGCTGGGTCCCCCGGGAATGCCGAATTCCAGACCTAGAGTCAGAGCTGAAACCCAGCCCATCCATCAGCTCAGACCCTCACCACCCCGTGGAGGGTGGAGTTGCTCACCCTGGGACTTGGGGGCCCACACTGCAGCTGAGAAGTAACCCAGCACCCAAGGACGGCAGCCTGTGGGGCAAATCAATCATGAAAACTTTCAGGAAATGCATGACCTGATTTATTCATGGGAGGTAGATGCCAAGAGGGAAATTAAAGCATTGTAGACCCAGATAAATTTCCATCTTGGAAAAAAATCTCTTGAGTAATGTAATGGCTGTGTCTGGGCTAAATTCTAGGTTTTTTCCCTAAATTATACGGCCAGTTCTACTGGACACCTACCATACAGGGCCACAAGGATTGGTTGTCAACAAAGCAGGGACCAGGAGGCTTGTCTCAGCTCTTTGTGGGAAGGTGTTTTGTGGTTTAGAGGCGGGAAGTTGTGGTATTGAAATTGGCTGGACATTGAGAATAAAATGTATGTATAGAGAGAGTAATGTGCAAATGTGAGCGTGCAGGGCAGGTGGCCCCGAGGGATGGAAGGTGAGGACACGGCAGGCCTGAGGAGTGGGCCACGTGTGGGTGACCCTGGTGTTCCTGCTGGGCATCTTGGAGGTGTCCAGGTGGCCATGGTCAGTGCTCACATGGAGCAGCCAAGGGCACTGGATAGATATGGTGTCTGCACTCAGGCAGCATGGGGTGCAGAATGAACCCACGTGTTGGTCACACACATAACTTAACCCTGCGATTCCCCTGTCAGGCTGGAAGACATTTCTCCGGCATTGCCCCATGTGGGAAGAGAATTAAGAACAGAGAAACCAGGTGAGTTTGTGGACTTTTTGGTTTCAATTTAAAAAAAAAAAAAGAACAAGGCGGGGAGTGGCTTGGATGTGCAGCCAAATTCTTTGCAGAAAACAGCAGTGGACGCCCCATCTGTTCCGTGAGTGTCCAGACAAGCACCACTCATAACCAGCAGGGCGGCAGAAGCAGCCAGCTGAGAGAGACATTAGAGAGGCAGAGACTTGTTTTAGGGCCCGCACTCTACCAGACCTCATCTGGCTGAGTACCAGGGGTGGTGGGCAGCAGTAAGAATCCACCTACGGGCTGGGCGCAGTGGCTCACGCCTGTAATCCCAATACTTCAGGAGGCCAAGGCAGGCAGATCACGAGGTCAGGAGATCGAGACCGTCCTGGCTAACACAGTGAAATCCCGTCTCTACTAAAAATAAAAAAAAAAAATTAGCCGGGCATGGTGGCAGGCGCCTGTAGTCCCAGCTACTCGGGAGGCTGAGGCAGGAGAATGGCGTAAACCCGGGAGGCAGAGCTTGCAGTGAGCCGAGATCAAAAGAAAAAACAAAAAAAAAGAATCCACCTACGTCAGCAGATCCTGCCTGCCGTGATCCCATGCCTTTCTTCCCAAGGGGTGCCAGGGCAGCAGAAGGTCTTGGAGAGAAGCCAGGTATGCAATGTGGCACCAGAATGGCAGAGAAGCAGTGGGCATGGAGTCCTTGCAGATGTACCTGTGGGGACTCTCAGAAGCCCCTGGACACTCAGGGGTGCAAATGGGTCCCACTGGGGCCAAAAAGGGCATGGAGGTCATCTGAGGAGGAGCAGCTGGCAAACCTGTACTGTCTGGGAGGAAGGTGTCCCCCACCCCCAGGAGCTGGATTAGAAGTGGTGACAGGGTACACCGCAGCTGCTGTCAGCTCTGGGAGATAGTGAAGTCTCAGGCCAGCCTGGATGGTCATATTTCAGCGGGTGACAGCAAGTGACCGTGGCTGAGGAGACAACAGGACACATGGAAGCTGCATGCACAGATATTGACTAAGAGTCAAACATTGGCTTCTGATGCCATGATGGGGTCAGGTGTGCACTGAACCCAGGTGTGACCCTGGAAGAAGAGCTCTGGAAGTGGGGGGAGGGAAGGTCCTGAATTGGACTGAGTTTAATCCTGAAAATACTAATAAATCACCAGATCTGGCTGAGTTTACTTGGAAGAGACTAGATTAAGTTCTCAATCGTCAGGCGGTAATGGAGGCTCAAAATACAAAGTCGGGATATGGGGAAATGTTTGTGTACCTGAGTTAGTGACTTGTGAAATTAGAATCCGCTACAAGTAAGTGTTGAATCCAGCGAGTGAAGTTTCCTGACGCAGGATCATGGGATGTTGAGCATCTGTCACCTCTGGCGCTGTGCTCAGCACCGTCCTGGCATCCATCAGCACACTCAGTCTCCACAAAGCTCTCCATTTAGAGACAAGGAACATGGTACGTGGAGAGTTAGGTGACTTAGCTAAGGTCACCCAGACAGTCAGGGTGACTTGATTCAAACCAGGTCTGCCTGACCACTGTGCCTGGGGATTCAGCCTCTGGTTGTGTTGGGTGGAGAGAGGGGAGAGGAGAGACTGAAGATGGGATCCCTGCACATCCCAGAACTTGAGAGAGATGGCAGAGGAAGGAACAGCCAGGGGGATGTAGAAGAGACAGAATTCAGAGACGACCTGGGAAAGAAAGATTCTGAGAAGGTGAGGGAGAAAGTAGGAAGGAAGGAGAGATGACCTCTGTCTCTTTCTCCAGAGATGCCACATAAGCCATGGTGCTCACTGGATTTGGCGATTAGGACTTCACTGGTGACCACAGCAAGAGTGTTGGAGGTAGAGCAGGGTCCAAAGAGAGATTGTGGTGGGCTAGAACATGAATGCAGCTGAGTAGGCTCAGATGGTGTAGAGATGGCTTTCTAATGAACCTCTTCAGGAAATCAGATAGATGGGGTCAACACTGTGTTTTATTACAATATTAGCAGATATTGATTATACTTATTTGTTTAGGCAAAGAAGTCAATAGACAGAGACAGACTAAAGATAAAGGGGAAAGTGCATTGCTGAGGAAGCCAGGAAGGAGAAGGGACCAGCTGCCAGCCTTTTATATGGCCCCATGAGCCTCTCCTCCTGCTTTTCATACCTTGGTGTTGTTCTCTCCAACACTGAATAGGGCTGCATGTAGCCTAAAGGACATCAGGGAACTGATGAAGTGCCACTTCTAGGCCAGGCTATATGAGACATTGTGACTTATACTTTGCTCTCTCTCTGGGGGAAGCCAGCCGCCATGTTGTGAGGATGCTCAAGTAGCTCTGCAGCAAGGTTCATTGTGGAGAAACTGAGGCCTCCTGCCAACAGCCAGGGAAAAATAGGCTTCTATACCAGCCATGAGAGTAAGACAGATGGGAAGTCAGTTGCTCAGCCCCAGCCAAGCCTTCAGATGACTTCAACCCCAGCTGACATCTTGACTAAAACCTTGTGAGGGACTCTGAGCCAGAACCCCCAGCTGAGCTGTTTTGGAATTCCTGGGCTTTGTGAGATAATACATGTTTATTGCAGTTCTGTGCCACTAAGTTTTGGAGTAGTGGGCTATTCAGCAAACAATGCAATGTAGGCAAAGGTAGATATGATTCTAGAGGTGGAAATGCTGGGGAAGTTGAGGCTATTTCTGCTTGGTGATTCCACTGTTCCTGTGAAGGGAAAGGCAAGGTCATCCACTGGATGTCAGATGATGGAGGTGGAAGAGGAAGGCTTGGAGGTCATGGAGAAGGTTCCACACCCCTTAGGAGGAAGAAGGAAAGAGGAGGAAGAAGGCCAAACCCTCTCTGTGTGTCACTGTTTAGACCTAATAATGGGAAAGATGCAAATGATGTTCATAGCACTGCTCCTTGTCTAAGAAGACAGAAATATTATCGGATCATTTTGGGGTTCAAGAGACAAGTCACAGGATAGAATTCTGCAGTTCATCCAGGCCATTTTAGGGAAGAGGGGAGGGGGAGGCTGCAGCAGGACACAAGATGAATGGAAGTGAGAAAAGGTGAAATAAAGGCCACCTCATCTTTCAAATGTGATAGTAACAGAGGGAGAGGTAGAATTGGAGAGGCTTTCCTTTCTTTTCTTTTTCTTTTTTTTTTTTTTTTTTGAGATGGAGTCTCACTCTGTCGCCCAGGCTGGAGTGCAGTGGCATGATCTCAGCTCACTGCAGTCTCCGCCTCCCAGGTTCAAGCGATTCTTCTTCCTTAGCCTCCCAAGTAGCTGGGACTGCAGGTGTATGCCACCATGCCCAGCTAATTTTTGTATTTTTAGTAGAGACGGGGTTTCACTGTGTTGGCCAGGCTGGTCTAGAACTCCTGACCTTGTGATCCACCCACCTCGGCCTCCCGAAGTGCTGGGATTACAGGTGTGAGACAGCGCACGTGGCCCTTTTTCTCTTTTTCTTTGTATCTTAGGATTCTTTATTTTTCTTTCTTAAAGATAGAAGATCCTTCAATGTGTTAATTAGTTTAGGAAAATAAGTCAGTATACAGGAAGAAACTTAAGATAAAAGAAAAAATAGTGTGTACTTTGAACAAAGTGTAGGTGCCATGAAAGCCTCCTTATCTTTCATATGGGGTCATTGATCCAGTAATTCCCTGTCTCCCACGTGTGGCCTCTGTGCGGGGTGCTGGGTGTGGGGAAGTGAGCTACACACAGAGCTCTCTGCCCGACTTCTGGGTCTAATGGGGGCGGCAAGCACGCATGCACACAGAGGGATCCCTGCAGTTTGTGAGGAGTGCCACGGAAGAAACGAACTGGGTATAGAGCCAGAGTAAGCACAGGACACCTGGCCAAGACGGAGCCCTGGGCGAGCCTCAGAGCTGGCCCTGATGAGCCAGGGGCCCTGGAGGCAGCGCGGTGACCGTCCTGCTGACCGCCCTGCTGACCACCCCTCCAGACGCGGATTCTCACTCATGGAGAACTTTAGGCTCTGGCCACCTCCTGCACAGGACAAAGGGAAACTTTTGGGCCTCTTCACTCTCGTCTCCCAGAGAGTAGAAAAAAAAATACCCTTTGATAAACTTCCATAGAACAAAAACAACGAACAACCAAGCAAAATCCTTGTGTTGTGAGCATTTACATCCTGAGCCGCCTGTGGGCTTCTTTCAATGGCAAATGAATTCTCAGCTTTGTCACCAGGTGCCTGTGTCCATCTGGCTGCCAGTGTCATGAAAAATAAAAATGAAAAAATGAATTCTTATCTCCCTCACGAGGGTCCCATTGTGTGCAGCAGTACCTTTCAGTGGAATTGGAATTTGTCTTCGCCCTACAACAGATTGAATAGGAAAGGAACGTTTAATCAGCTCTGTAAACAAAGACTGTCACCTTAGTTAAAAGGAAGAAAATCACTTTATCGAGGGTGAGAAGCCATTAATAAAACTGCAAATTAGAATCCAGGCTCTGATCTTTCAAATCAGGGCTCCATGCAATGGAGATTCTATAGGGATTACCTCTCCTGCCTGGGAGAGGCCCAGAAAGGCCTAAGAAAGCCCTGGAGGTGGGTGTGTGCTGGGGAGGCGAGCCTGAATCAGCACATGTTAAACATGTTCCTGAATGCTGAAGTTGATAGATGGTCATGGGATCATTTTGTTGTTGTTGTGAATAATATCATTTTGAATCACGGATCTGTCAGTAAGAAAACCTGCTTCTGCTTCATTTCGATGAAAGGGCTTTGAGAATTTCTGCACTGGGTAGGAATGGAATCCAGCCTCCTGTGTACCATTTTAATCAAAAGACACAGGAAATAAACAAGGTCATAATTACTAGAAGGATATTTTCTTCTAACCCTTTTTGTGTGTGTGTGTAAGTGGCTCATTTCTTTCTTGAATAGCAGGAAATAAAATGACATTTTAAAATATGGACGTATCATGAGCTCTATAAATCTGGTTCCCAGGTTTTTCAAAAGTATTTGTATCCTGAAAAAAGTGTATGAGATGAAACAAAGCCCATTTGTATTTAAGGGCAGATTGGATTGTTTCTTTGAAATACCATCCAGGGAGGATGACAGCAAGTCTGGTGGCATTATTCTTGTCTTAATTATTTTTCTTTCCCCGACGGGAGAAATCTTTCTTTGAAGGTATCTTGCCTCTCTTGGATGCAATATGCAAAAGGCTGCTCTTTGGTTGTGTTTGATGAAGGAGAAAATAATTAGAAAACCAAATCTGCATGCAAGCAATTAAAAATATCAAGGGCTTATTTTCTCAAAGTGGCAATTCTCTCTAACAAAGTAAATATCATGAATCAGATATTTGGATTGAACCTACTTTCCTGCATGGAGGATATTATTTGCTTGAGTAATTAAATTTGTTTTCAAAGAGTCTACAAATGTCAATATTGACAGTCATAAGGAGATGAGGTTAGGCCGGCTGTGCCACTTATCCAGGTGGCCTTTGTTTATGTAGGACTTTTGTAACTTGATAATTAAGCCAGGCGAACCCAAGGCCTGGCTGTCCTCTTGCCAGGCCTCATGCTGTCCGGGCCACCTGGAACTCCCTTCCCAAGCCACACCTGTCTAAATCTTGCCTCTTCTCCCAGACTCAGTTCCAATTGCACCCCAGTGATCAGATGTGGTTTACACAGTGTTGGCTACTCCTTTCTGTAATGCATTCTCTTGATTTGGCTTTCACCTTTGTTGATATTTAAAATAATTTGTGTAAGTGGTTTATTTGCTTATAGTAGGCCCTTCTTTAGACAGAGATTAGAACAATATTCATATACTTTGGAATTTGTTGTTAACTCATTGATTCACCTAAATTTGTTGGGTATAGTTAAAGTGAAGATGTAATCTTATTTACTTATTTAACCAAAGAGCCAGCTCTCCGGGTGCTTTTTGGTAAACATTCCCCTGGTTTCCTGGCTGGGCTGCATTCTCTGTAGCTATCAAGGTCTTATTCATACTGAAGCCCATTTCGAATCTCTTCCATTCCAGCATCAGTCTCTCTCCACTTGAATCAGTTCTATGTGATTTTAACCACGTCGGCTCCTACTAGCTCTGTTCAGGTAGCGTTGAGTGGGAATTCTTTCCAGAGTCTGGGAAATCACTGATTTATAGTCTCAGTTTCCGAGCTTAGGTAATTTTACAGCTTTGTGATTGAGATTCCGGGTGCATTCCCATGGGTTCAGAGGGGAGAGCAGGCTTGTGGCTGCACGCACAGCTCTTGCCTCTACCCAGAACCCCCTTTCTGGGGTCTTCCTAGTGGCTTCCTCTCCTTCTTTGAAGCCCTGGTGGGCGGCAGTGTCTGTCCTCGCACTCTTCATCTGATTTGGCACTTGTAGGGCTTTGGCAGAATCCACGTCTATACCTGATAGTACATCTGGGAGGTCTTCTACAGTCCATGTGGCTAAACCGTCATTTGTGACCTCCCCCCAACCCTCCCTGTGTTTCTTCTGCAGATCTTAGACTCATACCAGCTTCAGGCAGACACCTCCCTGTCAATGTCAACATAATTCCCAAATATATCCCCATGCAGGCCCTTTCTTTGTAGCCCCCTGCCAGTGCCCTAGGCCATCATCTGATTCCTGCAATTGCTTTTGCGCCTTTTCCCGCACATCTCCCTAGTTTCAGGGCACACGTGCGGACATGCACTCTTGTGCAGCTCCCAGCTCCTGGAGGGAAGCCACAGTGTCAGTGGGGGAAGCCACAATGTCAGTGGGGGAAGCTTGCCATTTTCAGTGGAGGAAGCCACAGTGTCAATGGGGGAAGCTTGCCATTTTCAATCTATCTGCGGAACCCACGTAAAAGGAAAACCTGTTTCCTCTCTACTCACACACAGCACTTCACTTCCAACACCAAATGTGTGGGTTTTCTTAACACTCCAATCAGTTCTCCTATTCTTGGAGGACATCAACTGGGTGTCTTACAATTCAATTCGGTTCTGATCCTATATGACCAGAGTCAGGGTCAGACCCCGTAAGCTAAGGGCTCAGTCCTACAACACTGCCCCCTCCTCAGATGCCAGGAACGAGACCAGACTGTCTCCTGTGCCTCTGACCAAGGCTGTAAATTGGAGGTCCCCATGATCTCCCTTTCACGTTCAATGATTTGCTAGAACACTTCACAGGACTTAAGAAAACAGTTCATTTACTAACTTACCAGTTTAATAGAAAAGAATGCAGCTCAGGGAGAGCGGATGGGAGAGATGCACTGGGCAAGATGTGGGGGAGGGATGTGGAGAATCCACGCCCGCTCTGGTGGGCCCCTGTCCCTGTGTTCGCAACAGGCTGGAAGCTCTCTGAACCCTGTCCTTTTGGAGTTTTGTGGAGGCTTCATTAAGCTGGCATGATTGATTAATTCATTGCCCATTGTCGACTGAGTCAGTCTCCAGTTATTCCCTGCCAAGGAGGTCAGGGAGTAGGGCAGAAAGTTCCAACTCTAATCACAGGGTTGCTTCCCCTGGCAACCAGCCCCATCCTTAGGGCCTTTCCAAAAGTCCCCTCTTTAACATGAGGGTGTTTGAAGGGGGCTTGTCATGAATAACAAAAGATGTTTGCTTTTCTGGGTTTGTTTTAGAGACAGAGTCTAGCTTGGTTGCCCAGGCTAGTCTCACACTCGGGCCCCAAGTGATCCTTCAGCCTCAGCCTCCCAGGTAGCTGGGATTACAGGTGCCCGCCATCTCACTTGGCTAAAAAATGTTTGTTTAACCTTTATGGCTCCAGTTGCTTTGGAAATTATAAGGATTTTAGAAGCTCTGGCCAGGAATCAGGAATGCTGACCAAATATATATATTACTTATTATATCACAATACCCCACCAGGTGTTCAAACACACACATTCACCTCCCGTAAACATACACCTAGAACAGAAACAAACTTCACAAAACAATAGTTCCTCTTAATCCGTGTAATGCCCCCAGTATTGCTATTCTATTCATCAGCCATGCCACCTATAGTTCATAAAACACTAACGTGAGTAACCTGAAGGACAAAGTTAGGCGCCTCTAGTATTTCAAATGTGGTTTGTCACAACCTGATACCAAATTATTATTATTTTTAGAATAATTTCTTCCCCATGCAGACTTAAACTCTAACTACCAGGGACTAAACTGGTTCTTCCAAAAATGCAACATACATTCCAATTTCTATCTTTACCATACACTTGTCCCTCCCATCCACTTACCCCACCAAATAGCTCGCCTGATGAGACCCTAGTGCCATTCCAGACCCAGCTCAAAGATCTCTTCCATGAGGAGCCCCATTGCCCTGGCCTCTAACATCTCCAAACACTTTCCCCACTGATAACTTTAAACTTACTTTAAAGATTAAAATAATGCATGATCTAATATTTTTCATTGCCCTGGCCTCTAACATCTCCAAACACTTTCCCCATTGATAACCTTAAACTTACTTTAAAGATTAAAATGATGCATGATCTCATATTTTTCATGTTAAAATAATACACACTCTAATATTTTTTAAGTATGATGCATAGACATAAAACAATGTGATATAATGAATAATATGTCTGGTCTTTGTTCCCAGCTCCCAGTTCCTGGCACAAAGCTTCAATAAACCTTGGTATTTCCTAAGTGATAGGAGTGTCCTTTGTTATTCGAATGAAACCTCTGTTGACCTCGCCTGAATGGATGCTAATGAGGCGGGACCTTAGATAGTTTCATGGGAGGGGCTGGCCATAGCCAGGACAAAAAGACCAAGAACCAAGAACCTAACCAGAGTTTTGGAACTTTCAGCCCCATGCCCTGACCTCTGGGGAAGGGAAGGAGGCAGAAGATGGAGTTTAATCACATAGTCAATAACTTAATCAATTGTGCCTAGATAACAAAACTCCAAATAAGAGCTCTGAATGCCAAAGCCTAAGGAAGCTTCCTGTTTGGTGAACAGGTCCACATGCTGATACAAACTCCAGGCAGTTAGTGTTAGAGCTGAAGGACACTATTCCTGGAGCCTAAAGAACCATAGTGATTGATGGTTCTTGGGAGCATGATGGACCCGATTCCACAGGGAAAAGTCGGGAAGATCTGTGCCAACCACCTGGACCCTCAAGACCTTGCCCTGTGTATCCCTTCCTCTGACTGTCCATCTGCATCCTTTAAAATAAAACTGTAATTGTAAGTATAGTGCTTTCTTGAGTTCTGAATTGTTCTACAGAATTAATAAACCTAAGGTGAGGATCTTGAGAACCCCCAAATTTGTAGCGAAGTCAGACAGAAATGCAAGTAGCCTGGGGACCCCATTTGCAGAGGGCTTCTTAAGGAAGGGCAGTCTTGTTGGGGACTTGCTCTTTAATTTATGGGATCTGATACAAACTCCAGGCAGTTAGTGTCAGAACTGAAGGACTTTGCCCTTAACTCACGGGGTCTGAGCTTGGGACCCAATAGGAACTCCAGGCAGTTAGTGTCAGAGCTGAAGGACTTTGCCCTTACCCTGTAGGGTCTGAGCTTATTCTGGCTAGTTAGTGTCAGAATGGAATTGAATGGTAGGACATCCAGTTGATGACAGAGGATTGGTTTTGGAACTGCAGACGTTCTCATCTCCTGGAATGCTAACAAAAACTCAGACCCCAGATCTTGAGGATCAGATAATCTGTGCCAGGGAATCCTCATTTTAGGGAGTACATAAATGATACTCATACACATTAAAATTTGAAAACCACTGACATACTTGTTAAAGCACACCTGTAAAATACAGGCAAGGAGAGTGAAATGAAAAGTAATCCCAATCCCATCGGGGTACATTTCTTTCTAGAAGCTCCGTGTAAGTGTTTTTGTTATGGTCTGGTTCATCCTATCTGTTTAGTATTATGCTCTGCTTTTTCCCTTTGACATCATATCAGAATTTTTTTTTTTTTTTTGAAACGGAATCTCACTCTGTTGCCCAGGCTGGAGTGCAGTGGTGCGATCTTGGCTCACTGCAACCTCCGCCTCCGAGGTTCAAGCAATTCTCTGGCTCAGCCTCCCGAGTAGCTGGGATTACAGGTGCCTGCCACCACGCCCGGCTAATTTTTTTTTATTTTTAGTAGAGACAGGGTTTCACCATCTTGGCTAGGCTGGTCTCGAACTCCTGACCTTGTGATCTACCTGCCTCGGCCTCCCAAAGTGCTGAGATTACAGGCATGAGCCACCGTGCCCAGCCCAGAAATTTTTTTTGTAATGTTAGACTCTTTTAAAATATAATAATTGCTTTTGCAAAACACTGTGTTTCCTTAACTGTTCTGTCTCTTTGGGAGGTGCTTACAATATTTTCAGTTTGTCATTATTATTAAGTATATATTGTGATGAAAATCTTTCTCTCTGAAGGTTTTACAGTATTTGTTTTTATTAACTTAGGATTCCCCAAAGTTAGAGTACTTGCTCTGTCCCCACAGATGGTTTCAGACCTCCGAATAAACATCGCACTGGCAACCTACAAGACCATGTTTATATACCTTCTCTGGCAACAATGTTTATTTTTTTAAACTTTGTTAACTTGATAGGTCAAAATGGTATGTAATTATTTTAATTGTATTTATTCCATCCTTAATGCTGCAGGAAATTTTCCCAAGTATTTGTTTACTAATTGCATTTCCTTTTGTGAATTCCTGGTTCATAACCCCCAACCCTTGGGGTTGGAAGAACGTTGGTAATTTGCTGTGAAATGAGCCCTCTGCCTGCATCTTTGCTACAGTTGTGTTTTGCATTCCATTTGCTATAAAAATTATGTTTAAAAAATTATGTCGTATTTTTAATGTATTGGCATTTAAAGTTATTATCCGGACAATTTTTTTCTTGGTGACTTATTCTACTGCCTTGAAATTTAGAAGGTCCAGTCTACTCCAGAAATTGGGTATTTGATTTTTGTTTTCTTGTAGTCCTGCTGATTTTTTTTTTTAAAGATAGATGATTAAATATGTCCCTCTTCAATCCACCTAGAGTGTATTTTGGCATACGGTATAAGGTAATCTAAGCAAGTTATTTTTCTAGGTATTATTGTTTTAAAATTATCTGTTGAAAGCTCTTTCCCTTCCTCTGTCATATCCTGGGAGAATTGGTTCTTTTGGGCCTTGCCATGTTACAGGACAACTGTGTGTTTACAGCGTTCCCTGAGGACAGGCCTCTGTTTCATTCCGCTCTGCACCTCTAGAACTCGGCATAGTGCAAAGACCGCCCAGAAAAGTTTGTGAATGACCATTAAAAACCCATAGAGGAAGAAAGAAGCCATGCCTATGGGGTGGCTACCCCAACAGGCCAGTGATTCCTGGAGGCTGGAGAACCATAGTGCTTTCACAGAATTAATCATATTTATTCATTTATTTATTTGTATTTCAGCACATGGGATTTATTTTCCCAGGAAAATCTCCATCCATTGGCATGACTGTTTTTAAGTTGTTATTTTTACATTGCTTATGTGAAATGGATATTTTTAGAAGTTCTCTATTGCCACAAATGGAAGAAAATGGTGAAGTCTTGAAGATTGCTTGTGATCTCATTTTATTGCACTCACATTCTCTGTTGGTGAGAAAAACGTGCTTTCCATCATACTAAGGCCCTCCACTGAACTTGCAGACTCCACTAGAGCCCAGAGAATGCAGGGCTGCTCTTCCAGTTCAGATTCACGTCATCTCACAGGCTTCTCATGGCCCCCAGGAAGTCTAGGTCTCTTGTACCACTTGACTTGACATCGTCATTTGACTTGTGAGATTCTCAAGCCTTTATGGACAGGGTCAGCTTTCCTATATCTCTTCTCTTCTTAGACTAAAAATGCAGAGAGATTCCTGCCTCTCTCCCAAAGCGTGGCCAGCTGTCTCATGGGGGACTTGAAGGTTGGTGTCCCCCAGAGTCGACTGGACTTCACCCTTCTTTCTTCCCTCTCCATGGATTACTGCTGAGGGTCTCTTCTGTTCCCTCGCCTTGCCATGTATAGTGGCTGATGACGCCTGGCTCTCCATCAGGGAAGGGACTGGGAGAGGTGAGTGAGAAGCCTCAGCTTCCCTCTTAGGCTCTGCCTGTTGCACAGTCTGAGATAAATGTGCCAAGTTTTGTTTGTCCTTCCTCTGATGTGTTCCTTGATTCTGTTTCCTTATTTCATTCCCATCACCATGACTTTAGTCAAGCCATTGTTACCTGTCACTGCAACTCAACTCCATAACTCAGTGAGTTTTCAAAGGCCCCTAAGGCAGTGGATCCCAGTTTTGAAGGTGAGGAGCAAAATGCATTTTGAGAAAGTGTGTTGTGTGTAATGTTTGGATAATGAGATAAGTTACACATTGTGCTGGGGACATAGATTCCAGGTACTAAGCTTGAGAGAAACGGCTTGGCTGACAGCTGCAGATACTTGTGCACGCGTGGGGAGGGGAACTGTGCAGCACCCCACTGTCTTCAGTGAGGCTGGGTGAGGCTGCACCTGATTTCTATGTTTACTAAAAAGGGCACGGAGTATAAAAGGCTGAGAAACACCGCTCGAACCAATCTGTCTGTCTTCATTTCTTTATTTAATTCAATAAACATGGGTTGAGGGTCTGGGTTATTCCGGAAGATGCCAGGGTTAAGGATGCAGGTATTAAGAAGACATGGCCCCTCTTAGGAGGGGCCTTCTAGGAGACACCATCTCTGGGGAGAGGCTGTGGTCAGCTGCAGATTCACTGCATGGGATCTGTGCTCCATCCAGGGGCATGTCAAGGAGAGCCCCTAACCCAAGCGGCACATCCAGAGCTTCCTGATGAGGGGCTGCCCAAGTGGGCTGTGAAGGGTGGGAGTGGTAGCAGGTTGGGGCCATCTCAGATTGTTCTGAAGACCCCCAGTGAGGGAGAAGCAGGCCTGGGAGCAGGTGGGGGCATCTGGTACATGTGCAGGAAGGAGGGTGCTGGGGTGGGCTGCTCAGATGACCTGGAGCTTTGTGGGCCATTTTAGAAAGAGAAGCCTACTCCTCATGGTGGGATTGGAAGCTCCCTGTGGGGCTGGAAGAAGGGGAGCCCATCTCTGAAAGCCAGGGAGAGACCACCTCCAGCCAGCTCTGCCAAAGGCTCCTGTGTCCTGAAGTCTCAGGCTACACTTTAATCCTGAAACAGGTACAGCAGGAACTGCTCCTGTTCCTGCACCTGCTCTGCCTGATGGGCCATTTCAGAGCAGGGAAGAGAATGTCCTTTATCACTCCCACCTGACCAAATCCTCACCATCCCGTCAGTGTGACTTGGGGCTGGTCACTTAACCTCTCTGAGCACCAGTGTTTTCATTTGTGAAATGAGGATAGAATAACCAGTCTCAAAGTCACTGGCTCTGGCACGTAGTAGGTACTAAGTAGGTGAGAATTGCAATTATTATTATTATCATTAATTGTTATTAATGACTGTGATTGTCACTGTTTCTATTTATATTTTTGTCTTTTCTGCCAGTCACTGGGTTCTAGAGACAAGGGGAGGGCTGGCCCCAGGACAGAAACCTCAGAAAGAATTCTCCAGTCTTGGAGTTGTGGACTTGAATTTCATTTCTTCTGTTAGGAACACAGGACTAAGTCAGAAGAGTAGGGAGATAGATATATTCTGAGCCAAATGTCACGGAATTTCAGAGCTGAGGATGGCCAAGGGTACACGGTGAACAGAGGCCATGGAAGGATGCATGCCAGAGTCTCTACCCCTCTGCATATAGCCTGTAATTGCTTTAGATTTTCACTAGTAGTTTTATACCATGCATGTGTATCAGTGGGCAAGTCGCTCTCTGCTGTGAACCTCTGTTTCTTTGTCTATAAAATGGAAATTATGGGCCAAATGATTTGCAAGAGCCCCGTCCACTGCTGCTCTAAGACCAGCAGGAATCACTAGATGGGGAATCCCAGTCCTCTCCATCTCTTCATTGGCTAGTATCAGGGATCCATGAGTCAGTAGGTTGACAAATGCCCCCTTAAACACCAAGTCCTAAACCAAGGGCTCCATGTTCCCAGACAGAGATGCCATTAGCAGCTTCTCTCTGCCAGCACCCCAGACAGGTGCATGCATTTTCCTACTGACATAAAACTCATGGTCAGGACCTACCTCACTGCCCCATTCTCATCTAAAAGGAATTTGACCAAGGATGGTGTCACTGGCATTAAGCTTCTCATGTGGGCCAAGAGATAAAAAGTTCACAGACTCAGCTGCAAGTTACATCCTGTTTGGCACTGTGGGAAATCACTGGGTTTAGGAACTTATTTCTCACCCTGAACCTCTTTCAGGAAATGATGTTGTCCTTTTTGATGCCCTGGCTACAAAATGCAATGGGGATTCCATTGCACTGTAGTTCTGCTACCTTCTCAGAGTTAAACCTGATGGGAAGAACACCAATCTTATCTTACTGGAAAAAAACACATTACCTAATAGGAAAGCCCTGGGAACAATTGAGAAATTTCCGAACTCAGTGGAGAATCCAAAATATAAATTGACGCTGGTATGTGGAGATCAACTCATGCCACCTCATTTCCTTTGGAGATGAAGAAAGCGTGGCACAGGGCATGCACTCAAATGCTGTGTGGTGATCATTTTCAGAGTGAACACAGGCCAATGCTTTTCCCTTCCTGTTTCCCTCAACTGTGATTATTCATGAGTTAAATGCAGGGGAGGCCTTCTTCTTGTCTCCACAGACCAGCATTTCTGGCCGAGCTTGATATTTCTGGCTATCGCTATACAGGTAGTAGGTAGCTACTACATGACAGGGAACATGACCTGTTGTAACAAGTTTCATTTTACCATTTATTGAGTATTTTTATAAAACGCTACTCTTTCCCTTTGAATCAAAGAAGGTAACAAAGACCTGAGTAACCTTGCTGGTGATGGGACTTGTGCATCTGAAAAGTCTGAGCTTCATTCATTCATCCCTCAAGCAGCATGCACTTACCAGGCAGGTGCCATGTGTTAGACACTGCCTTCCTCCATGGCCTCTGGCTGGACTTTGATCTCTTCCTGGCATCTGAGCCATAGTCTTCTGCTTATGCTCAGTTCTTAGAACTGCACCAATACAGAGAAAGCATTGAGCAGATGCTTTTTGAATGAATGGAATTTAAATGAATAAATGATACATGACCTTTTGTCTTGGTGACCCACCCTTCCCCAACCCTGAGTCCTGTTAGTTCTAGTGTCCTGCCCCAGCTCCACCAAGTGACCCACCATTGGGACAGGCAGTTGGAGATTCTGAGCAGTAGTTCTTGCTTTGTTCCCTGAGGATGTGCAGGGCCACCCTCTGGTTGGTAGGAGTCCCTGAACAACCCATCCACAGACCTCTCCAAATCTCTCACCAGTAAGCTTGCTCTAGACCTTGGTCTCTGCTCTGAGCATCCTGGGGGACTGAATCCCATTCTTGAGAGCCCCTCCCGAATCTCATGTCCTCACATTTCAAAACATAATTATGCCTTTCCAACAGTCCCCCAAAGTCTTAACTCATTCCAGCATTAACCCAAAAGTCTAAGTTCAAAATCTCATCTGAGACAAGGCAAGCCCCTTCAGCCTATGAGCCTGTAAAATCAAAAGCAAGTTAGTTACTTCCAAGTTACAGTGGGAGTACAGGCACTGGGTAAATGCTTCCATTCCAAATGGAAGAAATTGGCCAAAACAAAAGGACCACAGGCCCCATGTAAGTCTGAAACATGGCTGGACAGTCACTAAATCTTAAAGCTCTAAAATCTCCTCTGACTCCATGTCTCACATCCAGGCATGCTGATGCAAGGGGTGGGCTCCCACAGCCTGGGCAGCCCTATTCTGTGGCTCTGCAGGGTACAGTCCCTGCAGCTGCTTTCATGGGCTGGCGTTGAGTGCCTGCAGCTTTTCCAGGTGCATGGTGCAAGCTGTCAGTGGATCTACCAGTCTGGATTCTGGAGGATTGTGGCCTCCTTCTCACAGCTCCACTAGGCAGTGCCCCAGTGGGGACTCTGTGTGGAGGTTCACACACCACATTTTCCTTCTGGACTGCACTAGCAGATGTTCTCTATGAGGGCTCCACCCCTGCAGCAGGCTTCTTCCTGGCATCAAGGCATTTCCATACATGTTCAGAAACTTAAACAGAGGTCCTCAAAGCTCAACTCTTGTCTTCTGCACACCTGCAAGCCCAACATCACATGGAAGCCACCAAGGCTTGGGGCTTGCACCCTCTGAAGCCATGGCCCAAGCTGCACCTTGTCCTCTTTAGCCATGGTTGGAGCTGGAGTGGCTGGAATGCAGGGCACCAAGTCCCAAGGCTGCATAGAGCAGTGGGGCCCTGGGCCTGGCCCATGAAACCATTTTTCCCTCCTAAGCCTCCAGGCATGTGATGGGAAGTGCTGCTTCAAAGATTTCTGACATGCCCTGGAGACATTTTCCCCATTGTCTTGGCTATTAACATTTGGCTGCTTGTTACTTATGCAAATTTCTGCAACAAGCTTGAATTTATCCCCAGAAAATGGGTTTCTCTTTTCTACTGCGTGGTTAGACTGCTAATTTGTCAAACTTTTATGCTCTGCTTCCCTTTTAAACATAAGTTCAAATTTAAAATAATCTCTTTGTGAGTGCATATAACTGTACACTTTCAGGAAAAGCCAGGTCACCTCTTGAATGCTTTGCTGCTTAGAAATTTTTTTCTGCCAGGAATCCTAAATCACCTCTCTCAAGTTCAAAGTTCCGCAGATCTCTAGGGCAGTGGCAAAATGCCACCAGTTTCTTTGCTAAAGCATAGCAAGAGTGACCTTTGCTCCAGTTCTCAACAAGTTCCCCATCTCTTCTGAGACTGTCTTAGCGTGGACTTCATTTTTTGTATCACTATCAGCATTTTGGTCAAAACCACTCAACAAGTCTCTAGGAAGTTCCAAACTTTTCCACATCTTCCTGTCTTCTTCTGAGCCCTCCAAACTGTTCCATCCTCTGTCTGTTACCCAGTTTCAAATTCTTTTCTACATTTTCAGGTTATCTTTATAGCAGTACCCCACTGCTGGCACCAATTCTCTGTATTACTGTATTCTCATACTGCTATAAAGTTACTGCCTGAGACTGGGAAATTTATAAAGAAAGGAGATTTCATTGACTCACAGTTCCACATGGCTTCAGAGGCCTCAGGAAACTTAAAATCTTAGGAGAAGGTGAAGAGAAAGCAAGGCATGTATTACATGGCTGCAGGGGAGAGAAAGCAGGGGAAACTGCCAAACACTTTAAAAACCATCATGTATCATGAGAACTCCCTCACTGTCATGAGAACAACATGGGGGAAACTGCCTCCGTGACCCAATCATCTCCCACCAGGTCCCTCCCTTGACACATGGGGATTACAATTTGAAATGAGATTTGGATGGGGACCCAGAGCCACCAAACCATATCATTGACATTTTAGTCTACTTCCTAGAACCTAATGGGTTGGCATTCAAAAAATCATTATGTAGACCTAGATTATAAATGAGGACATCAAAGGGTAAAATTGTGAAGAGATTCACTCTAAGATGCAAAGGCAGTGTCTTTGATGGCTACAGATGCAGCATGGGGTCTTTTGATGCCAAATCTCACACAGGTGGACTTAGAGAAGAATGAAAAGATGAAGAAAAATGACGTAGAAAAATGGAGAAGTGAATAATTATTGTACTAGTTAAGGTGCCACCAGCTGCCTAACAAGTCTCAGAGAACGTCCAATAGAAGATCCCTCACCGAAGTCACTGTGCAATGCAGAGGCCCCTGGTCAGTGGATGGAATTGACTTGCTGGCTCTACTGTCTTCATTGAGCTTCCCAGGGCTAACTGGGATGTCGACATTCAGGCACCAGTCAAACAAAAAGAGAGGGAGGATGCAGGACTTATAAAGCAGCCTCCTGGCCATACTTAGCTACAAGGCAGGCTGGGGAACACCATCTACCTGTGTGCCCAGACAGAAAAGGAAGGTGTGGGGCTCAGTCTAGAGTCTTTTCCACAGTCACTGACAGAGTCTGCACTCTGGACTGGGTATTAGAGATAGTCTGAAGCTAATGTATGCCACTGCATCATGTGTGGAAAAATCCTTTACCCTACCAACAAGTACTTAGATCCTGGCTGGCTGGTCCCACAGTTCTTACGTTGATGGCATTGATTCTGTGCAACAGCCATGCTGTGTTGAAAACAATGAGGCACTCAGTACCAGTCATGGCTGAGTCTTACCATCTTGTGACCCTGAGCAAGGTCCTTACTTCTCTGAGCCTCAGTTTCTTCACCTGCAAAAATCAGAATCATGACACCTGCATCAAATAGATAAAGGAGAGCATGGCATCTTGTAGGAAGGGGATGCTATGCAAAATAGGAGGAATACTAATTTTATGTTTTACCATGGTTGCTATTGGGTGGGGGATACAGGTTAAATGCAGCAGAAATGAACAGCAGCAATGAGTGATTCTATTAATACGTATTGATATATTAATATCTCCACTACTTAGTACTCAGGTGATATGGTTTGGCTCTGTGTCCCCACCCAAATCTCACCTTGAATTGTAATAATCCCCATGCATCAAGGGTGGGACCAGGTGGAGGTAATTGTATCATGGGGGTGGTTTCCCCCATGCTGTTCTCATGATAATGAGTGAGTCTCATGAGATCTGATGGTTTCATAAAGCATCTGGCATTTCCCCCGCTTGCACTCATTCTCTCTCCTGCCACCCTGTGAAGATGCACCTTCTGCCATGATTGTAAGTTTCCTGAAGCCTGCCCAGCCATGCAGAACTGTGAGTCAATTAAAACTTTTTTCTTTATAAATTGCCCAGTCTCACGTATTTCTTCAAAGCAGCGTGAGAACAGACTAATGCACCAGGTATCTAAACTGATAAAACTTATGTTGACCCCAGACAAATTTCCAGCATGGATTATTATAAAAGTAACTTGGGAGTTGTCAGAAAAGGGGTATGATCAATGAAAGACAATTTGTTTCCATTAAGAGTCAATCCTAACAGTTTAAACACTTACTCCCTTTTTTCCCCCAAAGCCACATGAAATTGTTATTTTACTAATATTAGATATCAAAAATAGCTCTACAAGCTCAACAAACCAAATTGCTTTCATGTTTTTACTTTTGGCTCCCACTCTCTCTGACTGCATGCATATAAACACACAATTCTGGCATAATGAAATTCTTATGATTAGAAATAATTTTTTTTTGAGACAGAGTCTTACTTTGTTGCCCAGGCTGGAGTGCAGTGGCATGATCACGGCTCACTGCAACCTCCACCTCCCGGGTTCAAGCAATCCTCCTGCCTCAGCCTTCTGAGTAGCTGGTATTACAGGTGCATGCCACCACACCCAGCTAATTGTGTGTGTGTGTGTGTGTGTGTGTGTGTGTGTGTGTGTGTGTGTGTGTGTATTTTTAGTAGAGATGAGGTTTTGCCATGCTGGCCAGGCTGGTCTTGAACTCCTGACCTCAGGTGATCCACCTGCCTTGGCCTCCCAAAGTGCTGGGATTACAGGTGTGAGCCACCACACCTGGCCCTGGAAATAATTTTAGATACTGAACACAAAGTATGTGTTATTAAATAAAAAATGGCAATGACAATGTTAATGACATCAGGCTAGTCCACTTAGTTTTTATATCATCATTTACTTACCTCCTTATTATAAAAGTAACTGTTTTTCCACATGAATATCAATACTGTATTAAGTACAGACCTGGAGCAGCTTTGCTCCTGAGAACTGCTTCCAGAATGGCATTACTCAGTCAAAAGGAATGAACCTTTATGTGGTTCTTGGTCAATAATGCCATATTGACCTCCAAAAATATTCCTACCAATTTACATAGTTACATACAATGTAGGCCTGTGCTTGTTTCACCACAACTATTACAGCATTGGGTTTTTTGATTTCCTATTACTTTATTGATATAACAGATCTTAAGTGCTACCTCAGTTTTTAAATTTGTTTTTAGAATATAGTAAATTTAGCTTATTTTAAAAGAAGTATAAAGTACAGATATGCAAGGAGAACAAAACAGAAGCTACCTGTAATTCCATCTTCTAGAGATAGTCCGTGATAATAATCTCCTTCCAGAATTATCCCTATGCACATATATAAGGATACAATAGAACGTGCTTATCTAAATGGCTATGCATAGTTGTGTACTGAATACCAGATTTTAACCTCTTTTTCTTTTAATGTATCATATGCATATGTTTGAAACTGTCAGAAATTATATACCTGTTAAATCCATATTGTAGGACATTCAACTTAGTCTGAAGTCTTATTTTAAAACAATTAATCAGTCTTATACCTAAGCCTTTTGCTGACATTCTTAATGTTTCCTTAGCATAAATCATTGCAGTGGGATTTCTGTGTGAAAGTACTTTTGATGCATATTGACACGTTTCTGTTGGGAAAGTTTGCACCATTCCACATAGCTCTCATTTCCCAGACCTCATCAGAACTGAGTGTTATATGCCTTTAATCTTTCCATCTAACGAGTGGAAAACACATCCATTTTTAAGTTTGCATTTCTTTGGTTACTGAACAAAATTAAATCTTTTCAATGCTTTATCTATGTGCATTTATTATTGCATGAATAACTTATTCATGTTCCCTTATCATTTTGAGAAGCCTCCTATTATACGAAAGATCCCAATTATTTGTCATATATACTACAAATGCTTCCAATGCATTTTTTACTTTAAAATTGTTGTGGGTTATTTTTAACATCTAGATGCTTGTAATTTCTAAGTTTGAAAAAAATCAGTGAGCATTTTCTTTGTTTACTCTGATTTTGATATTATGCTTAGAAAGGCCACATCCAGTCCCAGATGTTTTTTAACTAACATTTTTTTCTAGCTATTTAAAATTTTTCATTATTTTATGATTTCATTTAAAAAGAATCTTTCTATCCTTAATCCAGCTGGAATATATTTGGCTCATCAACTGAGATAAAGATCTAAGCTAAACAGTTAACCAATTATCTCATCACTGTATTGAATGATACATCCTTTCAGCAGTTATTTGAAATGCCATCCATATAAGAGAATAAATTAGCACTTTTTTTTTAACCTGCGGTGACCTGATACCTATCTTCAAATAGTTTGATGCCGCTGACGTGGAAGGAGAATTAGACAGGTCCTATGTGGCCCAAGAAAGTGGAGTTGGAGCCTGGATGGAATAAAATGACCTTCAATGGGAGGCACAGAGGAGCTGATTCACTTGCCAGGTGGATGACACAAGGGAATTGCCTGGACTTCAAATGATCACCCTGGCAGTGGTCTCCCCCATCCCAAAACTGAACTAAAAGAGCTTCCCTAGGCATTTGGGGAAGATAGTTGTATTGAAGGGCTTCCTAATCACCCTCCAATCCTGAGATCCCCTGATTCTATCAACCCAGAGCAAGCTAGGACACAGAAAATTCCATTTCCATAATGTGGCATTAGAAATAGAGAAACCCAAGACTGACGATGGCTGCAACAAATCAAAACAAAGAGACCTTTCCTAGAGGGCCATACAGAAGCAGCAGCTTACTGACCTGACTATCTTGGGGCATCCGGTTCACACCGGGCACCCTTAAGCCAACTGAGCCCAGTGTGAGAACGCAGTCCCAGGGGAGGAGACCGATGGCAGGCGTCCACTCTCCTTGTGGTAAGGGACTTCGGTATCTGGGAAACTATTTGCTCTGTTTATTTTGGACTAGAAAATTGCATCTTGTTTGTCTGTGGTTGTTTAGTGACAGAGAAAAATTAGGAAGTCTAAATTTAAACAAATGCTAAATATATAATTGTTCCAATGAAAACTACGATAGTTATTTTCCCACCTGGTATAAACGTGTAGGAAATAATGCCCCTAGGATCCCACAGACAAAAAGAATGACTTTTTTTTAAAAAATCTTTGGAGTTATTTCTGGGAAGAGCATGACATTTCCTACATTAATTGAATATGGTCAGTTATCCCATCTATTTGAAGGGCATGACACTTGGTCCCTAAAAGTTGAAAAGACGAGGCAGAGTGCCCTTAGTTGGTGTTCTCAGCACACACCAAGTGGGGCTGGCCGATAGTGCTATGAGAAAGAGAAGCAGCCTCAGCCCAGGCCTCCCTCACATCACCTTGTAAGGGCATAGCTCCGGGGACCTCCGGGGACCTTCATGCGCCAAGGGTGAGATCGTGAGAGCAGCTCTGAGCCTTTGGCCTGGCCCAAGTGCCCATTGAGACATTTGCCTCCATCCAGGACAGAAAACAGAGGAAGAAGTGCCTGGATCACCATGATGGACAGCACTACCGGGCCCACCCCACACTTGTACTATCCATACAAGGGTTGTGGGAGGCCCAGGAGCCTGGTCTAGAGGTCCACCCTGACTCTAAGTGGATCGTTCATTTTCGCCAATCGTGACACATTGTCTCCCGGGGTGGCCACAGAACACAGTGGTCAGGACCCTGAACCTGCAAGGCTGCTTGGGATCGTGGCCAAGCCACCTATCCTTTATCCTCTATCACTTCCAATTTCCTCGTCTGCTCCCTGGGATGATGATACGTAGGACCCACCTGGAGTTCGTGTGAAGATTCAGGGGCTCCTCTTTCTCTCTCACACACAGTCTCATGCACGTGTATCCGTATAAGTGTTTCATCTTAGTATTTATTCAAAATATGTGCCACATGCTGGGTAAGTGATGAGGACAATGGCCCTGGTGAGAAACCCCATCATCACGTGGAGCCCCCTCCCCATCTGTGTGGTTGGCGATCCCCTGGGTATTTGCAGGTCTGAGGGATGGCGGAGATGGTTCTCACTGGCTTAAGTGTTCCAGAAAACGGAAGTAGCAATTCATAGTTCATGCTTTCCTGAATTTTTCTCTCAATTTTTTCTTTGACTAACATTTTGAAGGAAATAGGCACTAAGGTCTGAATACATGGAGACGAGGAGAAACGGGCTGGACCAGAGCCCTGAGTGGGCTGTGGGGAGATGCTGCTGTGTTTGTCAGCCCCAGGCGTGAGTTTAGTCTTGAGCCATAGACTTACATCTAGAAGGGGAGAGGGAAGGCTGTCTTCCCAGGAAAGGACGGCAGAGCAGTCTTCATCCATCTCCTCCTAGACTTTATCAGGTAAATTCCCAGTGACTGCAGAAATCAGATTTCAATTTGCGTAATAGCCAAAAGAAAGTCAGGCAGCAAACACACAAAAGCCCACCTCGGTGGCCCACGTGTGGCTGTCTGACTCAGTCTGTGGTTCCAGGCCATGTGTCCTGGTCTCATCTCCAGTGCCAGACCTGCTCCCACTTGGATCCAATTCCCACTCCATCCCTGGCTTCTTCTCCTGCCTCCCACCTCTGTACTTGTGCATTTGCCCCTGGTCCTCCCCAGCTTGTGACCTCAGCTCCCTGGAGAGAACAGTATGGTGGCTGGGACCTGCATGAGCCCCCTTCCGGTGTTGCCAGATGAAATACAGGACTCCCAGTTAAATGTGAATTTCAGATACTTGGGACATATTTATGCTAAACGGTGATTTGTGTTTATCTGAAATCCACATTTAGTTGATACCCTGTATTTTTATTTGAGAAATCTGGCAGCCTCCTTGCACTGGGCTACTTTGCAGGATAGACCAGCTCTCCCAATCCCTGGGACACAGCCCTACCACCCAGTGCCCAAGGGCGGGCTTCACTCCATCGCTGGCCCACCTCTCTCTTGGCTCTTTTCCTGTGTCCAGGAAAATGATTGGCCTGTATATAGCAACCTCTCCTCCGTCGAAGTGCAAGGGAGGTTTTACTTCTAGTACACATTCACTCTGTTCCCTGGGGCAGTCTCCCTCCAACTTGGCAGAAAATCAGCCATGGCTCTTGCCCAGGTAACTGACACATTTTTATTACAAATGTGCTAGGTTCCAGGCGAATAGCTGAGTTTGAGGTGTCTGCGTGGTCCACAATTCCCAATATCCTCCTTAAGAGCTGAAGTTTTCCAAATTTTTTGACAGACATGGGGCCAGGTTTTCATCTTACAGACAGGAATTCTCCCCAGGATTTAGGGTGTTCCCACAGAGCTCTGGAAAAATGGGAATCTGGCCCACAAAAGAAGAAAGCCAGCCTAGAGGGGGGTGTTTGACCTTTGAAGGCTGCAAAACCCAACAAAAGAAGAGAGAATAGACTTAAGAAAAAGTGTTTGCTCAAAGGCATTCTCACTGGGGCCACAAATTACTTATAGAGTGATCAAGAACTGAAAGTTGAAGGAGGATGCCGCTGAACCTCCGTCCACGGATCCCGTGATGAGGGTGAGCAGGAGGGGAATTGAACAGATGTTGTCCATTAATGCACACAATAAATGGGAAGCCAGTGCATCAGCTCCGTGACACCTGTTGCAGAAATCAGTCTGGCAAAAAGACTTCTGTAGGCATGCTTCACCTGCAGAATTTATATTAAGACTAGCACGGGAAAGGCAGATCTGAGGCCAGACACACGCAAGCAGGCAAGATGGAGAAATTGTGTATATTGGAGTCACATCAATTTTCTTGATATCCAGGGGGACAGACTCACACAATCCACTGCTGTGGGCCTAACAGCAGGTGGCTTTATTCCTGCTGGGGAGGACTAAAGTGGATCTGGAGAGGTGTGTGTACATTCACGGGCAACAGAGCAGAAAACAGACCAAAGAATGGGTCCATTCTGTGGGTTCAGAACAATCTTCTGTTTAAAAAAATTCAAGGTTCCCAAGTTTTGTTTAAGAATGGGGAAAGGGAGGAGGCAAGGTCTTACCAATTACAGATACGCAAAGTCTTTATTCATCTGATAAATATCCCGTGAATAAATATTTAGTTTTTTACAGGAAAAACTAAAGCCAGAAAGCACTTTTGTGGTGAGAGGTAGGACTCTGTTTGATGGTTGGTTGGGGAGTGAGTGACTCAGGCCCATGGGGTACACCAGGGTGCCTCCACTTCCAAATTAAAGTGCCCGGCCTATAGAGTTTCATGTGGAAGCACCTACCTTCTGCAGTGCTGGATGCATATCACACTACCGCACCTGGGGCTTGGGAGTGCTCGGAGGAGTATGGAAATGAAACAAGAGCCCATTAAAATGCCAAACACACCCATAGCAGTAGAGAGGAGCAAGGCTTCCCTAGTGCCAACTCCACTGTGGTCTACAATAGGAACCCAAAGCTCCAAAGGAGACAGGCTTGGGTAGACACCCTTCCCTCCTACACAGCTGCACTATCTGGGCTGGGTCCCAGGGAGGTCCCTCAGCTGCATCAGAGCATCATTGTCCCCTTCTACGTTTTCAGCCAGACTCAGGAGAGAGTCCTTCTCCACTTTAGAAAACTGATGTGGAAACCATTTTGAAGCCACCCTGTTTTTATTACAAGCATTCAGAGCCTGTATTAGTCAGCCAGGGTATCATAATGTTACAGGATCTTTGGGGTGTTGATTTTCCGGCCGGAAACCTCTGTGGCCATGGTGCCCTTGCCAGAGTTCTTGTCCTGCATCCAGGAAAAATGAGGTATGTAGACAAGTGAAGTGTGAACAAAACAAGGATGAGCTGTATTGAGTATTACAACAGCTCAGAGGAGACCCACAGTAGGTAGCTCCTCTCTGTAGGCAGGTCTTCTGTTGAGTGTTCAGTTCTCAGCAGGGAGGAGGCCCTGGAGAGGGTAGCTCCTCTGCAACTGGTCATCCTGATGTTGATAGCTCTCAGTGGAGAGGAGGCTCTGGAGGGTGACGGTGGCTGCTCTCTGCAAGCTGGTCATCTCTGCAGCTCTCAGTGGAAAGGAGGCCCTGGAGAGGGTGGCTCCTCTCTGCCAGCAGGTCGTCTCTCTGCAGCTCTCAACAGAGAGGATATTCCTCTTCATCCTCTGGCTGTCCACTGCCCTGCTCTGGTTAAGTCCAGGGCTTTCATGGACCTCAGAGGAAGAGAGGCCAGGCAGCAGGAGCAGATACCCCCAAGCCTGCAGGGATAGCAGCCTTCTTCCTGGAGCCCCCGAGGGTGCAGGCTACAGAGATGCCTAGGTCCTGTGCCTGGGAGGGTGGCCACAGCTGCACCTGGGAGCTCCCACAATGCCAAATCAGAAGGGGTGGGGCTCCCAGTTGTCCCTGCCTCCTGCCTGCTCCAGAAATCAGGAGGCCCATGTCTGCCGCTGCAGGTCTGGCAGCTGCAGCTGCATCCAGGAGGGCAGATCCTGCTTATTCCTGGACCCCCACAAGAGCACAGGGAGGCTCACATCCACAGCCACAGTTTGGACGGCTGTAGCAACACTGGGGAACTCCTGCCCCAACTCAGAAGGAGCGGGGCCCCACTGGCTCCTTGGAGGGTGCAGCCCCAGCCACGCCTCCCTGCTGCAGCCAGTGTGATGGCAGCAGCCACTGCCATCAATAACAGAGGACCGCAGGCTGGGGGCTTAAACAACACATTTATTTGCTCTCAGTTCTGAAGGCTGGAAGTCCTAGATCACAGTGTTGGCAGGGTTGGGTTTCTTTGGAGACCTCTCTTCTTGACTTGTAAATGCCACCTTCTCCCTGTGTCCTCACATGGTCTTTCCTCTGTGCGTGTCTGAGTCCTAATCTCTTCTTAAAAGGACACCAGGCATATTGGATTAGGGCCCACCTTAATGACTTCATTTTACCTTAATTACCTCTAGAGAGATAAGAGCTACTCATATTCTGAGCTACTGAGGGTTAGGATTTCAACATGTGAATTTGGTGGGATGCAATTCAGGCCATCACAGAGCCACACCACCCTTGTGGGCCATCTGCAAGGCAGTACTTACCCAGGTCAGTGGTTAAGCATCCTGCACTGTGTTCTGAAACAGCGCCGTTTCAACTCTCTGGAAATGGGGATAAAAACTCCTTTCTGGCTGGGCACGGTGGCTTACACCTGTAAACCCAGCACTTTGGGAGGCCAAGGCAGGTGGATCACCTGAGGTCTGGAGTTCGAGACTGGCCTGGGCAATATGGTGAAACCCCATCTCTACTAAAAATACAAAAATTAGCCAGGTGTGCTGGTGGGCACCTATAGTCCCAGCTACTTGGGAGGCTGAGGCAGGAGAATCGCTTGAACCTGGGAGGTGGAGGTTGCAGTGAGCCGAGATCATGCCACTGCACTCCAGCCTGGGTGAAAGAGTGAAACTCTGTCTCAAAAACTAACAAACTAACTCCTTTCTTTGGGGGTTGTTTCAGGGTTAAACAAGGTAATGTAGGTCAAATGCCTAGCCCTGGATTGCATTTAGTAAATACACAGGAGCTTCCAGAATCAGAAGAGAGGAAAGTCATGGTGGGTTAATGGGGTAAGCAGCGAGAAGACTTAGGAGTCACCTGGCCTGAACATCTACTGAACTGGATAATCAAAGTTGAGAAAGAAGAAGGCAAAGGGGTGAGGGCACAGGAGGCCTGATGGCAGGAGGGGGAGGGATCAGTGCTCCCCGGACATGAGGGCACGCTCTGGCTGTGGCAACCAGACCCTGAGGCCTGGTCTCCTTCTGAAGACTGAGAACGGCTTGCCTTGGCCATTCCTCATGTCTCGAATGTTCTTGGCCCAGATCTCTGTGAGGCTAGCAGCCTGTCTTTTAGATAACAGCACAAAAGTTCCTGTGCTGGGACTCTCATGGCTGCCCTGCATCAACCCTCTACCCTGCTCTGTGCTGGGAGGCAGACTGTGTTGGGCTGGGCTTGCAAATGTCCCCGGGATTTAACATTTTAGGTATGGGGAGACACAGACACAGACACAACTGCCTTGAAAGAAGCATTCCTTTGCTTGACCAATAGGAGTGGGCATGACACACCAGGCTGCACAGGGCCACGAGGGAAAGGACCAGGGTCATTCAGGAGGCAGAGGGAGCCAGAGGGAGGCAGGGACCGGAGCCTTTATTGCGGTTTTCTCGGGAAGGAATGGGCCAGGTGGGGTGGACATGCTGGGCAGGCTTGGGATAGGGCAGCTTGAATAATCTGGGGCAGCGGATGGGTCTGAGATATAGGGGTGGTCCCTAGTTGTCTCATCCCTGGTCCATACTCTGAGTAGATCTCCCAACTCTTTCCACACTATTGGCTTGCAAGTCTCCCAGTGGACTCTGTACATGTCTGAGTCCTAATCTCTTCTTCTTAACAGGACACCAGGCATATTGGATCAGGGCCCACCTTAATGATTTAGGGCAGGTGGAATATTGGCTTGGTGTGTGTGAGTTAGATAAAGAAGGGGCTGGGGATAGGGACTCTGAATTGGTTGATTTGCATTTGAAAGGAATGCTCTGTGAGCAGGCAAGTTGCTTGCCATTTCTAGGAATTCGCTACCCTGAGGAGGGGAGGGGCGGTTCCTCCCTGTGTCTGCAAGATCACTGGATGTCAAAGCATTATAAAATACAGAAAATATAAAGTGTGATGAATACGGGCTGCAACTGTGGGCTTCTGTCCTTCTGGCTTTTGCAGGGGTAGGGGTATAGAAGGAGGGGTAGGGGTGTAGGAGGAGGGGGAGGGTTGTAGAAGGAAGAGAAGAAGTGTAGGAGGAGGGGGAGGGGTGTAGTAGAAGGGGGAGGGGTGTAGAAGGAAGGGGAGGGGTGTAGAAGGAAGAGAAGAGGTGTAGGAGGAGGGGGAGGGGTGCAGTAGAAGGGAGAGGGGTGTAGGAGGAAGGGGAGAGGTGTAGGAGGAGGGGGAGGGGTGTAGGAGGAAGGGGAGAAGTGTAGGAGGAAGGGCAGGGGGTGTAGGAGGAGGGGGAGGGGTGTAGGAGCAGTGCTGTAGGAGATGAGAGGACAAGAGCAAAATTGGGGCAGTCACTCTCCTGTCCCCTCCCTGGCTGGCTGTGTTACTTCACTGAGTCCCTGCTTCTCCAGGGTGGGCTCTGCAGCTCAACTTTCTCCTTGGTTTCTGCCCCCCCTCATCTCTCCTGGGCTATAGTGCTGCTCCTTATGAGCCCCCCAAACCCTCCCCACACTTGTTGGGGGAAACTGTTTTCAACCCTTCTTTGAATTATCCTAATTTGAGTGTGCAGTCTGTGTCCTGTTGGGACCCCTACTAATATCTGAATAGTCCCAGAGGTGGACTCTATGGCCCTCACAATGGATTCTGGAATTGGGTTGCTCATGTATTCGACGACCTCGGGGGTAACCCACTTACTGGGGACATGATTAGAGCAGGGCACGTGCTGGCATCATGATGATCATATCATCTTCATATTACCATCAGTGGTAGCGTGGGATGAAGTGCAGGTGGAAGGCAAGGCGCTGGGAGATCAAGTGGCTGTGGCACTTAGTTGCTATGGCAACAATAGTGATGATCAAGATTACGGTGTCGTCCAGCTCCTGCATACCACCCAGGGAGCTTGCAGAAGCCATAAAGGGAATTAATGCCATGAATATTCAATTAAGAGCCTGTGTACAGAGGCCGCTCTCAAGGAATCCTCTCCTGTGGCCTCGGGACAGACATGAGTGAGGTTCTAGTTCACGTGCTGATGATTATAGGGTTGTAGAGTAGAGCACCGATTCAAAGCCCAACCCAACCAGGTCTCGCAGAGGTAAGGACAATGGGAAGAAGGACTCGTGGGTATGGTGGGATGGGGACATTTAGGCAGACGTGGAATGAGGCTACATTTCCCTAAACCTTCCTTATCAATATGAGTTAAAAAAAAAAGCAGTAAGAGCAGCCTTATTATTTTCTAATTTGGGTGTGCCACCTGTTTCATATCTTCCTATTGGGGCCCTGCCTGTCACATGTTTTCACAAACAACTTCCTCGCCACCTACTGAAGCCCACTCTCACCATCACCCAGTTACTCTCTGTTACCTTACTCTGTTGTTAGTGAGTTTTTGTTTCTATTATTTATTTTTACCAGTTTAAAAACAATGATCAGGCCGGGCACGGTGGCTCACACCTGTAATCCCAACATTTGGGAGGCAGAGGCAGGTGGATCACCTGAGGTCAGGAGTTTGAGATTAGCCTGGCCAACATGGTGAAAGCCCATCTCTACTGAAAATACAAAAATTAGCTGGGTGTGGTGGTGGGAGCCTGTAATCCCAGCTACTTGGGAGGCTGAGGCAGGGAAATCTCTTGAACCCGGGAGGCAGAGGTTGCAGTGAGCTGAGATGGTACCACTGTACTCTAGCCTGGGTGACAGAGGGAGATTCCGTCTGAAAAAAAAAAAAAAAAAAAAAAAAAAAGATCAAAATGAGTCTCTTTTAGGTACATGTCATGTCATTTTGTGGCCTGTGTCTTACTGGAACAGCAGCTGCCATCACATGGCAGATCCTGCTCTGTGAGGCTCACTCGTCTCTCTCTGTGCCTGGAACAGGCTGGGGACACAGCAGGTCCTCACACACATGATTGAACAATGGAAGGGATAAATGGATGGTCTATAAATGGTTATACTTCCTTGGTGGACACTCCAAACTCCTCCAAAAGGCCTTTGAAAAATTGTTTCAGCTTTATTGGGAGCAGGCAGCCAGCTTTCCAGTCTTGGAGTGACATGCACAAAGCAAGGTTTTGGGGGAGCTGCGAGGGTGGACAGGAAGGGTATAAATGAGGTGGCCAAGTCCACTGGGAGACTTGCAAGCCAATAGGATGGAAAGAGTTGGGAGATACTCACAGTATGGTGGTGACAGACGGGCGCATTCAAGAGACATGCAAGGGAAGAGTTGAAAGAAGGAGACTGAATTGGAAGTCCCGAGAGAGGGGTGGCCAAGAAGAACTGCAGACAGCTCAGTGGGCAACCTGGATGTCTGGCAGGATGGAGGTGCTGTGGGTGGACACAGGGCAAGTAGGGACAGGGTCTGCATGGAATCACTTGGGTGCCTCCCCATCCTCCTTTTGGCCTTGCCTCTGATTCCAGGCCTAGCCATGGTGAGGAGATGAACACTGACCTTGATCAGCGTTGTGCTGATGGTAGCTCATCTCAAGAGAGCACCTCCCATCCCTAACTTCTCATATGTATGCCTGCAGAAGCCGGATTGGAATTCATGGCCGGGCACCTCTGAAGTTGATAAGGGCTGACATCTCATGGACCAACCCTCAACCACTGGGAGACGGGAGCTGCTGGATAAATGATTCTGTCTTCTGTCCCTTGGGCAGATGATGCAGAGATATTTTATTCTCTTTTCATGATGTCCTGGTGATGGGATGGGGAGCTTGATACCACACTATAGTGTGTGTGGCATTGATGGCATTGGCTTTTCCTCCTTCCCTGTTGACCCTCACTAGCACCTCACTGGCATCCCTGGTTGACTTCCTGAAATAAACTACCTGCACACAGTCCTTTTCTAAGGCTGCATTTTAGGAGGGGGAAAGAGGCCACACCAACACAGATCTCTATTGGTGGGAGATCATGTGGCTGGTTTGAGGAGTTCAGAGTTTGATATTATTCTGGCATCTCTACACATGCTGGGTCTAAGATGTGCTACAGGGGTGTGGATTAAACATCACACACCCTAAAATGAGAGCTGTTGCCAGGAACAGGTACATTTCCTAAGAGAGAGTATAAGGAAGACAACAATCGAGAGTGCTAAAAACTGAGTCAAGGGGGAAAGGGTAGTGGGATTAATTCACCCCAGCATGCATTTTCTATTTGTCTACCACGTACCAGGCTGTGCCCGGAAAAAGACTACAGGGATGTGGTTTTTGACCTCATGGAGCTTACAGTCTATGGGGGGAGGCTGACAAACCGATGGCAGTCCCCAGAATGACAAATGTAATAACAGAGGCCCATGTATGGCATGACAGAGGATAGGATCCTCAGGATCCCAAAGATCAAAGTCTCCTCCTGAAAGAAATCTTCCCTGACTTCTTGCAACCAGCAATGGCCTCCCCTTCCTCTGAAATCCAGTTGCATTCCACATTTAGTCCTATCTTGGCATTTGTATTAGTCTGCCCTATCTTGGCATTTGTATTAGTCTGTTTTCACTCTGCTATAAAGAACTGCCTGGGACTGGGTAATTTATAAAGGAAAGAGGCTTAATTGACTCACAGCTCAGCATGACTGGGGAGGCCTCGGGAAACTTACAAACACGGCAGACAGCAAAGGGAAGGCCAGCCATCTTCTTCACAAGGTGGCAGGAAGGAGAAGTACCAAGCGAAGTGGGAAGATTAGCTTATAAACCATCAGATCTCATGAGAACTCACTCACCATCATGAGAACAGCATGGGGGAAACTGCCCCCATGAGTCAGTTACCTCTACCTGGTCTCTCCCTTACCATGTGGGGATTATGGGGATTACAATTCAAGATGAGATTTGGGTGGGGGCACAAAGCCAAACCATATCAACATTTTTCACATATCGCTTTCTGCTGTGTGCTTTCTTTTCTGCAGTGCTCATCTCTTTTAGCCAAATAGATGGCAAGCTCCTTGGTTCCTGGGTCAGGTCTTACAGGTTTTGTCCTTCACTGGTTCTCCCTATCATCCCACCACCTTGACCTTCATTCTTGCCCCAGCCCAAGTCTCTAGCACATGAGCACGCAATGGATCTTTGCATGATTTATTGATAAATGGACCAGCAGGGGGAAAGAGAAAAAAAAGCACAGAGATGAGGTGATTAGAGAATGAGGAGGGAACCAGGCCAGGAAAGATACACCATAATAGCTGGGGTAGGGGAAGCCTCGGAGAGGGAGAGTGTCAGGTGCCTCCCATGTAAAGAGGATGCATTTGAAGAAGTGGCCACAGGTCTAGATCCATAAATCCCCATGGCCCTGCTTGAAGTTTCTTTGCTTCCCCTAGCTTATATCTCCCTGACACCTATGATTTACCACCCTGTATGTGCTGGCGACGCCCACCCGAACACTCTAGTCAGAGCACATTCCTAAACTTCACATCAACACGAACAACCACTTCTAGGGCAACTACATTTGGACATTTCACAGGGACTTCAGATTTCACCTCCTCCAGGAAGGCTTCCAAGATTCCCCACTTCCCAATAGAGTCATTCACTCTTTACCCTTATGTTGTACACATCATAGTACCTTGTTTGCTGTATGTCTGTCTCCGTACCCAGCTGTGAGCTTCTCAAGGGCAGGAGTGTTTTAGCCACTGTGCTGCTCCCACACACAGCCCAGACTCTTTAAAGAATTAGTAAACAAATACAAATGTGAAGTGTTGTAGTGAATGGGAAAAAGAAATAGATTATTAATCTGAGAGATCGACTAAGTTAGCCACTGTTTTACCTAAAGCATAGAGCTATGCAGATGTAAATGGAAAGTAAAAATGGTCGTTGAACAGGAAGGAATATGAGAGGTGGGGAATTTCCACTTGGGAATTTCATCCAGCAGTTCAAAGTGATCCCATACGCAGCAGTTGGAGCGGAGGTTTTATCTCCGGACGCTGGCGGGAAATAATGCATTGTCTGGCTTCGTGACATGAAATTGCATTTCAGCTCAGCCTCACGTGGCGCCTCCTCCTGCAGCCCTTCCACTGCTTCCTCTCCTCCAGGCATGGGAGTCTTGATCACCGCCACAGCCCTCGGAGGCTATTAGAGAAACTCCTACTCCTCTCACTTTAGCAAGGTTGGTCTCAAGGTCTCAGTGTTCCTGAGCCAGAACTGGACCTGTCATTTCCATAGAATGAAATATTTCCCTCCCTTGGAGTGTGCTGGCTTCCAAATCACCGGCGAGCCGATCGCACCCATTTGGCTGTGCTACATCCAATGAAAACAGGCATGAGGACCCCACGGATCTCCTTTGGAGAACGTTCCAAGTCCCAGTCCAACTCTTCCCTTTCTGATTCCTGGGTCAGTGGCTCTAGATCTTGGTGATAACCAGCTTAACTCTCTAATCTACATTGCTCAAAATCCATTATGTGTCTCATCATTCCAGTGAGATAATGCACACATTGAGTGCTGGGGCCCTGCCCACCACTGCAGGGTGATGAAATCTGTGAATCCAAACAAATATCCCATGGGTGATTATTTTGAAGACTGGCAAAAAAAAAAAAAAAACCCAGAGTGAGCCCACTTTATGGAATTGCTGACAGGCAGTTACAAAAGTAACAGGCCTGCTGTTCCTTTGCTTTCAGTAATTTGTAATTGGCCTCCCTTACATGGAATCAAACTAGCAGTCAGGTGTAGCCGATAATAAATAACCATGTGAATTCCATTTTTACCTTTTCAACATTGTGTAGACAGCCTCACTCAAAAATAGTCACCCATGAAATCAAATATACCTGCTAGCCATAGCCCATAGGCCTAACCGCGGGGTTGTGTTGGGTGATGTGAGCAGCCTAGGAACAAGCCCGGAAAAGGTCAGCTCCAGGGAGGTCTGGCAGTCTCCATGGTGACATCTCAAATGACACTGGGGTCAGGGAAGGTCACACTTAAGCACAACAAAGCGGGGCTGCCAAGGTCCCCAGGAGCAGGTCAAAGGGAGCCCACTGTGCAGGGAAGACCTGCCAGACACGGCCCAAGAGGAACAGCAGCCAAGTCCGCTACAGTCCCCTGACCTTCTTCCACTTCTTTCCATGGGAATCTGTGTTTGTTTGGGAATTTGTTTCCTCCTAACTCCTCAGCTCTGGCCTGCCTGCTCAAAAGACCCCAGCGCATAAATGCAGACGTGGCGCGCGTCCATAATTCTATTTGGAAGTGGCCTGGCCGTTCCACTGGTGGCCTCCCAGGAGCTCTCAGGGCCTCTGTAGCAGCCGCTTCCACACTTGCGTCTGCAATGGGCTGGGCCACATCGGCATTGAGAAAGGGGCTCATTTTTTCATCAATGACACCTTGCCGAGTGTATCAGTTAGCATTTATGCCTCAGGAGGCACCTTGCATTTACAGGTATTATTTTATTTAATATTGGCAACTCCGTGAGCTTGATGTGACCATCCCCATTTTACGGATAGGGAAACTGAATTCACAGAGGTTAAGCAACTTGTCCAAGGTTACCCAGGCAAATGTGGCAGAGCTGGGCTCAAACTCAGGTGTGTCTTAACCCAAAGCCTCTGTTGCCTCCACGGCAAGTGATATTGTTCTGCATTTCTGGGTCTGATAACCCCATTCTTCCTAAATTCGCAGGCAGCTCTTCTGAGGAACTCACCCAAGTCCCAGGCTTTCTCAGAATTTTGAATGTCTCTGGTGTGGTGTAGGAAACTGGGGCAAGGGAGTTTACAAGATAACATAGCGGCTTGATGTAATCAACTTAGCCATTAATCTTAAAATCCCAAATCAATGATTTGACATGTACAGTTTGCATGATGACTAGATAGCCAGTAGTTATTTTCTTAATGAATTGATGGGATTACCTGATTAGTGGCCACTGAAAATAGTTAAGCCAGTTGCTTTTTGTTTGTGTTTTTTGAGACAAAATCTCACTCTGTCACCCAGGCTGGTGTATAGTGGTGTTATCATGGTTCACTGCAGCCTCGAACCCAGGCTCAAGCGATCGTCTCACCTCAGCTTCCCAACTAGCTGGGACTACAGGTAGGCACCACCATGCCTGGCTAATTCATTGTTTTGTTTTGTTTTGTGTTTTTTTTTTTTTTTTTTTTTTTTTGTAGAGACAGGGTCTCTCTATAATGCCCAAGTTGGCCTCGAACACCTGGGCTTAAGTGATCCGCCTGCCTCAGCCTTCTTAAAGTGCTGGAATTACAGTCTTGAGCCACTGTGCCTAGCCAAGCCAGTTGTTAAGTTATTAGAAGATGTAATAAAAAGATTTATTTCTATAAGGCATGCTGTTGAAAGGAAAATGCAACCCAGGTTAACGTGACGACAGTGCCCCTTCCCTTGTGCTGTCTGAAAGGCACTGGGCAGGGCCCTGCATACCTCCCCTGCCTCATCCTCCTTCTCCCACCCCCACCTCCTGCTCTATTGACCCAAGATGTTTAGGGGTCTCCAAACACCTCCTGGCGCTACAGACCATGCTGCCTCTACTCCCCTCTTTTGCCTCCTTGGCACGCCCTTCCTCTGGGCTTGCCCAGGAGATACTCACCCTTCAGTGCTCAGCCCAGGCATCTTCTCCAGGCAGCTCCCCTGACCCCCGGGCTCTTCTGTGCTCCCACAGTCACCCCTCCCTGCGGGGCACATGGGCATCCCTGCACATACCATGAGTATTAGTTCCCTGTCACTGCTGTCACAAACCACCACAAGTTTAGAGGCTTAAAACATGCACATTTATTATTTTACAGTTCTGGAGGCTAGAGTCCAAAAAGGGTGTCACTGGGCTAAAATCAAGGCATCAACTGGGCAGTGTTCCTCCTGGATGGTTCTAGGGGGAATCCATTTCCTTGCTTTTTTCAGCTTTTGGAGGCCGCCGTCATTCCTTGGCTCATGGCCCCTTCCTCCATCTGCACAGCCAGCAATGGCTGGTCCAGTCCTTTTCACGTGGAATCACTCTGATGCCTGCATCTGTCACCGCGTCTCCTTCTCTGACTCACTCCCTTGCCTCCCACTCATAAAGACCCTATGAGTGCATTGGGCCCACCTGATAATCCAGGCTCAGCTCTCCATCTCAGGGTCCTTGACTTGTCACATCTGCACAGCTGTTTCGTCATCTAAGGTAACATAGTCACAGGTTCTGAGGATTAGGACATGGACGTCTTTGGTGGGTTACGATTTTGTTGACCACACCATGTGCATCCACACTTCTTCATTCTCATGAGTAGCTCTTATTGGAATGTGAGCTCCCTGGGGCAGAGCCCGTGTCCCGCTCACCTTTGCAACCCTCTCACCTGCCACTGGATCTCACACACACAGTGGAAGCATCATAGGTTTCAGATAAACTGAGTTCAGCCGTCTCCCCTACTCCCCTAAATTGCATTTCTACTATCCCTGCTAACATCCTAATGCTTCACTTCAAAGAGCAGAGCAGAGCAGAGAGCTTTAGACACTGCCTGGGAAGGGCGTGGCCACGCTCACCTTGCACACATCAATCTTCAGACGACCGCCTCTCCTACCCTAGGGTGATGCATATTTGAATGGGAACTCCTGGAGACCAGAATCCCTGAGGCTTGGAGGAGTGACAGTTTGAAGGTGGAATGACAGGTTGCAGGACGGACTTTCTCAGGCACTTCTTCCCCGCACTGTCTGCTTGGGCGGGGCAGGAGCCTGGGTTAAACCACTCTCACCTGAGCAGGACCCAGACTGGCAATTTTATTTTCTAATATCTACGCCAATGCCTGGCTGCCTCCTGGTCTGTAAGACAGACAGACCAAGCCATCTGAGGACAGAAAGGCAGGGTGGGGCTTAGAGGCTGGATCTGGGGCACCTGGACAAACTGCCCTTGCCAGCAGTGTCCCCTCCGCTGGTGTCCGATGTGGGCTCCATCGTGGCTCAGGCTTCCATGTGCATCTCCAAAGCACACCTTCCTCTCCAGCAGGATCACTTTTACGGCTCCCACGTGGACAGGGTGGGCGTGGCCACGCCCCCTCCCCAGGCAGTGTCTAGAGCTCTCTGCTCCGCTGTGCTCTTTGGTCTGTCTCTGGGTTGGGGCCAGCCAGTTTGAACCTCAACAAAGGCAGGATTTAAAAAAAAAAAACAAAAAAAAAAACAACAAAAAAACATGCTCCATGCTTAGAGAGAATGAGATTTTAGACCTGTAATTGAAAAATGCCTAGGGGAAGAGTACCTAAATGGAACCACCAATAACACAGGAAATTGATTCTCTGCAGTTTTACAGACCAGCCGGGACCGCTGATGACAAGCCTCCTCCAAGCCAAACCCAGCAGTGCAGGCACTGAGGCCTTCTCCCTCTCTCTCTTTCCTCTCTCTCCCTCCTTCTCCCTCTCTCTCCTTTTTCTCTCTCCTCTAGAGACAGTCTCTTCCTCTTTCTCTCTTCTCTTTCCCTCCCCTCTCTCCTCTTTCCCCTGTCTCCTCTCTGTCTCCCTCTCTCTCTCCCGCCCCCTCCTCTTTCCTCTCCCGCCCCCTCCTCTTAACTCTCCCGCCCCCACTCTCTGGGGCTGGGTTAGCTATCTGTGAGGCTCCCAGAGCTGGAGGCACCGAGCCCACCCTTCTCCTAGACAAAGCAGCACACAGGCAAACTGGAGTCTGTAATTAGATGTCTTCCAGGGCCCTCCTGCCGGGCTCCTTTCAGCAAAGTTGCGACCCCTCCCGCTGGCCCTCTTCAGATTGCAGACCATCTTCTGACCACGCAGGGAGTCTGCAAGGCCTCAAGTTGCAGCTTCTCTGAGCTGCTCAGAGTTGCTCTGAAGGAAAGCAGACGACACCAGCCTCAAAACGGTGGCCACTCTGCCGGGCCCAGTTCAACACAAGTGCTGGCCTCTGAAGTCAGAACCGACCCAGCTTGAGTCTGGCTGCAGGGGGCAGTTGCTCAGCCTCCCTCATCTGTGCTAGATCAGGGGTCGGGGTGTAAATATTTTTGGCCATAAGGTCTCAATGGCCACTACTCAGCTCACCCACAGCAGAGCAAAAGCAGCCCTAGTCAATACGTAAACAAATGAGCATAGCTGGGTTCCCAAAAAACTTCATTCACAAAATCAAGTGGCAGCAGGATTTGGCCCAGGGTGGCAGTCTGCTGAGGATCATGAGGGTGCCTATCATATAGGAATGTTGAGAAAACCTGAAACGCCTGTTGGGCTCTTTGTAGCGCAGAAACACAGCCAGGAAACGCTGATTAATGCATGTGCATGGCACCCAAGCCTTGGTTCAGGGTCAGGACTGGTCCTGCATGGAGTCTGCTGTAGAACACAGGATTCGCCTTTGACCTCTCCAGGCTGCTGCATATGGAAAATGGGACGGTGAAATTGAATTCGCGTTGATGGTTCACAAATGTCAGATGCATCCACACCCTAACTGAGCAAATGACTCCTACACACTTTGACACACCTAGCCCTGGTGGTGGACACCCGGAGGCTGCAGCAAGAGGGGAGGTCCTGTTGATGCTATCACTAAATATTTCTAGACTCTGCCTTTCTGTTCTGTAACTTTGCATCTTCACAGTCACTGTGTCATTTCCCGTCTGCATCACGGATTCTGCCTCTCACCCTATCCACTGCAACCTTTCCTCTCCAGGCTGCCAGGCTGTTCTTTTGACAATGCAAGTCTGATGGTGTCAGCTCCTGTCTAAGATACTCAATGGCTTCTGCAAAATTCCACAAAGCCCTTCTAGTAAGGGGTTTATGAGCTGCTTTAGCTCATCAGCCCTTCACTGGAGGCATAATGGGCTGGAAGGGTGAACATGGAAACACTAGCTGATTATCTCTGTGGGGGATTTGGTGAAGACAAAAGGGGAGGGGGACTACACACACTTCTTATTTTATATGCATTTGTATTTCTTGAATTTGTAAATTATGTATTCGTTTTTTATTGCAGTGTACCAATTACCACTAAATGGAGCAGCTTAAAACAATAAACATTTTTTCCTCATTGTTTCTGTGCATTGGGAATCCCAGAGCAGCTTGGCTGGGAGGCCATGGCTCGAGGCTGCCCTGGAGATGTTGGCTGGAACTACAGTCATCTGAAGGCGTGAATGGGGCGGATGATCCACTCTGGAGCTCACTTGAAGCAGTTGGCAGGCACCTCGGTTCCTTGCTGGCTGTTTGCTGGCAGCCTCAGCTCCTTGGCACACAGGTCTGTCTCTCCATAGGGCTTCTTATGTACCTTCATGATATGGCAGCTGGCTTCCCCCAGAATAAAGGATCCAAGAGAGAGCAGGAAACAAGCAGTCATGCCTCTTATGACGCAGCCTAGGACATCATCACTTCTGCTGCATTCTGTTCAGCAGAAGAGAGTCATGAGGTCCAACTCACATTCAAGAGGAGTTGGGATTGACCTTCACCTCTGGAAGGGAAGAGTGTTAAAGAATTCATGGGTGTATTTTAAAAGTACCACACATTCATGTATTAATTTTCCCTCTTGGCCATTATCAGATCTCAAACAAGACTGCAATCTCCCCTGAGCTTCAGTTTTTAATCTGTAAAAGGAGAATGACGATGCCTAATTCCTAGGAACGCTAGAGATGAGCTGAAATCATGCCTGGGATGGATGCTAAATGAAACACACGTGGCTGTTATTTTGCAGTGCTGAGAAGGTCCCTGTCAGCCTCCTCTCCTGGCACCGTCCCAGACACCTTGGGCTCCAGCCACACCGAATGGCTGAGGTCTCCCTCCTGCTCTGTGCCCCTTCAGATGCCGTGTTTCCATGCGCTTCACACATCCTGCTTCTTTTGCCTACAAGGCCCTGCCCACTTTTACAATTATTCCTGCTTTTATTAATACTTATAAGTATCATTCTCTATATAGCCCCCACCAAAGGCTTTTTTTTTTTTCTTTGAGATGGAGTCTCACTTTGTCACCCAGGCTGGAGTGCAGTGGTGCAACCTCAGCTCACCGTAACCTCCGCCTCCTGGATTCAAGTGATGCTCCTGCCTCTGCTTCCCAAGTAGCTGGGACTACAGGCGCGCACCACCACGCCCAACTAATTGTTGTATTTTAGTAGAGATGGGGTTTCACCACATTGGCCAGGCTCATCTCAAACTCCTGACCTCAGGTGATCCACCCGCCTCGGCCTCCCAAAGTGCAGGGATTACAGGCGTGAGCCATTGCGCCCAGCACCAAAGACTTTAAATACCGAAAGAGCTTACATTTCAAATAGCTTTAGGACAGAAAATCAAACCAAAACAGGAGAACACTTCTTGTTTCCAGTTCCCTGCAGAGATAATTTTCATTTTCGGTGGAGAAGTGTGCTAGCGAGGAGTGCTGTCAGCTCCAGCAGAGCCAGGCACCCATGCTTAGGCTCCTTCCCTGAAAAGCGGCAGGAGGGCTGACCTCACCAGATCGTTTGGCTGATTAGACCTATTCGCATATTCATATGCAAAAAGTGCTGCCTCTGTCTTGCTGTTCACTGTCTCCGAGGCTGCAGAGGTGTGTCAGCAAGTCCTCTGGGTAAAAACCAGCTGGCTCCTGGGCCATCATGTGAAAGGTAAGGAAAAGGAAAAAGCCCCTGATTCTTAGAAACAGAAGTCTACAGGATTCCTTGCAGCATCTGTGTGTGATTTAAAAGGAATAGAGGCACTGTATGGCTTATCTGTAAGTCAGGTTTATCCAACCCGTGGCCCACAGGCCACATGCGGCCTGGGATGGCTTTGAATGCAGCGAAGATTACAAACACAAATTTGTAAACTTTCTTAAAACATTATGAGTTTTTTTGCAACTTTTTTTTTTCTCATAAGCTATTGTTAGTGTTAGTGTATTTTATGTGTGGCTCAAGACAATTATTCTTCCAGTGTGGCCCGGGGAAGTCAAAAGATTGGACCCCCCCTACCAAAGTATCCAACAGGAAAATAAATATGAGAATCCCAACTCTTGCAACTTACCCTATATCACAACCTTATCGTTTCAACAGGGTTTCATATTTTTTCATTAAGCCTCTCTTCCAGATTAGTGGAGTTGAAGGGGCAGGCATGAGAGACCCTTTTGTTTAGACTGAGTTCCTTTGACTTGATTGCATAATTAATTTCTATGACAGTTTCATATCATTTTTCATTTTGAAGAATATATATTTTTGCCTAAACGTTTATTTTCCACATATGTATTTGTGTGGCAATTTCCTTATTATTTCTCTCATGGGTTCTAGTGATAAAAATCTACCAATAATTGTACCATAGAGGGGCAGCCCTTCCAGAAAGTTCCCTGTGGACACATTTGTCTAGATACAGCACTGGGGCTCAGGGACCCCCACCCCACCCCTCACATAAGAAACAGGCAGCAGCTCCTCACACATCAGGCCCATGGGTAGAAATGTTATAAGAAAATACGGTGGCCACAGCAGGTTTCTGTCTCTGCAGGTTGCTCCCTTCTATCTTGGAGGATAAAACGTCATGTCACTGCGAGCGACAGCTTCATTACAGTGTGTGCCATGAACGCTGGGACTCATCAGCAGAGGGGTTCCTTGTGGCTCTGAATGGCATCTTGTCCATTTCTTTAGGGATTGGGCAGAGTCAAGAGAAAACCGATAATCATTTCATTGCCCAGGTGCCATTTCAACAAAGTTCCTGGGTAGTAAACATGTTTTCTGCCCAGGCCCATGGAAGGGGCAAAGCTCAAATGGCATTGGGAATCTCTGTGCTGGAAGCTGCCAATGGATCTGTGAAGGGGATTGCCTTGGGGAGGCAGGAAGGCTGGTGTTTTGCCACCAGAATGTTACAGCTACAGTCTTTGTTTCACTGAAACACTGACCCTACAGAGCCGGTAGTGTTCCCTGTGGGAACCTCCTACTAGGACCCTCATCGGTCACACAGATCACTCTAGGGACCTGAGTTAGGGGCTGATAGTTAGGGGCTAATAGTTGTGGCCGCTCTGCCTCTGGGGTAGACAGGTGTGCATGGAGGGTGCGGAGCCTGTTTGAAATACAAGTGAGCTACAAGCCCCAGGAGCCACAGAGCCATCTCCGTGTGTTGGGTACTGTCTGTCTCTGCCAGGTATTGCTGTGAGCCCCACGAAAACCTTGTCATCCCTGACTGTGATTTATCTCTCAGTTTCATTGAAAACATATCACTCTGGGTTGGGCAAAGTCAAGGTACCAAAAAGGCTTTTCACCTTGAATGTTAGCTCCAATCTAACAGTGATGTGAGACAGAGCTCTGGGATCAGTTATCAATGTCTCCCATGAGCAGAGAAGGAGGTGGTGGTGACATGCTTGCTCTGTCTTCCTACACTGGCCGGAATCCCTGAGGCAATGCACACCCAGAGTTATGAACTACACTGTCTCCCCTGACCATCCTACAGTGAGAAGAGAGGCAGTTGTCTTGGAGATACTACAATATCTTGGAGTTGTTCTGCAGGGTGGCCCTTAAAAATCCTTCAGGCAGCAGGCATCTGTTCACACCAGGTCTTTGAGAAACTGTGTCAGCATGGTATGGATGAATGGATAAGTGCTCCACAGGCTAGTAATTAAAACTGAGGGGCAGGTTTCCATAAAGAGGAGTGGAGCTCTTGCTAGGGGTCTTGTGCATAAGACCTAGATTTTAGACCAAACAAGAGAAGAGAAATGAAGCCAGCGTCAGCGCAGCGTTCCAGTGCAGGAAATGGGCGGTGAACACAGTGGGTCGTGGTAGCAGTGTGTAGTCTCAGGGTCTCCACGAGGCCACAGCCAAGTCCCAGGGACTGAGTTCAGAGGTTTTAACAACACTATCTAATTGGCATGCCATAGATTCTTGGGGTTTGATAGAACCTCTCAGGTGATCAAGTTCCCCCACTGTCCTATACCTCCTGTTGTAGCCCCAATCTCAGGAGCTAGGACAGGCTGATGTGAGAGGCATGGCTGTGGCTGTGGGCTGCAGGGAAGAACATCTGCCTCCTGCTCTTCCAGGCTCTCATCCAGCACAGTCAGATCAGAACAGCAGCCTTTGTTATCCTCCGTGCAGCCTTCATCCAACCAGTCATCCTGGCCTCTGCAGGACTCTGCAAAGGAGGCCATGACAGCATGGGTCCCGGCCCCTCTCTGGGAGGTCCCCCAGCCCCAACACTCCATCTGTCTTCACCCTGGCTTCACTCAAGCCTACAGTCACCAAGAATTGCCCAAGGGGCATTGTGGGTTGGCAAGGCCTATACCCAAATATTCAGAACCCCAAATTTCAAATCCAGGAAGAGCTTCCTACAGTCATGCACTCTTTGCACCATGATTAAAACCAGCAACATGTTTCCTTTTTTTTCTTCGTCCATACTCTTGCCGAAACAAATCATCATCTGATGCGGTAATGGCGACTGCCCTGCCCTGCCTTCTTCTCAGGGCCGTTGCAGGGGATGGGAAGGGAGCTGAAAGGCCCCAGTATACTGAGAGCATTTGCATGGCTGGCAGCTGAGTGCACATGTGAATGATTAAAATTCTTCTCCCCAGCAGACGTGACTCCACGGTTGCTGCCTCTCAGTGTCAGACAATTGTGAGTCAGATGCGTCATGAAGTTTCTGCTTCCCTGCTCTGCCACTCATTTCCCAGACACGCTCTGGCTTGATGACTGACACTGTGAAGCTGGTGGTGTCCTTTGCAGCATGGAGATGACAGTGGACCCCTTCATGAGCAGTAAACACTGTGTCCTCTTGTGCTTCTGGGTGCTGGGCTCCCAAAACCTGCCCCAGGGTCTCAAGGATTGTAGGTGATGCTTGGCCTAACTTCATGACCACTTCCTCTTATACCTGGGTTTTGTGGAGGGGAATTTGCATTGAAGCAGGGATCTGCCTGCACTTGAGAAGGTCCTTAAAGTACTGGTAGGATTAGCTCACACTGAAAGAAGGAAAATGGGAGTCATACTAAATGCTTTCAAGGTCAGAGGTGGTGCTATCTTGTTTCCAAATTTACTGTTACAGACAACTTGCTACCAGCCAAGAGGATTGCAAGGTCTGACTATTTCAGGTTCCAGCATTAACCACACATTGTTTCTTAAGCAAATCAAGCCAAAGACAGGTCCTACTTCTCTGGGCAAGTCTGAGGGAACTTCTGTAATCATCATAGAGGAGAAGGACCAAAGGGTCTGGCACTGCCGTGGGGGACAGGGATGGGCCTGGAGGACTCTGGAGGAGGACAGCGCCCTGGTTTCACACAAGGATGCTGCTGTGCCACACTAAGCCCAAGCTCTTCAGATGGGCCCTGGGACTCAGCCCTGTGCCTCTGATCCCTCTCTGGGCTGCAACATGCCAGAGCTCAGACCTTGGTCAAACCATAATCCGGATGGTGCCCAGGCCCTGCGTCTGGTCCAGCCATGTTCCTCAGGAAAGGAAATGATGGGCTGTGTGAAGTTCATTTTAGGTTTCAACTCGACCTGCCTCAGAGAGGCTCACATAGTTGGTAAAGTATTATTTCTGGATACGTCTGTGAGGCTGTTGATGGAGATTAGCATTTGAGGCAGTAGATTGGATAAAGCAGATCAGTCTCATCAATGTGGGCGGAAATCATGCATCCATTGAGGGTCCCATAGAACAAAAAGGCACAGCTGTCTTGTGAGCTGGGACATCCATCTTCTCCTGCCCTTAGACATTGGAGCCCCTGGTTCTTGGGCCTTCAGACTCCAAGATGAAGCCTCTGGTTCTTAGGCCTGTGGTCTTAGACTGAATTATGCCCCCAGCTTTCCTTCTTCAACTTACAGGTTGTGGGTGTATTACTCTGTTTTCATGCTGCTGATAATGACATACCCAAGACTGGGAAGAAAAAGAGATTTAATTGGACTTACAGTTCTACATGGCCAGGGAGGCCTCAGAATCATGGTGGGAGGTGAAAGGCACTTTTTACATGGTGGCGGCAAGAGAAAAATGAGGAAGATGCAAAAGCAGAAACACCTGATAAAACCATCAGATCTTGTGAGACCCACCCACTACCAGCATGGGGGAAACTGCCCCCATGATTCAAATGATCTCCCACCGGGTCCCTCCCACAACATGCAGGAATTATGGGAGTACAATTCAAGATGAGATTTGGGTGGTGACACAGAGCCAAACCATATCATTCCACCCCTGACCCCTCCAAATCTCATGTCCTCACATTTCAAAACCAATCATGACTTCCCAACAGTCCCCCAAAGTCTTAACTCATTTCAGCATTAACCCAAAAGTCCACAGTCCAAAGTCTCATCTGAGACAAAGCAAGTCCCTTCTGCCTATGAGCCTGTAAAATCAAAAACAAGCTAATTACTTCCTAGATACAATGGGGGTACAGGCATTGGGTAAATACAGCCAAACCAAATGGCAGAAATTGGCCAAAACAAAGGGGTTATAGGGTTCATGCAAGTCTGAAATCCAGCAGGGCAGTCAAATTTTAAAGCTCCATAATGATCTCCCTTGACTCCATGTCTCACATTCAGGTCACACTGCTGCAAAAGGTGGGTTCCCATGGTCTTGGGCAGCTCTGCCCCTGTGTCTTTGCAGGATATAGCCTCCCTCCCAGCTGGTTTCATGGGCTGGCATTGACTGTCTGTGGCTTTTCCAGGGAAACAGTGCAAGCTGTCAGTGGATCTACCATTCTGGGGTCTGGAGGACAGTGACCATCTTCTCATAGTTCCACTAGGCAGTGCCCCAGTAGCGACTCTGTGTGGGGGCTCTGACCCCACATTTCTCTTTCATATTACCCTAGCAGAGGTTCTCCATGAGCACCCTGCCGCTGGTGCAAACTTCTGCCTGGACATCCAGACGTTTCCATACATCTTCTGAAATCTAGGCAGAGGTTCCCAAACCCCAATTCTTAACTTCTGTGTACTTGCAAGCTCAACACCATGTGGAAGCTGCCAAAGCTTGAGGCTTGCACCCTCTGAAGCCACAGACTGAGCTCTATGTTAGCTCCTTTCAGCCATGGCTGGAGCAGCTGGAATGCAAGGCACTAAGTCCCTATGCTGCACATAGCATAGGGACCCTGGGCCTGGCCCATGAAACCATTTTCTCCTAGGCCTCTAGGCCTGCGATGGGGGAGGCTGCTGTGAAGACCTCTGACATGCCCTGGGGATATTTTACCCATTGTCTTGGGGATTAACATTAGGCTCCTTGTTATTTATGCAACTTTCTACAGCCAGCTTAAATTTCTCCTCAGAAAATAGGGTTTTGCTTTCTATCACATTGTCAGGCTGCAAATTTTCTGAACTTTTATGCTCTGCTTCCCTTATGAAACTGAATGCATTTAACAGCATCCAAGTCACCTCTTGAATGCTTTACTGCTTAGAAATTTCTTCCACCAGATATCCTAAATCATTTCCCTCAAGTTCAAAGTTCCATAAATCTCTAGGGCAGACGCAAAATGCCACCAGTCTCTTTGTTAAAATGTAACAGGAGTCACCTTTGTTTCAGTTCCCAACAAGTTCCTCATCTCCATCAGAGACTACCTCATCCTGGATTTCATTGTCCATATCACTATCAGCATTTTGGGCAAAGCCATTCAACAAGTCTCTAGGAAGTTCCAAACTTTCCCACATTTTCCTATCTTCTTCTGAGTCTTCCAAACTGTTCCAACCTCTTCCTGTTACCCAGTTCCAAAGTCACTTCCACATTTTCAGGTTCTTTTCAGCAGCACCCCACTCTACTGGTACCAATTTACTATATTAGTCCGTTTTCATGCTGCTGATAAAGACATATCCAAGACTGCGGAGGCCTCAGAATCATGGTGGAAGGTAAAAGGCACTTCTTACATGGTGGCAGCAAGAGAAAATGAGGAAGATGCAAAAGCGAAAAAGCTTGATAAAACCATCAGATTCCACTATCACGAGAACAGCATGGGGAAAACCACACCCTGATTCAAATTATCTCCCACTGGGTCCCTCCCACAACACATGGGAATTATTGGAGTATAGTTCAAGATGAGATTTGGGTGGGGACACAGAGCCAAACCATATCAGTGGGACTTCTTGGTCCCCAAAATCTCCTGAGCCGACTCCTATAACAAATCCCCTCTTAGACGTCTCTGTCTATCCTGATTGGTTCTGCTTTTCTGAAGAGCCCTGACTAATTCAGACAGGCAGTTGGCACCACTTCCTTCAACAGCCTGTCTCCTTTTGGCCTCTTCCCCATTTTTATAAGTGCCTACTATTGATTGTTCGGTTTGGTGGAATCTCAGCAGAATATTAGGGAGAATGAAAAATGTCTGATTCCTATAACTAGCAAAGAAGCACCCGCAACTACTAGGCATGACTGGCCTTATCTCTGGGTGGCCTTGGCCCACCAGAAATTCCCATGGCCACCCTGACCCCATGTTCTGCTCTTCACCACCTCTGTGGAGGCTTGGAATTTGACTTCTTCCCTAAGGCTTTGTCCTGACCTGATGGATGAGACACCTCCCAATGTCATCTCCTTGGCGTCCAAGGCCTCCGCAGAGTCATGCCTATGAGACAAGGTGCCTGCCACTAGGGCCAAGGCCACTCTGTGTATATTATGCATAACGATAGCACTGCTAGCATTTACTGCGTGCTTGCTACACCCCAAGCAGTGCCAGAACTTCACATGCCTTCATTCTTTCAGTCTTCACGACAGCCTTTGAGGTGGGTATTAGACTGACTTCCATTCATCAGACAAAGAACGGAAAGGGTGAATGTTTACTCCTCACCTCCTCTGTGTCCTTGACTTTGCTGAGTGCCCTAAGTACATTATCTCACTTTGTCCTCATATGGGCTCTGTGAAATGGGTGCCCATTTCACAGATGCGCACACTGGAATCTTGGAAGAGGGTAGGAAACTTGCCCAGGCCAGAGTTTGTAAGCATTAGGGCCAGAAGACTCAACCTCAGGCAGTCTGACTCTAGGGTGCCCACTATAGCTATCCTAAGACCCAGGTGCGCTTTTTGCTTCGAAAACACCCCAGGTCCTCAGTCCTACCTAGTGATTCTGCTGTACTGAGCCCTCGGAGGTGACCCTGGTGTCTTCCACAGAGGGTCCCATTTTGTGTAGCAGGAGATCAAGTCAATTTCCTGGGCTGCTAGGGCACCTGGTGGCAATGTAGTGACCCACTCTAAACCCCCCTGGGTGGGTGAGGGCTGGGATGTGGAGCCCATGAGTGGACATACTCCTGTTTTTGGGGGTGCTCGGCTGACACACCCCCAGAAAGCCTTGGAAAATGAATGTACTCGAAACATGGTGGTTAAACTCAATCTGTAGTAGTGGCGGTGGGGGAATGGGGGTGCCAGAATGGCACAAGAGAATTTTTACATAACGACAACCATATGTCCTAAAAGAATGGGAATGGTTTTCCCTTTTTGCACAAGGACCCTGGAAACTGCTTCAGGAAGTTAGCGTCAACCCTCTGAGTAAGTTAAACAAAACGTGTCAGAAAGGCAGACGAAGTGAAAATGTGCCCTCCAGCATCATGTGGCTTCTGACATTCCTGGCCATTAACCACATTAAATTGACAAAGACACTGTATGGAGACAAAGGAAATTTCAGAGTATCTTGGATGAAACGAAATCCTTCAAAGATCAAATTGTTTGCTTTTCATATAGCTCTCTAGGTAGACTTGAAATTTAATCTTGTACTGATGGCATTATTAGGAAGAAAAATTCACATGGAAAAGAATATGCATTGTTTACTGGCATTTGGTCTTTTTTTTTTTTTTTTTTTTTTTTTTTTTTTTTTTTTTTTTTTTTTTTTTTTTGAGACGGAGTCTCGCTCTGTCGCCCAGGCTGGAGTGCAGTGGCGCGATCTCGGCTCACTGCAAGCTCCGCCTCCCGGGTTCACGCCATTCTCCTGCCTCAGCCTCCCGAGTAGCTGGGACCACAGGCGCCCGCTACCACGCCCGGCTAATTTTTTGTATTTTTAGTAGAGACGGGGTTTCACCGTGTTAGCCAGGATGGTCTCGATCTCCTGACCTCGTGATCCGCCCGCCTCGGCCTCCCAAAGTGCTGGGATTACAGGCGTGAGCCACCGCGCCCGGCCTGGTCTTAATTTTAAAGACTGTGGTTAATACTAGGAACACACTGGTCTCCCCACTTATGGTAGCATTATACATAGATTTGTTTCTAGCATCATTTTCAACACGCACTCATAAGGACTGTAATTTGTGTCTGAAAAATCCCCCTACTTATGAAACCTTGACATTGAAATGAACAACAATGACCATATTGACTTCAGTGCCCCCATCACGGGACTGGCTGCTGCATACACTTCCAATTTCCTAAGCGTTTCTTTGTCAATTGGCATCAGATAATGGGCACTTAAAGTGAAGCCATTTCCTGTCCATTTTCTTACCTCATTATTCTGATTAGTGTGGAATGACACCACTTGAACTTAACTTTATGATCAGAGACAAGGGAAAACCAGCAAGCTCTTAGCCTTCTTGTCCCCTTTCCCCTCCTTCCAAACTGTAGACTCCGTGTGGAGCAATTCCTAGGAATCTTTTTCTTAGGACGGGAAAAGACTTTATTACTGAAGAAAACAAAAGCGATTCTGAAGGGTTTGAGAGCTGTAACTCAAAGCACACTGTTTAATAATGACATCAGAATCAAATGGTTCTGGGGCAACTAAGCATCATGACCTGGGATTGCAAGCATAAGCTTTTAAACCTCAAGTTTGAAACTGGAGTGACTTCTTTGTTTTTTGAAGGTTCTCTAGAAATGTGAGCAGGCATCTCATCTGTGGGCACACCGAGTTTAATGGGCTTTTATTTGTGCCAAATTAAGCTTTGAAGTGAGTGCTCCTTGCAATGCCTGAGGAAAGCTGATGCCTCAGTCGGTGCTTTTTATTTTTATTTTTCTCATCTTAGAGATGTGAGATGATGTACAAAGTGCTGGCTGATCTTCCTAAATGACAAGTTGTTGGAGATACTGCATTCCTGGTGACTTGGAAGGTGGCCGCATTTCCACTCCTGTGGGGTCTTCCCTGGATGCAGCTCTCTTTCAGTGAAGGAAAACTCTGTCTTTTCTGCAGAAACAGCCATTCTGAAATCTGAGGATTTCACTTAGCTGTCATTTTCAATCATCTCTGCTTGCATGGTGTTATGAATCACATACTGTCTTTTTGCGACCTTAAACTTTTTTTGCTTATTGAACTTCTCTGCTACCTCATTGGAATAAAGAATGGTATATACATGTCCTGGTACAGATCTATACAGCTAAGCTATCTATTGGCTAAGCTATCAAAATAGCCACAGCAAAAGAAAACAAGCCTTATGCTGTCTCCCAGATAAATGATAGAAAAAGACTCACTGTCAAATAAAAATGTAATACATTCCAACATACTTCAAGCTCCTTCAATATCCAGTTAGCGACAACTTTGGTAGACAGATTGTTAGATATTTTCTCTTTAAAAATGACTCAAAATCTGAAGATAAGAGATAGGTTCTGTTTTTGTAACAATCAGTATTTTGACTATTTTAACCATAAATGTCACATTTCTTAACCCTCTTCTGCCATCCAAGTCATTAAAAGCTAACTTCTAGATTATAACATACATAGTAACACAAATTTTTCCTTCTTTCATTTGATTTATAATCTTTGACACTGTATTTCATATGCAGTCATGCCTAAATCGGCATTAGTTCTGAAGAGCCTGGACATTTTTGCTTAATATCCTTTAAAAGAAAATGACATCCCAAGGTAGATTCCCTGTCCCCTGCCTCAGTAACTTATCTGGTCCTGAGGTCCCATTCGAGTCTCCTCAACATTGCAAAGTCTTTCCCAAGCTCACCTTCTCACTGTCCCCTGCCCTCACTGCTGAGTCACTACTTTGCCTTATAGGGTCCCTGTAGTTGAACAGTGATTTACTGATTAGACTGCACAGTAAAATGGATGGTTGCGTTTATTCCTAAGCAGTTGATTTTTTCTCACTTTGCACAGGAAGAACCAAAGCGCAGTAAAAAAAACAGTGTCTTGTTCAAGCCCACACAGCTGATAAGATTATGTTCAAGCCCACACAGCTGATAAGATTAGGCAGAACCAGAACCCACACCTTCGTGTGAATCTAGGCTCCTTCCAGCAGGCCACACATGGCCTTGGGCTATCATTTGAGTGTATATTTCACAGGGGTATTTCTTGATGCCATTTATGGTGGCACTACTTTTTATACCTTTGAAGTCCTCCCAGAGCCTAGTTGAGTGCTGGGGATACTTAGGCAAGTGTTACTGAGTGACTGAGGGAAGGTGTAAGAAGAAGGTAGTAATCACTATAAGGACATGATAGTCTTGCTAAGCAAGACAGGCACTGAAGGAAGACTCCCAATGTTGGAGGTGTCAAGGAAGGTAACACGGAGCCTCCCCAGCTTCCACCATAAGAAAGGTTGTCAAAAAGATTTTCTTGGGATTCTTAAGCCTCTCTGTTTAAATATACAAAAAGTTCGAGCTTTGGCTATTAACAATTAATGTCTAAAGTACAACCTAAGTACCAGAAATATAAATACATTTTTCAATATATGTCCCCTAAAGAATGAGGAACCAATAATTTATAATTGTCCAACAACATTCTTTTCTCCAAATGGAAAAGCCCCAAGTCCTTTACTTATTCAATGAGGAAAAACACAGTTACCCCATTTGTCTTGTTTTCTAAACATTTGACCATTTTCTTAGCCTCTCTGTGAACTGGCTTTTTGATAGCACCCTTCAATTTTGGAGACTCATCTGGAGATGGTTTTATAATGGTGGCCCAGTTGATGCCAAGTATCTCTTAAAATGGTCTTCTTGTAAACATGTGGTGACACTTTATTACCTCTTTCCATAACATGATTCCATTATGAACACATACTTTATTACTGGTCAGGAACTAGCTCTACATCATTCTCAAGGATGGGTGTATGTGAGCTCTCTTCTCTTGACCTATATTTACTATTCTAGTGATTCATACTCTGTGTATATCCCTATTGCATTACTTCCTGTTTGCAACAGAGCAACCACAGAACAGTCTGGACAAAGCCATTTCCTTCTTCTTTTAATACTTATTTACGTGTTGCTCCAGTGAGTATGTGCGCAGGGTTGCTGTGCAAAGTGTGGTGAGCCTGGTGTCCTCAGGAAACTAACACCAGCTGTCAAGAGGGCTTAGGAAAATACCCTGGAGCTGGCGTCAGCCACAGAATCGAGTGAGGAAAAGGGGAGCAGGCCTGACTATTTCACTGACTCATCCTGTCTCCTTTTCCAAGTCACTTCCTGTCAAAGCGGGAACTTCCCATTAGTTCCACATAAGTAGAGCTCTTCCAGACATGTACAGGGTGAGATCAGCAATACACTTCTTTCCTTTAGTAGCTTTCAAGTTACTATCATCGTAAGCTGGCAAATTTAATATTGCGTGTCTTGGATGGTGGGAGCAAAAAAGCCTATTTAACCTGAACAGAACCCACACTTGTCCATGTTATGCTTTATCTATTTGTTCATTCATTCATTCTGTCAACACACTTACGGTAAACTCCTGTGTGTAACATGTTACGCTTGTGTCTAGGTCTGCAAATAACCCCATGTTTAGAAGTTCATGGTCAGCAGGTTCCTCAGCAAACTCTGCCAGTGCCGCCCACTGACCCAAGCAGAGGAAGCAGATGCATCTTGAACAGATTTTCACATGGAATGTAGTATCTCTCCTCATGCTGTCTGGACAGGAATACAGGTTAACTCTAGGAAAGCTGCAAGTTACAGCAGATTGAGCGTGAACTTAGGAGCCAGCAGGTCAAGCCATGGCACTCAGTAGTTGGATAAACTTGGGCACATTACCTAACCTTCTGAACTGTAAAATGGAGCTAAAGATAAAACTCCTTCCAAAGAGTTGTTATGACAATTAAATGCAATGTTTTATATGAAGTCCTTAGTACAACTACATGCAGGAAGGATTTGCTCGAGTTTTATGGCTCTTATTATTGAAAACAAAGCATATCAAAAACAAAACCCTTTACCTATTTAATCTGGAGTCAATATTCTGCACAAAATGACACTTTTATAATTAGTTGCTATGATTATTCACAAAGCATTGAATAAGAACTAGTAGCTAAAATAGGCCAGTGTTAACAAGATTGACTTGGTGAGCTTAGAAAATACAGAAGATCTACCTCAGGGAATTCATACACTCCTTCATTTTCCATGGCTTATTGAATCCAGGTAATCAGGTAGAGGAGTTTTGCTGTTGTTACTGCTGCTCTTTGGCTTTTTAATAATGAAAGACTGAGGCAAATGATGCAGATCAGCAAGGGTCGCAAACATGCAGCAATTTTTTCCTGAATCCACATTTCGAAGGGGTGGCTTGTTGCTCATAAAGTTAGCTACAAACCGTGCAGGAAGTCAAGTCATTAAAAGGAATATGTGAAAACAGCTGTGAAATTTTTCATCTTTTTCAAATAAGGATCTGGGCATGAAGAAGAAAACATTGGACCAGTCACGCATCCTGAGCTTAGGTGAGACACATGGGACCTTTCATCTCCTGCTCATACGGGGTGGCTGGCGGTGGCCAGAGTGTCCACGAGCCTTTGGCACTTGCAGCTGTTCTTGGACCACAGTGAAATCAGATCCAAGGCTCAGGGCGGTTCTAGGGAACAGGTGTCTGCATGGCCCACGTTAAGTGCATTTTGTGAGGGACATGTAATCCCAGTGACTAGGTGGTCTAAACGATGGAATTACTCTGGGGCCCTCTGAAATCAATTTGTTAATCCACATGGTCACTAATTCTTTCTTTCTTTCTTTCTTTCTTTCTTTCTTTCTTTCTTTCTTTCTTTCTTTCTTTCTTTCTTTCTTTCCTTCTTTCTCTCTTTCTTTCCTTCTTTCTTTCTCTTTCTTTCTTTTTCTTCTCCCTCTTTCTTTGTCTTCCTCTCTCCTTCATTCCTTTCTTCCTTCCTTCCTCCCTCCCTTCCTCCCTTCCTCTCTTCCTCCCTCCCTTCCTCCCTTCCTTTCTTCCTCCCTCCCTTTCTTCCTTCTTTTTTCATTTCTTTTTCACTTATTCCTTTTTCCCATCCATGCCCTGTGTCATTCAGAGAATATCCTTGAGCACCTATTATACTTCCAGGGCTGTGAAGAGCAATTTTATAGATTCTCTTGGGCTAGAATTGGGGAAAATATTACAAGATTCTAAAAATAGCTCTGTGTGCATGTGTGTGTGCATATGTGTGTGTGCGCGTGGGTGTGTGTGTGTGTCATGAGCAGGAAAGAACTCGTTTAGTTGGAATAAGATATTGGAAAGGAATGGACATTTTTAGATTGGTTCAGAGCAATTATAAAAGGTCTTATAGCTTGAGGCTGATGATATCAGAGTCAACACAAAACGTTCTTAATTACAGGCTGGTTTCTGCATTCTTTGAAAAGTGGAAGATTATACTTAGTATTTCTCTAGTGTGTGGACAGAGCACTCATTCCTGTTCTTGGCCATTTACTCTGTTCTTGTTCACAGGTTTACCTGGCGAGGCAGGAATTTTCCTTCCAACATCTCTTCATAGATATAGGTGTACACAAAGTTTCCAGATAATTTGAGGCGTGCTTTTTATACCCACTTTTATACCCATGGCTGTCACTGTTATAGAAACTGTGTCCCTCATGCTGCAGTATCTCAGAAACAGAGGCAGAATTTAATCATCTCATCCTCTGATGTGAAGGTCTGTATGGTTTAATATGCACACATCACAGATTTCAAAATTTGCTGCTGAAATTCAGTCTTCAGCAGAAACCTAGCTGTCTCTTTGACTTGAAATGTGTTGTAAAATGTATAATAAACATCTATTAAACAAACAAAAAAGAAACTGTGGATAGCATACTCAGTACAGACCTTAAAAGTGAACTTCAGATGCATCAGTATTTTCCCCAAATGCTCCAGAAATTCTTGACCATAACCAATTAGACTTTATTGAAATTCTATAGAGTATAACGCACTGTTCTACATCAAGGGCCAATTGCTACAAATAAGAAATGATTCTGGCATTTTTTTTCCACCTCTCTCTTAATCTTAGGTCACGGTGCCTCTATATTTTTGCACCAAATTTACTTTCCTCTGAAATCTGTCAAATGGAAATAAGACGCTGCGTGTTGCTCCGTAGAGTCTCACCTAAGGGATCTAGCCCCTATGTCTTTGTATTCAGAAACTGGGGTCACGTGGGGCCAAATGGAAATGAAAAGGGCTGGGAATATAAGCATGCTTAGATGGAGACAGGCGACAGCCACTGGTGATGGACCCTTAAATTAGCAAAGTTCAATCCCACCCCAATTTTCTAAGAACTTACTGAGTACCTGGAGGAGCTGCCTTAGGAATGTATCTACAGCTAATGAAAGGTGACCCTTCCTGCGACTCTCCTGCCTCTTCAAACAAACAAGTTCTTCCCGCTGTAATTGGCCCATGTCTCCTGCCCTGTCCTTTGAACCTGCCACCATGCACTTTTGCCCCAGGGGATGTCAAGCTGGGTTTCAAATTTCTCTGGTATGCATTAGCTTTTCCTTTTATGATAAAAAGCTCAAACATCAGGACTCTTTGCTGGACAAAGCAGGGGAACTGTGGAGCCTGTTGTCCTTGAACTGAAGACGTCAGAGGGACCCTCACTGTGAGATGGACCCATAGTCACATCCATGCCTGCTGGCTGGGGAGGCTGGGACATTGCTATGAGGGTCCATGCCCATACACCTTGTGAAGGGGAGAAAAGGCAGCATGGCTGCCCCCACCCTCTCCTTTCCTTTCCTTCCACACTACTTGTAGGGGAGAGGCTTTTTGGTAATACTGTGTTAACTAGCCAGAGACTTCATTAGAGTAACAAGATATTGATTGAGTTTATTAAGCTATGAAAAGTGTTGAATAATAGCAAGAGACAGTGTTGTTTGTCTTAGAAGCTGGAAGAGCTAAAGCCTCAAGTATGGGCCATCACCCTCCAAGATAGAGCCAGTGCCTGGAGCGGAAGGGGACAGGGAAGGTCCTGGGAACCCCAAGAAAGGAGGTGGAGAAAGGCACGGAGAGAACCCCAGGATCCATCTGGCAGAAGATCCCAGGAGAAAAAGCAGATTGTGAGTGATCTGCTAAGAGCCTGACATTTTTCTGATCATGAGGATTCCCTATGCAGCTTTCCAGGAGCCAGGGCCAGCTAAGGGTTAGACAAAACTTCTTCCTACAGTTGCAACTTGGAGGCTATTTTGAGAAGGAAATATTATATTGTTCCTAATTGTCCCTGAAAGCTAGTAGGTTAGAATGAACATTCTGCAAGGACTTCAGAACATAAAGCAGTGTGCACCTTAGGCTAGGGTGGTACCCACCTCCCTACCCTACCAACGTGCTTCCAGACACACAGAGCAAATGAGTCATTGCAGTGAACGCCCAGGCTCAGAGGGCTGCAGGGAAGTGGGTGGGGACGGCCTGGATGGGAGCTGGCAAGGACACCTGCACTCCGTCAAAGAGGCCCCCAGCCACCCGAGGGGAAATCCAGTCTGCCGGCCCTATCTCATCCTGTCTTCCAGTCACCTGGCGAGGAAGAGGTCAGCCATGGGGAGAGTGATGGTGCCTCTGGAGCGGGGCCTTGACCTGCTGTCCAGATGGGTTTGCAGAGTCTCTGGCTGGAGGAAGGTGGCTGCCTCTCTGGCTGCCCTGATGTGCCTGCCAGGAAAAGGAAAGCCTGGTGTGTCCGGCCAGTTGTCCGGGCTGACCGAGGCTGCCGTGGACGACCTGCCCTCTGAGTTTCCTCTCTCCTTCTCTCCACCGCCTCTCCAGTGTGTGGTCCAGGCGGCTCTTGGCACCAGCTTGTGCCTCGGTCTGAAGACCTCACAGGCCCTCTGGGGATATCACTTTCCTCTTCTGCCCCAGCTCTGCATAACAAGGACCATGCAGAGTTCCTCCCTGTGATCTCATGACAACAAAATCAGATGCTCAGCCAATTCCATGGAAAAGCAGTCTGTCACATCCACCATTTTGCTTCATGCAGACCAACCACCCACTGCACCCATCTATTTTGGTGGTAATCCACATTGTATGATAACTGAGATCTATGTTTTTAGGCAGAGTGTAACTGCTATTTTATTAGGGGTTTTTAGCTCATCAAGATGGTGTTTGCAGAACCTAACAGAGCGATAAATTTGTTTGTTTTAATCGTTTCCTTTTTTTTCCACCAGAGGTTAATTGTTTGGTATTCTTTGTTAAACTAACACTTTCGATGGGTTAAGAACCACTAAAGCCACTTAAATAAACAGACTGTTCAGGTAAGAACAGGAAAGCTAGCATAGACACAAGCTATTAACTGTCTGGATTGGGGCCTGGACTGTTAGTTAATTAACATTCACAATGATGTGGATTCACTGGGAGATTTTTGAAATACCCATTAACTGCTTAAAAGAAAGTGTTGACTTTCTTTTTTAGGTAGAGGAAGAAAATTCCCGAAATTTTATCTTTTTAAATTATTACAATAAGCCCTATTAAGTAATGTCATATTGCCCTTCAAAGGTACCACCTACTTTCATTGCTATTATTTTTAATTTAATGTTTCACATCAGGAAGAAACATCTATTTCTGTTGTCTCATTGTTGTTCATAGGTTTTTAGAATCTAGATTATTCGAGCTTCATAAAATGATTCAAAGGAATATTCCATTTGTTTCTATGCTCTACAAGGAGTGTTATGTCATGGGAGTTATGTATGTCTTTTAGGAATACTTTTACAGTTAGAAAGTTGAATAATAAAAATGGTAATTATAGTAGCAATATGAAGAATAATCTGGAATAGGGAGATGCTTACTAAATGCTGGGTTCTGCAGAAGCCGAATCTGAGGCGGAGTATGGAGTGCAAGATATTTATTAAGGATTCACACGTATAAGAGTAAGGAGGAGGAAGCTGACGGGTAAATTGAACAGCATTGCAGACGCCCCGAAACCCTGGGCAGTCTGGCCTCGTTCTTCTAGTGAGTTTTGAAGTCAGTTATTGCAAATCCTCAATCTTTCTTCTTTTCTGAAATATTTTGCCTATTCTTTGGCATTTGAAATTTCATATGAATTTTGAAATAAGCCATTGACTTATTCAAAAACGTTCAGACAAAACCAGTCTGATTTTGATTGCTTTAAAGCTATAGAGTCGTGGGAGAGAAGAGATCTTAATCCTACTGAGTTTTACAAGCGAAAACATGTTCCGTCTCTTTTCATTTATTTGTCTTCTTTAATTTCTCTCAACAGTATTTTGTAATTTTCATTGTACAACTCTTAAACACATTTTGTTAAATTTATTTCAAAGCATACTGTATTTTTGATGTTGTGATTATTATTTCTAAAATATTAATTTCTAGTTGTTTGTCACTAGTATACAGAAATATAGGCTGGGTCAGTGGCTCATGCCTGTAATTCCAGGACTTTGAAAGGCCGAGGCAGGAGGATCACCTGAGCCCAGGAGTGTGATACCAGCCTGGGCAACATAGTGAGACTTTGTCTCTACAAAAATTAAAAAAAAAAAAAAATAGTCAGGTGTGGTAGCATGCACCTGCAGTCCCAGCTACTCAGGAGGCTGAAGGGGGAGGATCTTGGGAGGTCAAGGCCGCAGTGAGCCACAGTCATGCCACTGCACTCCAGCCTGGGCAACAGAGCAAGACCCTGTCTCTCTCTTTATAAAATTGAATGTTGTATATTAGCCTTATGTTGTGCCAAGTGGCTAAACTCATTCATTAGTTCTAATGGCATTTGTTTGTTTTTTAAGATTCTTTAGAATTTTCCATATATATAATTACAGTTTACTTTTCTATGTATCTTCTCAATTCTTTTTTTTTTTTTTAAATCTTGCCATATTGCACTGGCTAGACCTTCGGTACAATGTTGAATAGAATTGGAGAAAGGGGTATCTTGTATTATTTCTCATCTAAGAAGAAATGCATTCAGAATGCTCACCACTAAGTGTGAAGTTAGCTATAAGTTTATTGTAGGTTTTCTTTATCAAGATTAAGACATTGTATTTTATTCCTAGTATGCTGAGAATTTTAAAATATGAATGGGACTTAAATATTATCAAATGCTTTTTTATATTTATTGATATTGCAATATGGTTCTTATCTTTTATTTTGTTAATATAGTGAATTACTTTGATTTTCTTATATTCCTGGAATAAACTCCACTTGGTCATGATTTAAAAAAATATATATATTGCTGCATGTTATTTCCTCATATGTTGTCAAGCATTTAGCATCTATGCTCATGAGGGGTATTGGTCTGTAGTTTTCTTTTCTTGTAATACTTTTGTTGAGTATTGACATAAGTTAATGCTGGCCTTATAAAATGAGTTTGTAAGTGTTCCCTCCTCATTCTATTGCCTGAAAGAGTTTGTGTAGGATTGGTATTATTTCTTCCTTAAATATTTCACAGAATTTAACAGTGGGATAACATGGGCCTGGTATTTCCTTTGTGAGTAACTTTTTAAATTATGAATTCACTTTCTTATTTGATATAGGGCTATTTACATGTTCTATTTCTTCTTGCAAATATTCTGTTAATTTGTGCCTTTCATTAAAGTTGTCTTTTTCATCAAGGTTGTTGAATTTGTTGACATAAAATTATTCAAATATTCTCTTATTAGACTTTTAACATCTGTAGGATCTGAAGTGATGTCTATTCCTTCATCTGTAATATTGCAAATTTGTGTCTTCTTTTAAAAAAAAAACTTGATCAGTCATGCTAGAGATGAGTAGTTTTATTAATCTTTTCAATAAGTCAGATATTGGTTTGTTAATTTTCTGTATTGTTTAACTGTTTTTATTAATTTCTCTATTGTTTAACTGTTTTCTATTTCACTGATTGTCACTCTTATATATTATTTCTTCCCCTCTATTTCTTTCAGGTTTTGATTGTTCTTTTTCTAGTTGGAAGAAACTAGAACATATTGGAAGCTTGTGTGGTTGATTTTAATCCTTTCCATAAACATTTCCTGTATCACTGCTTTGGCTGTATGCCACAGATTTTACCAGATTACATTCTCATTTTAATTTAGTTCAAAATATATCATGATTTCTTCTTTCACGCATGTGTTTTTTAGAAGTGTGTTGTTTCTGCCACACACTGCCCTGCCGCCAAGTCCAGCTGTGAGAGGCTCCTGGAGTTAACAGAACAAATTGCCACTCCTGGGCCACCTGATGCCCTCTCCAGTGCCATAGGGAGCTCCACGGGCTTCTCCCCAGCTAGGGTCATGCCTGGCCTCATCTCAGACCCCTGCTTAGGGGATGTAGCCAGAGTTGCTCCTTTCTTCAACCTGTTGGTACATTTTCTTGAAAGAATAAAATTGCCTTTCTTCTTGTATTTATTTATTTATCTATTTATTTATTTTGAGATGGAGTTTAGCTCTTGTCGCTCAGGCTGGAATGTAGTTGCGAGATCTCGGCTCATTGCATCCTCTGCCTCCCAGGTTCAAGTGATTCTCCTGCCTCAGCATCCCAAGTAGCTGGGATTACAGGTGCCCGCCACCACGCCCAGCTAATTTTTTGTATTTTTTAGTAGAGACAGGATTTCACCATAATGACCAGTCTGGTCTTGAACTCCTGACCTTAGGTGATCTGCCCGCCTCGGCCTCCCAAAGTGCTTTCTCCTTGTTTAAGATAAGAAAAAGAAAGAAAGAAAGAAAGAAAGAAAGAAAGAAAGAAAGAAAGAAAGAAAGAAAGAGAAAGAAAGAAAGAAAAAAAAAGCATGCTGTTTCATTTCCAAACATTTGGGGATTTTCCAGTTAAATTTCTGTTGTTGATTTCTAATTTAATTCCATTGTGGTTAAACAAACAAACTAATAAACCATTGTGATTTCAATATTTTAAAATGTGTTGACACTTATTTTATAAGCAAGTATATTGTCTATCATCGTGAATGTTCCACATGCATCTCAACAGCATGTGTGTTCTGAAGTTTTAAAATGTGTATAATATTCTATAAAGCTTAGTAAGGTCAAATTGTGTTTTCCAACTGTACCCCCATTGATTTTTTTATTTGTTCTATTATTTACTGAGAAATAGGGGTGATAAAAACTCCACATATACTTATAAAAATGCCTATTTTTCCTTTTAGTTCTGTCAGCTTTTCTTCAGGTGTTTGAAGTTCTGTTATTAGGTTGGTGCAAAAGTAATTGCGGTTTTTGCCAGTAAAAGAAATTAAAAGTAACGGCGACCAGGCGCAGTGGCTCATGCCTGTAATCCCAGCACTTTGGGAGGCTGAGGTGGGTGGATCACAAGGTCAGGACCAGCCTGGCCAACATGGTGAAACCCCGTGGTGGCGGGCGCCTGTAGTCCCAGCTACTTGGGAGGCTGAGGCAGGAGAAGGGCGTGAACCCGGGAGGTGGAGCTTGCAGTGAGCTGAGATTGCGCCACTGCACTCCAGCCTGGGTGACAGAGACTCCACCTCAAAAAAAAAAAAAAAAAAAAAAGTAATGGCAAAAACGGCAATTACTTTTACACCAACCTGACAGGTACCAAACAGGTACTTGTACATTTAGTATTGTATGTCATCCTGATTAAGTAAGCTCTTTATCATTATGAATTGGCCTCTTTTATCTCTGGTACTATTTGTTGTTCTGTTCTGACTTCTCCACTAACCTGTCTGTGTCTTTGTATTTTTGCATTTAAAGCTGCCCCTTTTTCTTTTTTCCTTTCTCTATCTCTCTTTTTCTTTTTTTTTTTTTGTAGGTAGCATATACCTGAGTCTTGTTTTGTTATCCAATATCTGAAAATCTCTGTTTTTTAGTTGATATGTTTAGATCAGCACTGTCTAATAGAACTTTTTGTGATGATGGAAATGTTCTCTGTCTACACTGTCCAGGCTGAGAGTCACTAACCACATGAGGTTGTTGAGCACTGGAGATGTTTCCAGTTTGCCTGAGGACTGAATTTTCCTTTTTAATTTTAACTAATTAATGTAAACTTAAATAATCACATGTGGTTAGTGACCAGCAGATGAGATAATGAAGGTTTAGGTAATTTACATTCAACGTACTTATTGATATGTTTGGGTTTAAGCGTACCATATTTCTATTTGTTTTCTATTTGTTAATCTGATATGTGTTGCTTTTTTTTTTGCTTGCCTTTTAAAATTAATTCTGAATTTTTTTGTGATTTCCTTTTGCATTCACTATTTTATTATTTATTATATTATTTATTTGCGACTTTGCTTTTTTTGATTGCTCTAGTGTTTAAAATATGTATTTCTAACATCTCACAGTCTACCTTCAAATAATGTATCATTTAAATATAATGTAAATACTTTATATCCAACTTTCCATCTTCTTGCTGTTGTTGTCATATATTTTATAGCTACATATATTATAAACCAACAAAACAATATTATCACTTTTGCTTTAAATGTTCAACTGTTGGTAAAAAAAAAAAAATTAAAACTAGAGAAACCCCCAGTTTCCTATTTTGCACATATTTTTCATGCTCTTCTTATATGGATGCAAGTTCCCATTTGAAATTATCATTCTTCTGCCTGGAAATTTTCCTTTAACATTTCTTGTGGTGAAGGTATGTGCATCATAAATTATCTTTTATTGTTTGACTGATAAATCTTTAGGATAAAATCTGTAAAATTCTAAATCGACAGGTTGTCCTCTTCCAGTGCTTTAAGAATGTAATTCAATTGTCTTCTGGCTTACATAGTTTCTGGCAAAATGTCTGTTCTTTTGTTTGTAATGTGCCTTTTTGCCTCTGGCTACTTTTAAGATTTTCTCTTTATCACTAGTTTTTAGCAGTCTTATTATGATGTCCCGTGGTGGTTTTTGCATGTGTGTATTTATGCAGATTAGGGCTTATTGGTCTACTTGGATCTATGAATTGTAGTTATCAAATATTAAATAATTCTGGTGTTTTTTCAAATATAATTTCCCACTCCTCTCTTCTTTCTTTTTCTGACACATATCTTAGGTGGCTCGATGTTATCTAACAGGTCTCTCAGAATCTGGTCATTATTTTTCATTGTTTTTTCTCGGTATGCTTTATTTTGGACAGTTTCTGTTGCCATGTCTTTATGTACACTGGTCTTTTACAGTCTCTAATATTATTTTAGCCCAAATCCGTGAAAGTTTATATTTTAGAGATATTTATCTCTGAAAGGCTTATATTTTTGTATCTTTTATTTCTGTCCTCATTATATAAATGTTTTCCCTTCAATCACTGAACATGGTAAGTATATTTATAATAGCTATTTTAACGGCCCTTTTTGTTAATTTTGCCAGGTTAATCATATCTAGTTCTGTTTTTATTGACTAAGAGTGCTCCTTGTATGTGTTATATCTTCCTATTTCTTAATGTGTCTGGTAATTTTTAATCAGATACCAAACGTCAATTTTTTTAGTGCTGAAAGTTTTTTAAAGACTGCCAAGTGGGCCTGCAATCCGAGCAACTTGGGAGGCTGAGGCAGGTGAGTCGCTTGAACTGGGGAGGTGGAGGTTGCAGTGAGCTTAAGATTGCACCACTACACTCAAGCCTGGGTGACAGAGTGAGACTCTGTCGCAAAAACAACAACAACAAAAAACACTGCTAGGTGGCCAGACATGGTGACTCACGCCTATAATCCTAGCACTTTGGGAGGCTGAGGCAGGTGAATCACTTGAGGTCAGGCGTTTGAGACCAGCCTCGCCAACATGGTTAAACACTGTCTCTACTAAAAATATAAAAATTAGCTGGGCATGGTGGCATGTGCCTGTAATCCCATCCACTAAGGAGGCTGAGTCAGGAGAATCACCTGAACCCAGGAGGCGGAGGTTTCAATGGGCTGGGATCACACCACTGCACTCGAGCCTGCGTAACAGAGCAAAACTCTTTCTCAAAAAAAAAAAAAAAAAATATATATATATATATATATATATATATATATATATATATATATATGGCTAGGCTTTGTTTTGGCAAATACTGCCGTTATTTGTGTACTAATGCAATATTTTTGAGGCATATTTT